>NC_000007.14:65537082-65840112 GCF_000001405.40 Homo sapiens | reverse complement strand
CAGGCGCTTGGCTTGTGGGGGGCCACGGTGAGGCAGATGCTGGGCCTGGAGAATCTGCTGTGAGGCAGATATTGGGCCCGTAGAGGCTGACAGAAGGCAGGAGCTGGGCCTGGAGAGGCTGCCAGGACACAAAAGCTGGGCCTGAAGAGGCTGCCAAGAGGCATGAGCTGGGCCTAAAGAGACCAGTGTGACAAGAGATCGGCCTGGAGAGGCCGACTTGAGGAAGATTTTGGCCTAGAGAGTCTGTCAGGGGCAGGAACTGGGCCTGGAGAGGCCACCGTGAGGCATGAACTGGGCCTAATGATGCCAGTGTGAGGCAGGAGCTGGGCCTGTCAAGGCTGCTGGGAGGTAGGCAGGAACTTGGCCAGGGATGACCTCCGTGAAGCAAGAGCTGGGCCTGGAAAGGCCATTGTCATGCAGGAGCTGGGCCTATCCAGGCTACCAAGAGGCAGAAGATTGTGCTGGTGAGCTTGACGTGAGGAAGTTTTGGGCCTACAAAGGCCTCCAGGAGCTGGGCAGGAGCTGAGCCAAAAGAGATTGTTGTGAGGCAGGAGGTGGGCCTGGAGATTCAGCTAGGAGGAAGAACTGGGCCTGGAGAGGCTCACTTGTGGAAGTTCTGTGACTAAAGAGGTTGCAAAAAGGCAAAAGCTGGGCCGGAATGGCCACCATGAGGCAGGAGCTTGGCCTAGAGAGGCCACTGGGAGGCAGGAGCTAGGCCTGTAGAGGCTGCCGAAAGGCAGGAGCTTTGCCTGGGAGGCTGTGGTGAGGCAGATACTGGGCCTGGAAAGTCTGCTGTGAGGCAGAGGTTGGGCCTGTAGAGGCCAATGGGAGGCAGGAGTTTGGGCTGAAATGGCAGACTTGAGAAAGTTCTCAGTCTGGAGAAGCCACCGGGATGCGGGAGCTGGGCCTGGAGAGGCCACTGAGAGGCATGAGCTGTGCCTAAAGAGGCCAGTGTTAGGCAGGAGCTGTGCCTGAAGAGGCGACTTGAGGAAGTTTTGGGCCTGGACAGCCCGTCGGAGGCAGGAGCTGGGCCTGGAGAGGCTGCCGTGAGGCATGAGCTGGGCGTAATGAGGTTAGTGTGAGGCAGGACCTGGGCCTGTCGAGGCTGCCGGGAGGCAGGTAGAAACTTGTTCAGGGAAGACCTCCGTGAGGCAAAAGCTGGGCCTGGAGAGTCAGCTGGGAGGCAAGAGCTGGGCCTGGAGATGCTGTTGTCACACAGGAGCTGGGCCTGTCCAGGCCATTGGGAGGCAGAAGGTGGGTCTGGAGAGCTTGACTTGAGGCAGTTTTGGGCCTACAAAGGCCACCAGGAGCTGGGCAGGAGCTGAACCAAAAGAGGTTGTTGTGAGGCAGGAGCTGGGCCTCCAGGCACAGCCAGGAGAAACCTCAGCCTTTAGAGGCCACCTGGAGGCAGCAGCTGGGTCTGGAGAGGCCAACGGAAGAAGGCAGGAGCTTGGCCTTGAGAGGCTGACTTATGGACATTTTGGGCCTGTATAGGCTGCCCAGAGGCAGGAGCTCGGACTAAAGAGACTGTTGTATGGCAGGAGCTGGGCCTGTACAGGCCACTGGGAGGCAAAAGGTGGGCCTCAAGAGTCCACTGTAAAACAGGAGCTGAGTCTTGGAAGGTGGCTGTGAGGCAAAAGATGGCCCTTGGGAGGCTGATGAGAGGCAGTAGCTGGGCCTGGTGAGGTTGACTTGAGAACCTTCTCTCTGGGCCTGGAGAGAAGGCTGGGAGGCAGGAGTTGGGCCTAAAGAGGCCATTGTAATGATGGAGCTGGGCCTGTGGGGGCTGCCATGAGGCAGCAGCCTCATCTGTGGAGACTGCCATGAGGTAGGGTATGGGCCTAAATAGGCCATTGTGAGCCACAAGCTTGGCCCGTAGAGGCCGACTGGAGAAAGTTCTGGACCTGGAGAGGCTGCCGGGAGGCAGGAGCTGAGCCAAAAGATTCAAGCGCATTACATTTATTAGGCACTTTATTTCCATTATTACATTGTAGTATATAATGAAATAATTATAGAACTCACCATAATGTAGAATCAGTGGACATGTTAAGCTTATTTTCCTGCAACAAGATGGTCCCATCTGAATTGATGGAAGAAAGTGACAGATAATCAGGTATTAGATTCTCATAGGGACAGCACAACCCAGATCTCTCGCATGCACGGTTTGCATAGGATGCATGCTCCTATGAGAATCTAATGCTGCTGCTGATCTGAGAGAAGGCGGAGCTCAGGCGGGAATGTGAGCAATGGGGAGTGGCTGTAAATACAGATGCAGCTTCCCTCACTCAACACCACTCACCTCCTGCTGTGTGGCTCCTTACAGCTCCATGGCTCAGGGGTTGGGGACCCCTGCTGAAGTGCATCCAAAAGGACCATTCCCACACCAGTCTTCATAGCGGTCAAGTGCAGCAACCACTTAGCTCCCAAGGCATGTGCCTCAGCTGGCATTTCATCACAATCAACAGTAAGCAGTAGCTTGAGTCATTGTGAGGTCACTTCCTGGAAATCACCAGCATTCCGTTTCCCATTGGCAAGGAGCTCAGCACTGCCCCTTGGATAACCAAACCTATCCCCAAATCCCATCTGTGTGAGTCTATCTCCAGGGACCCTTCTTAGCATATTAGAGTCCAACCAGGAGACATAAACCACTCAAAAGTTTAAAGTGGTAAATTTAATACAGAGAATTATTCATTGTAACAGGGGAACAGCATAATGAGAGACTGGCTAGCACAAAGTAAAGAGAACTCCAGAGAATATAGGACTAGCCCAGGCCAGGCATGGTGGCTCATGCCTGAAATTCCAGCAATTTAAGAAGCCAACACAGGAGGACTGATTGAGGCCGGGAGCTAGAGATTGGCCTGGACAACACAGTGAGACCCTGTCTCTATCCAAAAAAAGAAAAAAATTAGCTGGGAGTGGTGGTGCACACTTGTAGTCCCAGCTACTCAGGAAGCTGAAGTAAGAGAATAGTTTGAGCCTGGGAGGTCAAGGCTACAGTGAGTCATGATTATGCCACTACAGTCAAGCCTGGGTGACACAGCAAGACCCCGTCTCAAACAAAACAACAAAACGACAACAACAACAACCATTTACAGACAGAAAAGAAATAGAGCTAATAAGCTAAGGGAAGATGCTGAAATGTGACCAAGTAATATGCGGTATTTTATCTATTTAAAATAATCAAACAAAAAATAACTTATTAAATTATAATACCCTGTGCAGGCAAAGGTGCAGTGAAATGGACACTTTCTTATACTAGGAGGGGTGTTTAAATTGTACATAGTCTTCCAAGGTAAAGGTTGGCAATTTTTTAAAATAATAGAGACAGGGTCTCACCTTACTGCCTCCTCCAACTCTTGGCCTCAAGCAATCCTCCTGTCTTAGCCTCCAAAGGGCTGGGATTATAGCCAGGAGGCACCCAAAACCTTGTCAATGTACATCAAGGGCAATGAGAATGCCCATTCACCATGACTCACAGTAATCTTACTTCTGGAAATACCTTGGGGAGACAATTCAATCTAAACAAAAGGTCATCTGCATAAACACAGTGAAATTCTGGGAGTAATTGAAAACAGAGTGGTTAAGTTAAGTAAGAAACAGTTATAAGAAATTATACTATGGTATTTATAGGCACCTGGTAAAAGGTCAGTTAATGTTAGCTGCTACTTTTTTGTTGCTTTGAGACAGGGTCTCACTCTGTCACCCAGGCTGGAGTGCAGAGGCCTGATCACGACTCACTGCAGTCTCAACCTCCTTGGACTCAAGTGATCTTCCCACAGCAGCCTCCCAAGTAGCTGGGACTACAGGAACATGTCACCACACTAGGATAATTCATGTACTTTTCTGTAGGGATGGTGTCTCCTTTGGTTTCCGAGGCCTGTCTCAAACTCTTGGCCTCAAGCCATCCTCCTACCTCAGCCTCCGAAAGTGTTGTGATTACTGGTGTGAGCCACCACACCTGGCCAGCTGCTACTTTTATTATTATTCCTCTCAATTAAAAATAATTTTCATTAAAAATTATCATTTTCAAGGCTATGGAACAATATGTGTCATACAGCATAATTGTAAAAACATATACAGTCATCCCTCGGTATACAGAGAGGATTAGTTCCAGCCCCCCATCTCTGCATATACCAAAATCCATGCATACTCACATTTCACAGTCAGCCCTCTGGAACCCACATATAGGAAAAGTCCAAATATTAGTTGGGCACAGTACCAAGCACCTATAGTCTCAGCCACTTAGGAGGCTGAGGTGGGAGGATCACTTGAACCTGGGAGGTTGAGGCTGCAGTCAGCTGTGATGGCACCACTACACTCCAGCCTGGACAACAGAGCAAGACCCTGTGTCAGAAAAAAACAAAACAAAAAAACAAAAAATGGGTTAGAAATTGTAGTGAGGTCTGTTGGGCAAAATTCCATATAAGCAAAGTATAAATTAATGAAGCAAATGGTGATGAATTAGTATGATTGACTTTCTGGAGTTTCTGACAATAAAGGTAAGAAAAATGCAAAACACAGAGACAGAGGGTAAAAAAAGAAATTAGTGAAGCATTCTACGAGTTTAATAAAATGACACTGGCCATGTTCGTGCAGCAGCAGTATGTCATGATATGACATACCTTGGAGAGAAGTTAACAGATGAGGAAGTTGATAAAAATGATCAGAGAAGCCAACTACCGATAGCGACAGTCAAGTAAACCACGAAGAATTTACACAACTGATGTCAGCAACGTGGAAATATTGTATAGTGTGTGTTGAAGTTCCTGTACATTGTTTATTTGCTTTCTGTTTGAAAGAAATCTATCTACTAAGTTATTATTGCTATCAAAAGAATATGTGTGAATAAGTCATTTGAACTTATTCTTCTGTTTTTCTACTTTTATCTTCCTGCCATCATCTCATAGCCTTACTTTAGAATTTTTTTATTTTTTTAGAAAATTGAACAAGTGCTCCTTGTGGTGGCTCATACCTCTAGGATGGAAGGCAGGGGTAGAAGGGTCACTTGAGGCCAGGAGTTTGACACCAGCCTGGCCAACAAAGTGAGACCCCATGTCTACAAAATAATTTAAAAATTAGCCAGATGTCATCATGTATACCTACGGTCCCAGCTACTCAGGAAGCTGAGGCAGGAGGATCCTTAGCCCAGGAGTTCAAGGCTGCAGTGAGCTGTGATTGCACCACTGTACTCCAGCCTGGGTGACAGGGTGAGATCCCATCTACTAAAACAAAAAAGAAAGAAAGAAAATAGACCAAGTGCAAGTTGTATGTGGCTTATTCTGAATATTTCTAAACTAGAAGTTCTCAATCTTTCGGGGTCTAGCATCCCTTTACATTTTTTAACTTTATTGAAGATCTCTAAGACTTTTTCTTTATATAAATAATTATATTAAAATTAGAAAATAAGACAAAATTTTAAAAATATTCATTACATAATAATAAAACTATTACATGTTGATATAAGTAATACAAGACAAAATTTTTAAAATATTTGGCCAGGCGCAGTGGCTCATGCCTGTAATCCTAGCACTTTGGGAGGCCGAGGTGGGCGGGTCACAAGGTCAAGAGATCAAGACCATCCTGGCCAACATGGTGAAACCCCGCCTCTATTAAAAATACAAATATTAGGTGGGCGTGGTGGCACACGCCTGTAATCCAGCTACTCGGGAGGCTGAGGCAGGAGAATCGTTTCAACCCAGGAGGCGGAGGTTGCAGTGAGCTGAGATCGCACCACTGCATACCAGCCTGGTGACAGAGTGAGACTCTGTCTTGAAAAAAAAAAATTTTATTATTCATTAAATATTAATAATAAAACAATTACATGTTGATATAATACTTTTTTTTTTTGAGACGGAGTCTCGTTCTTTCATCCAGGCTGGAGTGAAGTGGCGTGATCGCGGCTCACCATAACCTCTGCCCCCCAGGTTCAAGTGATTCTCCTGCTTCAGCTTCCCGAGTAGCTGGGATTACAGACGCCTGCCACCATGCCTGGCTAATTTTTGTATTTTTTTAGTAGAGACAGAGTTTTGCCATGTTGGCCAGGCTAGTCTTGAACTCCTGACCTCAGGTGATCCACCCGCCTGGCTCTCCCAAAGTGCCGGGATTACAGGCATGAGCCACTGTGCCCACCCTGATTAATATATTTTTTAAAACACTGATTAGTCAGGCAACAACACTGGGCAAGGGTCTCCTCATTCCCAGTGACACAAACCCCACTGCACGGCTCTGGGGTTGCAAGGGCTGCAGAGACAAAAGTCTCTGACTTGAGATTTTATTATTTTATTTGTATTTCTATTTGTGTTGTGAGACAGGTCCTGCTCTGTCACCCAGATTGGAATGTGGCTATGCACTTGTAGCTCACTGCAGGGTCGACCTCCTGGGCTCAAGCCATTTTCCTGCCTCAGCTCCCCAGTAGCTGGTACTAGCGTTGAGTGCCACCATACCTGGCTATTTTTTAAATTTTTTGTAGAGTGAGGGGTCTTGCTACGTTGCCCAAGCTGGCCTCAAACTCCTGACACCTCAAGAGATCTGCCCACCTCAGCCTCCTGAGTAGCTGTGACTACAAGTACATATCACCATGCGTAGCTACATTTATTTTATTTTATTAAATATTGAAAAATATTTTTGGCCGGGTGTGGTGGCTCATGCCTGTAATCCCAGCACTTTGGGAGGCCGAGGTGGGCAGATCACCTGAGGTTGGGAATTCGAGACCAGCCTGACCAACATGGAGAAACCCCGTCTCTACTAAAAATACCAAATTAGCCAGGCGTGGTGGTGCATGCCCGTAATCCCAGCTACTCAGGAAGGCTGAGGTGGCAGGAGAATCACTTGAACCCAGGAGAATCGCTTGAACCCAGGAGGTGGAGGTTGCGGTGAGCCGAGATTGAGCCATTGCACTCCCGCCTGGGCAACAAGAGCAAAACTCCATCTCAAAAAGAAAAAAAAAGAAAAATATTTTTGTAGAGAGGAGGTCTTGCTATGTTGCCCAGGCTGGTCTTGAATTCCTGTCCTTAAAAGATACTCCCATTTCTGCTTTCCAAACAGCTGGGACTACAGGCATGAGCCACTGTACTGAGCCTGAAGAGATTTCTTTAATCTAGCATCCCATACTTGACAGGATTGAGAAAGGCAGTAGTCGTTTTTAAAATTACTTCATAATTCAGTAAGAATCTAACTCAACCTTGACCCCTGCCTTCTCTTACACCCCACATCCAGTCTGTCAGGAAATCCTGTTGACTGTCTTCAACACATACTGAAGATCCCCACCCACCGACTCCCTGGCCTCCTCTCCTACTTCTCTCCTCTGACCATCTCTCAACACCACCATGACCCTGGTCAAGACTACTATCATCTTCCGCCTGGATGTTGCCACAGCTTGGCCCCCATGCTTCTACCCAAATCTTCCCACAGTCTTTCTCAACTCAGCAGCCAGAGAATGCTTTTAAATCGGCAGACAGATCATGTCGCCTCTCTGCTCAGAACCCTCTTCAATTTCCTATCTGGCCCAGCAATAACCTCCCAGGGCTTACACAGTCTGTACTGATCCCTGCCCAGCAACTCCCTGGCCTCCTGCCCTAATTCTCTCCCTCTTTCCTTCTGCTCCACTGGCCTCCTTCCAGAGCCTCAGACACACCTCAGACAGTTTATTCAGTTGTTTCTGCCCACAATCCTCTTCCCTCAGCACCTTGGCCAGCTCCTTGCCCTCCTTCAAGTCTTGGCTTAATTTTCACTTAGGAGGCCACTCCTGATCATACTATTTAACATTGCCATCTGTCCCCATGCCCACCATGCTAATTTCTTCCCTCCTTCTTTCTTTTCTTCCCTCCCCTCCCCTCCCCTGTCCTCCCTCCCTCCCCCCACCTCCCTTCATTTTTTTGACAAGATCTCACTCTTGTTACCAAGGTTGGAGTGCAGTGGCACAATCACAGCTCACTGCAACCTCAAATTCCCAGGCTCAAGCGATCCTCCCACCTCAGCCTCCCTAGTAGCAGGGACTACAGGTGCATACCATCATGCCTGGCTAATTTTTTTAGTATTTTATTTTATTTTATTTTGAGATGGAGTTGCACTCTTCTTGCCCAGGCTGAAGTGCAATAGTGTGATCCTGGCTCACTGCAACTTCTACCTCCAAGATTCAAGTAATTCTCCTGCCTCAACCTCCCAAGTAGCTGGGATCACAGGCATGTGCCACCATGCCCGGCTAGTTTTTGTATTTTTAGTAGAAATGGGGTTTTGCAATGTTGGCCAGGCTGGTCTTGAACGCCTGACCTCAGGTGATCCACCCACCTCGGCCTTCCAAAGTGCTGGGATTACAGGCATAAGCCACCGCGCCTGGCCAATTTTTTTTTTTTTTTTTTTTTTAGTAGACACAAGGTCTCACTGTGTTGCATAGGCTGGTCTTGAATTCCTGGCCTCAAGTGATCCTCCTGCCTAAAATTCCTACGGATTGCTGGCATAAGCCACCATGCCTGGCTTCATGTTCCTTTCTTCTTGCTGCTGCAACATAGTTTGCAATTTCCTAAATTTAGTGGCTTAAAACACTACAAATCTACCATCTTACAGTTCTGGGGGCCAGAAGCCCAAACTAGATTTATTAAGGCTAAAGTCAAGGTGTCAGCAGGGCTGCATTCCTTTTGAAGGCTCTAAAGTGTTTCCTTGGCTTTTCCAGCTTCTAGAAGCCACCCCCATTCCTTGGATCATGGCCCCTGACTCCATCTTCAAAGCCAGAAGTGAAGCATCTTCAAATCTCCCTCTCTGACCTCTGCTTCCATCACCACATCTCCTGCTCCAATTCTGACTCTCCTACCCTCTTTCTTTTATAAAGACTCTTGTGATTGCTGGGCATGGTGGCTGCCACACATAATCGCAACAATTTGGGAGACCAAGGCAGAAGGAACATCTGAGACCCAAAGTTTGAAACTAGCCTGAACAACATAGAGAGACCCCACCTCTAGAAAAAAATGAAAATAAATGTGAGCTGGATGTGGTGTGTGCCTGTAGTCCCAGCTACTTGAGAGGCTGAGGTAAGACGATCACTTTAGCCCAGGAGTTTGAGATCAGCCTGGGCGACATAACTAAATTTCATCTCTACAAAGATGAGCTGGGCATGGGTGACATGCACGTGTAGTCCCAGCTACTTGGGAGGCTGAGGTAGGAGGATTGCTTGAGCTCAGGAGGTCAAAGCTATAGTGAGCTATGATCACATCGCTGCACTCCAGCCTGGATGACACAGGGAGATTCCGCCTCAAAAAAAGAAAACAAAAGAAATATATATCTGGTCTCTGTCCCTGGTTCCTGGTAGAGGGCTTCTAAAGCCCTTATAAAGACCTCAGTGTTAGAGGTGATAGGAGCATCTTTTGTTTTAATATTTGGTCTTGGTCCCAGGTTTCTGACACAAGAGCCTTTAAGAACTTTGGGATCTCCAGCATGACAAGAATGCATTTGGTGATGTTGTTGAGATGACTGGGTGACTGCAAGCTCCTAGATTTTTTCAGGAGGAGGACTGATTGCCGGAAAAAGCAACCACATGATTAGAGGCTTGGAACTTTCAGCCTCATGCACTGAACTCCAGGAGGAAGAGGGGCTGGAGATTGACTTAATCACCAACTGCCAAAGATTTTATCAATCGTGCTTGCATGATAAAGCCTCCATAAACACCCTGAACAACAGGGTTTGCAGAGCTTCTGGGGTTGTTGAACGCAGGAGATTCTGGGAGGGTAGCATGTTCAACAGAGGGCATGGGAGCTCTGTGCTCCCAAAGTTACCCTGCCCTGGGCATCTTTCTTTTCTTTTTTTTGAGACAGGGTCTGGCTCTTTTGTCCAGGCTAGAGTACAGTGGCACAATCTCAGCTTACTACAACCTAAGCCTCCCCAGTCCCCAGCTCAAGGCATCCTCTCACCTCAGCTTCCCTAGTAGCTAGAACTATAGGTACACAACACCACACCCGGCTTTTTTTTTTTTTTTGTAGAGACAGGTTTTCACCATGTTGCCCAGGCTGGTCTCAAACTCCTGAATTTAAGCAATCCTCCCACCTCAGCCTCCCAAAGTGCTGGGATTACAGGCGTGAGTCACAACATCCAGCATGTACATCTCTTTCATTGGCTGTTTCTGAGATGTATCCTTTACAATGAACCTGTAATAGGAAATGAACTGGCCAGATGTGGTGGCTCACATCTGTAATCCCAGCACTTTAAGAGGCTGAGGTGGGAGGATCGCTTGAGCCCAGGAATTTGTGGCCAGACTGGGCAACACAACAAGACCCCATCTCTACAAAAAATAAAAGAAATTAGCCAGATGTAGTGGTGCAGGTGTGTAGTCTCAGCTACTAGGGAGGCTGAGGTGGGAGGACCACTTGAACCCAGGCAGTCCAGGCTGCAGTGAGCTATGACTGCACCACTGCACACCAGCCTGGACAACAAAATGAGACCCTGTCTCTAAGAAAAAAATAAAATAAACTGTTTTTTTGAGTTCTGTAAACTGTTCTAGCAAATTATTAAACCCAAGAAGAGGGTCATGGGAACCCCGATTTGTAACAGGTTGGTCAAAAGTACAGGTAACAACCTAGGACTTGCATTGGCATCTGAAATGAGGGTGGTCTCGTGGTACTGAGACCCTAACCTGTGGGGTCTGTGTCAACTCCAGGTAGTGTCAGAATAAAATTGTGGGATACCCAGTTAATATCCAGAGCATTGGAGAACTTGGTGTAGAAACTCCACACACACATTCAGTCAGAAGTGTGTGAGTAGAGACTAACATGGGCTTTTCTTTCACCTGTCTACCTGCTTCACTGCATAGGAGAGGCAATACGTGGTGCTCATGAACAAAGCAAACATTAAAGTCAGACCAGACCCGACATTTGACTCAGTCTTAATATCCAGGTGAGCTTGGGCAAATCACTCATTATTCCTAAGTCTTCATCACTTCATTCACAAAATGGGGATAACTGTGGCACCTACCTGTGATTTTGTGAGAACTAATGAAATACTATGATTGGTGTTATTGTGATCATTATACCTATTCTAAACTATTTGACCAGGACAGGGATGCATGATAACATTAACAGATTAGAAACTGTAATGAGGTCTCTTGGGCAAAATTCCATACAAGCAAATTACTGTCTCTCCAAAGCATTCCTGCCACACTTAATTCACCATTCCCTGAATAAAATGTGCCATCTTCATTGTCCAGGTCTTTACAGTGCTGGTTTACCTGCCTGGGCAGCTCACTCCATCCCATCCCAGCCCATTCCCCATCCCTCCACCTCCCCCTTCCCTCCCCACTCTCATACAACTCTTCCTCATCTTTCAGGACCCAGCTTCAGTGTTACCTTAACTGGAAGCTTCTCTCACCCTTCAGAAGAGCTTCCCATTGCACTTGAGGCATGCACTATTATTTGATCATTTTTGAGTTATAGTCCAAGTCTTTTTGTACCTGAATAAGATGTTGCCCAGTCAGTCTCTCTTCCTGGATTCTGAAGTCTTTCATGGTAGATTCAGCTGGAAGTGACAAAAAGACATTCTTTTGAAAAAGAGGGATGACACAGACAGACATAAGTTCTTAAACGGTTTAAATGGTATGTGAAAATTTAACAAAATTCAAAGGCTTGTGGGGAACACTTAGGAGGAAAAGTTACTGGGAATGTTATAAAGGGTTAATTTATATGTTATCGTACTTTATTTTATTTTATTTTTTGAGACAGAGTCTCATTCTGTTACCTAGGCTGGAGAGCAGTGGTGTAATCAGGGCTCACTGCAGCCTCAACCACCTGGGCTCAGGTAATCTCACTTAATCTTTATTTGGTTTAAGAAACTCAGTCTTGGTTGAGCATAGTGGCTTATGCCTACAATCTCAGCACTTTGGGAGGCTGAGAGGGATATATTACTTGAGGCAAGCAGTTTGAGATCAGCCTGGGCAACATATTAAGACCCTGTCTCTACCAAAAAAACAGAGTGAATTTGTGGAAGACAATTTTTCCACAGACTCGGGGTGAAGGAAATGATTTTGGGATGATTCAAGTGCATTACATATATTGTGCACTTTATTTCTATTATTATTACATTGTAATATATAATGAAATAATTATACAACTCACTATAATGTAGAATCAGTGGGATCTCTGAGCTTGTTTTCCTGCATCAAGACTGTTCAACTGGGGTGACGGGAGACAGTGACAGATCATCAGCCATTAGATTCTCACAAGGAGCGTGCAACCTAGATCCCTCACATGCACAGTTCACAACAGGGTTCGTGCTCCTATGAGAATCTAATGCTGCTGCTGATCTGACAGGACATGGCGCTCAGGTGGTCATGGGAGCGATGGGAGGGGCTATAAATATAGATGAAGTTTCCCCTCACTCGCCCGCTGCTCACCTCCGGCTCTATGGACCTGTGGTTGGAGACCCCTGCTTGAGTGCATTCAAAAGGATCCATCCCATGCCATTCTTCAGAGTCATCTTTACTGCCGCCGTGGTCAAGTGTAGCACCCCTAAGCTTGCAGGGCATATGCTTCAGCTAGCATTTCATCACAATCAACAATAAGTGGTAGCTTGAGTCATTGTGAGGTCAGTTCCTGGAAATCACCAGCATCCCGTGTCCCATTGGCAAGGAGCTCAGCTCTGCTCCTTGGATAACCAAACCTGTGCCCAAATCCCATCTGTGTGGGTCTATCTCCTGGTACCCTTCCTAGCATCAATTCTGTATTTGTAGGAGTCCAATCAGGAGATATAAACCATTCAAAAGTTTAAACTAGAATGGGCAAGGTGGCTCAAACCTGTAATTCTAGCACTTTGGGAGGCCAAGGCGGGTGGATCGCTTTGAGCTCAGGAGTTTGAGACCAGCCTGGGAATTAGGGTGAAACCCCATCTCTACAAAAAACACAAAAATTAGCCGGGTGTGGTGGTACATACCTGTAATCCCAGCTACTCGGGAGTCTGAGGCAGAATTGCTTGAGCCTGGTAAGTGAAGGTTGAAGTGAGCAGAGATTGTGCCACTGCACTCCAGCCTGGGTGACAGAGTGAAAGCCAGTATCAAAAAATAAAAGTAAGAATATATATATGTAATTTTAATATAAAAAGTATTAAATTTTGGCTGGGCGTGGTGACTCACGCCTGTAATCCCAGGACTTTGGGAGGCTGAAGCAGGCAGATCACCTGAGGTCGGGAGTTTGAGACCAGCTTGACCAACATGGAGAAACACCGCCTCTATTAAAAATACAAAATTAGCTGGGCGTGGTGGCACATGCCTGTGATTTCAGCTACTTGGGAGGCTGAGGCAGAAGAATCGCTTGAAACTGAGAGGCGGAGGTTGCAGTGAGCCGAGATCACACCATTGCCCTCCAGCTTGGGCAACAAGAGTGAAACTCCATCTGAAAAAAAAAAAGTATTAATTTTAATAGAGGATCAGCATAATGAGGGACAAAACAGCACAAAGTAAAGACGACTCGAGAGAATACAGAACTAGCAGAGGCCAGGCATGGTGGCTCAAGCCTGTAATCTCAGCAATTTGGGAAGACTAGGCAGGAGGATCGCTCAAGGCCTGGAGTTGGAGACCAGCCTGTACAACATAGTGAGACCCTGTGTCTACCAAAAAAAGAAAGAAGTTAGCCAGGTGTGGTGGCGGTGCACACCTGTTGTTCCAGCTACTTGGAGTCTGGGGTGGGAGGACCCATTGAGCCTGGGAAGTCTAGGCTACAATGAGCCAAGATCATGCCATTGCACTCCTGGGAGATAGTGAGACCCTGTCTTAGAAAGAAAAAGAAAAGAAAAGAAAGTGCTGATCCCCCTACTTCTCCCGCCCTCTCTGGAACCTCACTTGTCAGTTCTTCCTCCCACTTCCCTGTATCATTACCTATCCCCCCCTTTTAGCTCCTTCACCATCATTTAAACTAATCAAACTTCTTATATTTAAAAAAAAAACCTCTCCCTAAACTCAGTGTTTCCCCTGCTTTAGGTCTCCAGCACACCCACTGAGCCATCTGCTTTCCCTGGTGCCTTCTCCACACAGCAGCCTGGGCCACGTCTCTAATCCATGAATCTCATCACATTACTCCTCCCCCATTTACATCACTTCTCCTTGCCTTGGGTATTAAGTCCAAACCCCTGCTCTACCCTGCCTTGCAAGGCAGCCTCACTGCTTGCCCCTCTCCATTTTACCTGCTGTAGAGTCCAACTGAGCCTCATCTGCACCTTGAATGCCCACTCTCTCTCCTCTGGGAGCCTCTGAAGTGGGTGATGCCCTCTGCTTAGAATATGCTTCCCCTTAAATCTCTACTCTCTTCCTGGCTAGCTTTGGCTCCTCTGTCACTTGTCTGCTTTGGCATCATCTCCTCCTGGAAGCCTTCCTTGACTCCCCAGATTCTCAGGAGCATGGGAGGTGAGGTGCTCCTCCCATATATGAATGGAGATTAGGGAGTATGTGTTATTCATGTTTAATTCACCAGTGCTTAGCTCAGTGCCTGGCACAAAACAGTCACTGTGGTGGCCAAGGTAATGACCCCCACCCCCAACTGCTCATGTCCTATGTTACACCACACAATTACATAGGAAGGGGGAATTAAGAGTGCAGATGGAATTAATGTTGCTAATCAGGTGACTTTAAAACAAGATTATCCTGGAGTATCTGGGTGAGCCCATGTAATTACAAGTGTTCTTTAAATGTGGAAGAGGGAGGCAGAAGGTTAAGAACCAGAGATAGTGGGCACAATGGCTCATGCCTGTATTACCAATACTTTGGGAGGCCAAGGCAGGAAAATCCCTTGAGTCCAGGAGTTCAAGGTCAGCCCTGGCAACATAGCAAGGCCCCATCTCTACAAAAAAAAAAACAAACCCAAAATTCCCCGAGTGTCATGGCACTTACCTATAGTCCCAGCTACTGGGAGGGATGAGGTGGGAGGATCGCTTGAGCCTGGGAGTTTGAGGCTACAATGAGCCATGATAGGACCACTGAACTCCATCCTGAGTGACACAGCAAGGTCCTGTTTCTAAAGAAAAAAAGGACATTGGAATCAGGATCCCCTCCATCCTAAGGTACCTACAAGGCATCTCTCTCTGCAAACAAGTAAACATCATCCTCCAACTCCTCACAGAGTGGAGCAGCAGGAAAACTCCCTCACCTCATTTCTGTGCTGCTTGGGAGGCCTGGACAGCCCAATAACCAGCTGCTTGCTGATGAAGCAATAGGGAAATGGCTCGAGTTGAGCTAAGGAGAATTTGGATCATTCTTTTGGTTCTCAATAGGCAGGGTAGGGGCCAGGCATGGTGGCTCATATGTGTAATCCTTGCACTTTTGGAGGCCAAGGTGAGAGGATCACTTGAGGCCAGGAGCTCAAGACCAGCCTGGGCAACATAGCGAGACCCAGGTGGCATGCACCTGTGGTCCCCACTACTTGGTAGAATGAGGTGGGAGGGTTGATCACTTGATCCCAGGAGTTTCAGGCTGCAGTGAGCCATAATCACACCACTGCACTCCAGCCTGGGTGACAGAGCCAGACCATGTCTCAAAAAGTAAAAAAAAAATAAAAAAATAAAAAAATACAGAGAGAGACTATAGGCAGCCACCACCACATCTGGCTAATTTTTAAATATTCTGTAGAGACGAGGTCTTGCTAGGTTGCCCAGGCTGGTCTAAAACTCCTGGCATCAGGCCAGGCGTGGTGGCTCATGCCTGCAATCCCAGCACTTTGGGAGGCCAAGGCAGGCAAATCACCCGAGGTCAGGAGTTCGAGACCAGCCTGGCCAATGTGGCGAAACCCCATCTCTGCTAAAAATACAAAAATTGGCCAGGCAGTAGTGGCATGAGCCTGTAATCCCAGGTACTCGGGAGGTTGAGGCAGGAGAACCGCTTGAACCTGGGAGGCAGAGGTTGCAGTGAGTCAAGATCACGTCACTGCATGCATTCCACCCTGGGTGACAAAGTGAGACTCTGTCTCAAAACAAACAAACAACAAACAAACAAACAAACAAAAAAACTCCTGGCATCAAAAGATCTTCCTATCTCACCCTCCCACCCTCCCAATGCCCTGGGATTATATTTTTTGTTTACTATAATTGAAGACACTTGTTCTTATACTGCTTTAAGATATAAAGAAAAAAAACCAGATAATAACAAATGTTGGTGAAGGCCGGGCACAGTGGCTTAGCCTGTAATTCCAGAACTTTGGGAGGCTGAGGTGGGCAGATCACTTGGGGCCAGGAGTAAGAGACCAGCCTGAGCAACATGGTAAAACCCCATCACTACAAAAAAATATAAAAATTAGCCAGGCATGGTGGCATGCACCTGTAATTATCAGCTACTCAGGAGGCTGAGATGAGAAAATCACTTGTGCCTGGGAGGTCAAGGCTGCAGTGAACTGTGATGCCGTCACTGTGCTGCAGCCTGAGAGACAGAGCAAGCCCCTGTCTAGAAAAAAAAAAAAAGTCAGCGAAGATGTGGAGGAATTGGAACCCACATACATTACTGTTGGGAACATAAAATCGTGTAACCACGCTTTTCTTGTCATTTTAATTGGATTTTTTAAAAATCAAGACAGGGTCTTGCTATCTTGCCCAGGCTGATCTTGAACTTGTGGGCTCAAGCCATCCTCCCAACTGAGCCTCCTGAGTAGCTGGGACTACAGGTGTGAGCCATCACACCCAACTGGTGTAGCCACTTTAGAAGACAAACTGGCAGTTTCTCAAAAGGCTAAATATACAGTCATCATATAATGCAACAATTTCACTCCTAGGCATATATCCCAGAGAAATAGAAATATATGTCCGCACAAAAACTTGTACAGCAATCTTCATAGCAGCATTGTTCATAATAGCCAATACGTGGAAACAACCCAAATGTCCACCAACTGATGAACAGATGAACAAAATGCAGTGTGTCTCTACCATGGAATATTATTCAGTCATACAAGAAATGAAATACTGATACACACTATGACATAAAGGAACTTTGAAAACATTGTGCTAAGAGGGAAAAAAAAGCCACAAAAGATCACATATTGTACAATTCTATTTGTCCAGATTAGGAAATTCTATAGTGATAAAAAATGAATCAATGGTTGCCTAAGGCTGGGGGGCCAAGGCAGGTAGGGAGGAGTAGGAGGTAGTGGCTAAGAGGTGCGGATTTCTCTATACGGTAATGAAAGGTTCTAAAAGTGACTGTGGTGATCGATGCACAGCTCTGTGAATATTCTAAAACCTACTGAATTGCAGATTTCAATAAATAAATAAATTGAAGGGTATGTGAATCATATTTTAATACAGCTATTATTTAAAATAATAAGTGGCTGGGCACAGGTGGTCATGCCTGCCTGTAATCCCAGCACTTTGGGAGGCTGAGGCAGGAGGATCACTTGAGGTCAGGAGTTTGAGCCTAGTCTGAGCAATCTAGCAAGATCCCATCTCTATGATAAAAAAATTAAAAAATTAGCTGGGCATGGTGGCACACGTCCGTAGTCCCAGCTACCTGGGAGACTGAGGATTGCTTAAGCCCAGGAGTTTGAGGCTACAGTGAACCATGATCATGTCACTGTACTGCAGCCTGGGTGACAGAGCAAGACCCTGTCTCTAAAAAGGAAAGAAAATACAAGTTTTTATCACTTTGTGAGTGTAGCCAAGTTTGAGGAGAAATAGACAAGAATAAAAGAGCACTGAATAACGAGAGTAAGTGGCTGGTAAGGCCCAGTTGCTAGCTAAGTGGCTTCTGAAACATTCATTAGTAAAGTTAAAGCTCTGGGGACAGTCATGCAGTCAAAGAATGAATGCTAAATTCATTACAAATGCTGATGGTCTTTCTTTACATGCCTTCTAGTGAAAAATTCCTAAGTGCCTAAATAGCAAGTCTGCAATGATAGCAACTGTTTATTAAAAACTACAAAAAAGAAATGGAGGCTGGGCATGGTGGCTCATGCCTGTAATCCCTGCACTTTGGGAGGCTGAGGTGGGCAGATCACCTGAGGTCAGGAGTTTGAGACCAGCCTGGCCAACACGGTGAAACCCTATCTCTACTAAAAATACAAAAATTAGATGGGTGTGGTGGCGGGCACCTGTAATCCCAGCTACTCAGGAGGCTGAGGCAGGAGAATTGCTTGAACCCAGAAGGCAGAGGTTGCAGTGAGCCAAAATCACGCCATTGCACCAGCCTGGGCGACAAAAGCAAGACACCATCTTTAAAAAATAAAAAAAAAGGCATCTTCTTCAAGAATGACATAGTGTTTCATGATAAAGAAGCCCTAATTTTGCATTTGTTCAAGTATTGATTTGATTTAGCAAATATGACACCAATCTTGGATAAAGTGCGAACAACAATTTCATTTTCTCCTTAATCAAAACTGATTAGGTAGTCTAATACCAATTCTGATCTTATTAAAAACTGATAAGATAAAAAAAATCAGGGAATGACAGAGCCAATAAGATGTTACAACCTGTTCTAAGGAGAATTCCAAAACCCACACATATTTGAGACCATTAAGCATGATGAAATATATCTGATTACTATATTTAAAAATAAACTGATTATATAGCCAACAACAATTGGGCAGGGGTCTCCTCATCCACAGCCACACAATCCTGATCACGCAGCTATGTGGTTGCAAGGCCTGCATAGCCTAGAAGGGACTGGTCTGACTTGAGATTTCACTTCATTCATATTTGTATTTTGAGACAGGGTCCTGCTCTGTCACCCAGGCTGGAGTGCAGTGGTATAATCATAGCTCACTGCAGCCTTGACCAGCTGGGCTCAAGAGATCCTCCTGCCTCAGCTGTACCAGTACCTGGGAATACAGGCAAGTACCACCATATCAGGCTATTTTTTTTTTTAATTTTTGTAGACAGAGAAGTCTTACTATGTTGTCCAAGATGGTCTCAAACTCCTAGCCTCAAGAGATCTGCCCACCTCAGCCTCCTGAGTAACTGGGGCCATAGGTACACACCACCATGCCCGGCCATATTTATTTTATTTTATTAAATTTCTTTCTTTTATTTTTGTAGAGGGAGGTCTTGCTATGTTGCAAGGCTGTTGTCGAACTCATGGCCTTAAAACATACTCCCATCTTCTGCCTCTCAAACTGTTGCAACTATAGGTGTGAGCCACTGCACCTGTGTGGCCTGACTTGCGATTTCTTTAATCTAGCATCCTTTACTTGGTAGGATTGGGAAAGGCAGTAGTGTTTTCAAAAATTACTTAATAATTCAATTAGAACCAAACTCAACCTTGACTCCTGCCTTCTCTCACAGCTTACATCCAGTCTGTCAGGAAATCCTATTGACTGACTTCATCTCCCGCCTGGATGTTGCCAAATCTCAGCCCCCCTGCTTCTACCCAAATCTTCCCACAGTCTTTCTCAACTCAGCAGCCAGGGGGTGCTTTTAAATCAGGAGAAAGATCACGATGCTTCTCTGCTCAGAACCCACCCCCAACACCCCCACCCACAGTTCCCATTTCAGTCAGAATAAAAGCCAAAGCCCCAGCAATAGCCTCCAGGGCTTACATGATCTGTACTGATCCCAGCCCAGCAACTCCCTGGCCTCCTCGCCTGCTTCACTCCCTCTATCTCTTTGCTCCTCTGGCCTCCTTCCAGAGCCTCAGACACACCAGGGAGTTTCCTCCTAACGCCTTTATCCTGTTGACTCAGCCTACAGTGCTCTTCCCTCAGCACCTTGGCCAGCTCCATCACCTGCTTCAAACTTTTGCTCAATTTTCACTTATGAGGCCAACCCTGACCACTCTACCTAACATTGCCATCTGTCCCCATTCCCAGCATGCTCATTTCTTTCTTTTTGAGACAGGGTCTTGCTCTATTGCCCAGGCTGAAGTACAGTGGTGCAATCACAGCTCACAGCAACCTCAATGCCCTAGGCTTAAACAATCCTCCTGTCTCAGCCTCCCTAGGAGCTGAGACTACAGGTGCACGCCAGAACACCTAGCTAATTTTTTTTTTTTTTTGAGACAGAGTCTTACTCTGTCACCTAGGCTGGAGTGCAATGGCATGATCTTGGCTCACTGAAACCTCTGCCTCCCGGATTCAAGTGATTCTCCGCCTCAGCCTCCCAAGTAGCTGGGATTACAGGTGCGCACCACCTCACCGGGCTTATTTTTGTATTTTTAGTAGAGACGGGGTTTCACCATCTTTGCCAGGCTGGTCTTGAACACCTGACCTCAAGATCCACCCCCCTCGGCCTCCCAAAGTGCTGGGATTACAGGTGTGAACCACCACGCCTAGCCTTTTCTTTAAAATTTTTGTAGACATGAGGTCTCACTATGTTGCCCAGGCTGGTCTTAAGCTCCTGGGCTTGAGCAATCTTCCCACCTCAGCCTCCCAAAGTGCTGGGATTACAGGCGTGAGCAACTGCCCCTGGCTTCATGTTCATTTCTCCTTGCTGCTGCAACAAACTACCCTACATTTAGTGGCTTAAAACACCAGAAATCTACCATCTTACAGTTCTGGGGCCCAGAAACCCAGCTAGGTCTAGTAAGGCTAAAGTCAAGGTGTCAGAGGGGCTGCATTCCTTTTGGAGGCTCTAGAGAGAATGTGCTCCCTTGCCTTTTCCAGTTTCTAGAAGCCACCCCCATTCCTTGACTCACCTTGAAGATGGCCCCTGACTCCATCTTCAAAGTCAGAAGTGCAGCATCTTCAAATCTTCCTCTCTGACCTCTTCTTTCATCACCACATCTCCTTCTCTAATTCTGACTCTCCTACCTCCTTTCTCTTATAAAGATCCTTGTGATTGGCGGGCATGGGGGCTCCCATCTATAATCCCAACATTTTGGGAAGCCAAAGAGGAAGGAATGCTTGAGGCCAAGAGTTCAAAATCAGCCTTGGCATCATAGCAAGACCCTGCCTTTACAAAATTAACATTAAAATCAGCTGGGCATGGTGATGCACATCTGTAGTCCCAGCTACTGGAGAGGTGAAGGTGGGAGGATTGCTTTAGCTTAGGAGGTCAAGGCTGCAGTGAGCTACGATCACATCACTGCACTCCAGCTGGGGTAGGAGAGTGAGACTCTGTCTCAAATATAAGAAAAGAAATACATATTTGGTATTTGCCCCTGGTTCCTGGCACAAAGCTTCTAAAGCTCTTATAAAGTCCTTAGTGATAGAGGTAATAGGAGCACCTTCTGTTTTAATATTTGGTCTTAGTCCCAGGTTCCTGACACAAGGACCTCTAAGTTCTTTCAGATCTGCAGCATGGTAAGAAAGCATGTGGGATGCTGTTGAGATGCCTGGGTGGCTGGAAGTTCCTAGACTGCTTCAGAAGGGCTGGTTGCCAGAGAAACCAACCACATTTTTTTTTTTAAATGGAGTTTGGCTCTTGCAGCCCAGGCTGGAGTGCAATGGGACAATCTCGGCTCACCACAACCTCCGCCTCCCGGGTTCAAGCTATTCTCCTGCCTCAGCCTCCTGAGTAGCTGGGATTACAGGCATGTGCCACCATGACCAGCTAATTTTTGTATTTTTAGTAGAGACGGGGTTTCATCATGTTGGTAAGGCTGGTCTTGAACTCCTGACATCAGGTGATCTGCCCACCTCGGCCTCCCAAAGTGTTGGGATTACAGGCGTGAGCCACCGTGCCCAACCCCAACCACATTTTTTGAGGCTTGGAACTTTCAGCCTTACTGGCTGAACTCCAGGAGGCAAAAGGGGCTGGAGATTGACTTAACCACCAATGGCCAATGATTTTATCAATCATGCCTCCATAAAAATCCTAAACAACAGGGTTTGGAGAGCTTCTGTGTTGCTGAACACAAGGAGGTGCTGGGAGGGTAGCATGCCCAACAGAGGGCATGGAAGCTCTGTGCCCCTCCCCACTTACCCTGCAATACATCTCTTTCATTGGCTGTTCCTGAGATGCAGCCTTTACACTGAGCCAGTAATAGAAAATAAACTGGCCAGATGTGGTGGCTCATGCCTGTAATCCCAGCACTTTTGGAGGCAGAGGTGGGGGAATCACTTGAGCCCAGGAATTTGAGACCAGACTGGGCAATGTAACAAGACCCCATCTATACAAAAAATTAAAAAAATTAGCCAGATGTGGTGGTGGGAAACTTGTAATTCCAGCTACTTGAGAGGCTGAAGCAGGAAAATCACTTGAGCCCTGGAGGTTGAGGCTTCAATGAGCTATGATTGCACCAGTGCACTCCAGCCTGGGCAACAGAACGAGACCCTGTCTCTTAAAAAAAAAGGAAAAAAACCCTGTTTTTCTAAGTTCTGTGAGTTGTTCTAGCAAATAATTAAACCCAATAAGAGGATCATGGGAACCCCTGATTTCTAACTGGTTGGTCAAAATACAGGTGACAACCTAGGACTTGCAACTAGCATCTAAAGTGAGGGTGGTCTCGTGGGACTGAGCCCCTAATCTGTAGGGTCTGCACTAACTCCAGGTAGTGTCAGGATGGAACTGTGGGATACGCAGTTGGTATCCAGAGAGTTGGAGAATTGGTGTAGAAACTCTGCACTCACATTTTGTCAGAAGTGTGTGAGTAGAGAGAAACATGGGTTCTTCTCTCACCTGTCTACCTGCTTAACTGCATAGGAGAGGCAATGCATGGTGCTCATGAACAAAGCAAGCATTAAAGTCAAACAAGACCCAACATTTGACTCAGTCTTAATATCCAGGTGAGCTTGGGCAAATCACTTATTATCCACAAGTCTTCACCATTTTGTGTGTAAAATGGAGATAACTGTGGCACCTATCTGTGATTTTGTGAGAACTAATGAAATACTATGATTGGTGTTATTGTGATCATTATACCTATTCTAAACTATTTGACAAGGAGAGGGATGCATAATAATGTCAACAGATTAGAAACTGTAATGAGGTCTCTTGGGCAAAATTCCATACAAGCAAATTACTGTCTCTCCAATGCATTCCTGCCACACTTAATTCACCATTCCCTGAATAAAATGTGCCATTTTCATTGTCCAGGTCTTTACAGTGCTGGTTTCCCTGCCTGGGGAGCTCACTCCAACCCATCCCAGCCCATTCCCCACCCCTCCACCTCCCCCTTCCCTCCCCACTCTCATGCAACTCTTACTCATCTTTCAGGACCCGGTTTCAATGTTATCTTAACTGGAAGCTTCTCTCACCCTCCAGAAGAGCTTCCCATTGCACTTCATGCATGTACTGTTATTTGACCATTTTTGTGTTATAGTTCAAGTCTTTTTGTACCTGAATAAGATGTTGCCCAGTCAGTCTCTCTTCCTGGACTCTGAAGTCTTTCATGGTAGATTCAGCTGAAAGTGACATAAAGACATTCTTTAAAAAAAAAGAAAAAAAAAAAGAGGGATGACACAGACAGACATCAGTACTTAAAAGTTTTAAATGGTATGTGAAAAGCAAACAAAATTCAAGGGCTTCTAGGAAAAATGTAGGAGGGAAGGTGTCACTGGGAAATATGATAAAGGGTAATTTTTATTTTATTTTATTTTTTGAGAAAGGGTCTTGCTCTATTGCCAAGGCTGTACTGCAGTAGTGCGATCACAGCTCACTGCAGCCTCAACCTCCTGGGCTCAAGAAATCTTCCCACCTGATTTTTATTTTATTTAAGAAACACAGTCTTACTCTGTTACCAAAGCTGGAGTGCAGTGGTATGATCATAGCTTACTGCAGCCTCAACCTCCTAGGCTCAAGTGATCCTCCAGTCTCAGCCTCCGTAGGAGCTGGGACTACAGGTGTCCACCACAATGTCCAGCTCATTTTTTTTTTTAATTTTTAGTAGAGACAAAGTGTTGTTATGTTGACCAGGCTGATGGTAATCTCCTACCCTCAAGCAGTTCTCCCACCTCAGCCTTCCAAAGTGCTGGGATTACAGGTGTGAGCTGCCACATCTGGCTGAGGGGGTTAATTTTTAATTATATAAAGAGCTCAAAGCAAATAGTAGAAGGAGCCTAAATGCCTATAGCGGCTGACTGGTAAACTGTGATACATCCATATAATAAAATATTATGCAACCATGAAAAGGATTAAGAAAGATCAATAGGTATTGGCATAGATGTCCATGAAATATGAAAATGTGAAGTGAAGTCCAATTAGCCTGTATCTTGAAAAATATGGCCCTTTTTCTCAATAGCAATTATTTCCTGAGATAAGATCATGGGTCTAAAGAGCAAAGGAAAATTTTCACTTCTTTCTTAAAAATATTTACTATTTTTATAATTTAAAGAGATTAAATAAATAGATTGTCAAATTAGTAAAAGACACATTAACTCTATAAATAAATGGAGAAGTCACAGACAGCCCAGGCATGGTGGCTCACACTTATAATACCAGCACTTTGGGAGGGGGTCGGGGAGGATTGCTTGAGGGCAGGAGTTCCAGACCAGCCTGGAAAACATAGCAAGACATCATCTGTACTAAAAAAAAAAAAAAAAAAAAAAAAAATTGCCAGGCATGGTGGCATGTGCCTACAGTCCCAGCTACTGAGGTGGAAGGATCACCTGAGCCCAGGAGGTCAAGACTGTGGTAAGTTGAGACTGTGCTTGTGCCACTACACTCAAGCCTGGAAGACAGAGCGAGACTTAGTCTCAAAAAAAAAAAGACAATAAAGAAATAAAGCTAACAAGCTAACATAAGAAAAGATGTTAAAATGTGACAAATAAGATGGGCACGGTGGCTCACGCCTGTAATCCCAGCACTTTGGGAGGCCGAGGTGGATGGATCATGAGTTCAGGAGTTCAAGACCAGCCTGACGAACATGGTGAAACCCTGTCTCTACTAAAAATGCAAAAATTAGCCAGGCATGGTGGCGTGTGCCTATAATCCCAGCTACTCAGGAGGCTGAGGCAGGAGAATTGCTTGAACCTGGGAGGCGGAGGTTGCAGTGAGCCAAGGTCATGCCACTGCACTCCAGCCTGGTGAGAGAGCAAGACTCTGTCTCAAAAAAAAAAAGTGACAAATGAAAATAAAGTAATATGAGGTCTTTTATTTATTAAAAATAATCAAACAGAAAATAACTTGTTAAATTATAATACCCTGTGCTGGCAAAGGTGCAGTGAAATGGGCATTTTCTTTTACTATTAGTGATGTTTAAATTGTAAATAAACCTTCCAGGGTAAAGCTTGGCAATTTTTTAAAAATAATACAGACAGTGACTCACTATACTGCCTCCTCCAACTCCTGGCCTCAAGCAGTCCTCCCACCTCAACCTCCAAAAGTGCTGGGATTATAGGTCGACAGCCACCATGCCTGAAAGCTTGGCAATTTACATCAAGCATAATAAGAATGCTCATGCCCTGTGACTCACAGTAATCTCACTTCTGGAAATATCATCTTTGGATATAATTCAACCTAAACAAAAGGTCATATGCACAAACACAGTGAAAATCTTGGGGTATTTTTTTTCTCTTTTTTAAAAAAATATGGAATGCTTCACAAATTTGCATGTCATTCTTGCACAGAGGCCATGCCAATCTCTCTATTGTTCCAACTTTAGTATATGTGCTACCGAAGCAAGCATGAGTAATTTAAGATAAAGTGGTTAAGTGAAATAAGGAAGAGTTACGGGGAATTTAAAAATCTATGGTATTTATAGGGATCTCATAACAGCTCAGTAAATATTAGCTGCTACTTTTATTATTTTTATGGTAATTCCACTCAATTAAAAATTGTCACTAAAAATTACCATTGTCATGGAACATAATGTATCCTACAGTATAACTGTAAAAACAGATACAATTTGTCCCTTGGTATATGGGGGGATTGGTTCCAGCTCCTCCATTTCTATGTATACCAAAATCCACACATACTCAAGTTTTCCAGTCAGTCCTGGGGTATTGAGATATATATATATATATAAAATGAGAAAATTAGTGAGGTGTGGTGACAAGCACCTGTAGTCCCAGCTACTTGTGAGGCTGAGTCAGGAGGATTGCTTGAGCCTGCAGTGAGCCATAATTGCACCACTGCACTCCAGTCTGGGCAACAGAGTGAGACAGAAGGTTGACTGTTTAATAGAATTTTTCTGTTGACTTGAACATATGGTCAGGACTGTGGTATATGAAAATTCTTCATAAGATAACTATCTAATCCAATTAATGCTGGAATTGGGAACAGAAAATGTTTTGGTGACTATTTATTTCTTCACTTGCTGTTATATAAACTATTGCCAGTGGGTACTTAACAACCAAGAATGTCATCTCTGAGCTACTCACAATGAAAGGTGATGTCTGGGACCCAGGTGTGTTGAGGTCCCCATGTCTGGGCTATGGGTGCTGAGTGGGACTTACTTATCCATCCATTTTCTATATTCTGGCACTGGGAAACTTGGGTTTATCCATCTTGATAAAAGGTCATTTAAATTCCACTTGGCAAGAACCACAAATGGAAGAAAGGTCACGAAATCACAGGCTAGCCCTTGTTCTCAAGGGAATCTTCAGCTTAGGTGGCTCTGTAAAAGAGGAATCGCATTGTTGAAAAATCATCGTAGGTCAGCTGAGGTGGCCCATACCTATAATCCCAGCCCATTGGGAGACTAAGGCAGGAGGATCCCATGAGGCCAGGAGTTCAAGACCAGCCTAGGCAACACAGTGAAACCTCATCTCTACAAAAAATTAGAAAATGAGCTGGGTGCAGTGGCACATTCCTATAGTCCCAGCTACTCTGCAGGCTGAAGTGGGAGGATGAAAGTGGAAGCTGCAGAAGTGGAAGCTGCAGTGAGCTCTGATCTCACCACTGCATGCCAGCCTGGGTGACAGAGTGAGACCCTGTCTCAACATACACATACATACACACACACACACACACACACACACACACACACACACGCACACACACACAGACACATGCAGACACACACACACCCCCTCATCTCAGTCTGTCCAGCCTTGACTAAATAAAAGGGTCTTCTGGTTACAGAAGAGGTATGCTCTTTTGTAGGACAGGGATGGACCAGCAAGCTTGTTCACAGTCTTTTCCTCATCCTCTGCTTAGTTTTCCAAGAACCCTCACAGTGGAAACAGAGTCACTGGGAAAAGGACCTAAATCTTTATATTACCAGGGGAGAAATATGCCTCCTTTGTCAATTAATAAATAGAATACCTGCCTTAAAATCGAGGGAGTTCTGCTAGAATGAATCACTCCCTACAACCCTGACCTATGCAGGGAACATGAAAAACTGGAGTTTGGCCAGGCGCAGTGGCTCACACCTGTAATCCCAGCACTTTGGAAGGCCCAGGCGGTGGACCATCTGAGGTCAGGAGATCGAGACCAGCCTGGCCAACATGGTGAAACCCCATCTCTACTAAAAATACAAAAATTAGCTGGGTGTGGTGGTGGATGTGTGCAATCCCAGCTACTCAGGAGGCTGAGGCAGGAAAATCAGTTGAACCCGGGAGGTGGAGGTTGCAGTGAGCCGAGATCGCACCACTGCACTCCAGCATAGGTGACAGAGCTGAGACTCTGTCTTAAAAAAAAAAAACAAAAAACAAAACTGGAGTTTGGGGGCCTATAATATTGTAGGCCACATTCCAGATTGGAGAGACCTTACCAAAGTACGGCCTTTCCACAAAGCACTGCCAAACACCAGCTGGCTGTCTCCATGGGGCAACACCATATCTCTGGCTCTTGTTTCCCCAGGAGATGCTCTATTCCAGCCTTCCCTTACATTTTGTATCCCGCACATTTCCTAGCGTAAGGCCTCAAAACATAGCAGGCTGCCGAGTCACTGCTGATCTACTACATATCTGACTTCAGACTCCAGCAGAGCACTTTGTGTTTGAGAAATTAAAGAGAAGAGAATGGACCCAGACTGATGCTGGCCAACTTAGCGGTCCAAAGATATAAGCTGCTCAAACTGAGTACAGTGCCTCTGATTTTCTGAGTCTGCCCTGCTCCTAGGGCTCTTTGGATGAAATTAATTTCTCCTTGTTGAAGAAATGGTTTGCTAGAATATAAAAAATTTGGCCAGGCACAGTGGCTCACGCCTCTAATCCCAGCACTTTGGGGGGCCGAGGCAGATGGATAACGAGGTAAGGAGTTCAAGACCAGCCTGGCCAACATGGAGAAACCCGTCTCTACTAAAAACACAAACATTAGCTGGGTATGGTGGCACGGGCCTGTAGTCCCAGCTACTCAGGAGGCTGAGGCAGGAGAATTGCTTGAACCCAGGAGGTGGAGGTTGCAGTGAGCTGAGACTGTGCCATTGTACTCCAGCCTGGGTGACAGAGCAAAACTCCATCTCAAAAAAAAAAAAAAAAAAAAAAAAGAAAAGAGAATATAAAAAATTTAAAGAAGAAAAAAATGTTAAAATAAAATTTTCTCCTAAAGAGCACTCAAAAGCACACTCCCACCAATGCTGGATCTATTTATCTCTCTCTTGCTTTTTTTTTTTCTGAGATAGGGTCTCTCACTCTATCACCCAGGCTGCAGTATAGTGGCAAGGTCATGGCTCACTGAGGCTTTCAATTCCTGGACTCAAGCTATCCTCTCACTTCAGCCTCCTAAGTAGCTGGGATTGTAGGTGCATGCCACCATGCCTGGCTAATTTTTTTCATTTTTTGTAGAGAGGGTGTTCTCACTATGTGGCCCAGGCTGGTCTTGAACTCCTGGGTCAAACTAATCCTCCCGCCTTGGCCTCCCAAAGTGCTGGGATTATAGGCTTTAGCCACTGTGCCCAGTCTATTTATCTTTCTATAACTCACATATTAAATCTTCCTCCTTAAATTGCCTCCTACCCACCCATCTGCAGGGATAGCAAACACAGGTATCAGCGGGTCAGGCAACCTACGTGAGGGAAGGAGGCTGGAGTAATGTGGGAGAAGGGGGGAAACCGTAGCAAACTGCAAGGTATTCACTTCAACAGTTCTTCAACACTGTGATGGTCAAACCAAACACAGAAACAGGAAGCCCAGTTCAGTCACCAGCAGCCAACGTGGGATATTTCATCTACATGCTACAAGGCAAACTGCTTAGGATGAATGACCTGGTCTCCACCAATCTACTCTTGGGGTCCAGCTGCTCCTGCCCAAGTCCCTACACTCTACTGACATGACCCACATTCACAGTACTCTCCTGACACCTTTTCTTGTTCACTTTTTTTTTCCCCAACAAATTTTTTTTTTTTTTTTTTTTTACTTTTTTTGAGACAGAGTCCCCCTCTGTCACACAGGCTGAAGTATAGTGGGGTGATTATGGCTCACTGCAGCTTCCATCTTCTGGGATCAAGTGATCCTCCCACCTCAGCCTCCCAAGTAGTTGGGATTACAGGCATGTACCACCACAACTGGTTAAGTATATTATTTTTCCTTTTTCTTTCTTTTTTTTTTTTTGTTGTTGAGATGAAGTCTCACCCTGTCACCCAGGCTGGAGTGCAGTGGGGCGATCTCGGCTTACTGCAACCTCCAACTCCCAGGTTCAAGCAATTCTCCTGCCTTAGCCTCCCAGGTAGCTAGGATTACAGGTGTATGCCACCATTCCTGGCTAATTTTTGTATTTTTAGTAGAGATGGGGTTTCACCATGTTGGCCAGGCCGGTCTTGAGCACCTGACCTCAGGTGATCCACCCACATCGGCCTCCCAAACTGCTGGGATCACAGGCACGAGCCACTGCACCCAACCAGTTTATTATTTTTTCTAGGGACAGGTTCTCACTATGTTGCCCAGGTTGGTCTTCAACTTCTGGGCACAAGCAATCCCCTGGCCCCCTCCTCCCAAAGTGCTGGAATTACAGGCTTGAGCCAACACATCAGGCTCTAACAAATATTTCTTGAGCACCTACTACATACCAGGCACTATAATAGGTGCCCAGGAAACAGCAGTGAACAAGGTGTAAGAGTTTCTGCCCTCACAGAGCTTATAGGGTAGCAGGAAATTGATATAGTTTCAATGTTTGTCTCCTCCAATTCTCATATTGAAATTAAATCCCTAATGTTGGAGATGGTGCCTGGTGAGAGGTGTGTGGGTCATGGGGGCAGATCCCTCATGAATGGCTTAGTGCCCTCCCCATGGTAATAAGTGAGTTCTCTCTCTACTAGTTCATGTGAGAGCTAACTGTTTAAAGAGCCTGGCACCTCCTCCCCTCTCCCTTGCTCCGTCTTCTCACCAAGTGACGTGCCGGCTCCTCCTTCTCCTTCTACCATGAGTGGAAACCTCCTGAGGTCCTCACCAGCAGATGCTGGCACTATGCTTTTTTTTTTCTGAGACAGGGTCTCACTCTGACACTCAGGTTAGAGAGCAGTGGTGTAATTATGGCTCACTGCAACCCTGACCTCCTGGGCTAAAGAGATCTTTTTACCTTAGCCTCCCAAGTAGCTGGGACCATAGGCATGCATTAGGCATGCATCAGTGCACCATCATGCCTGGCTGATTTTTTTTTTTTTTTTAGTAGAGACAATGTCTCACCATGTTTCCCAGGCTGGTTTCAAACTTCGGGGCTCAAGCAATCCTCCTGCCTCAGCGTCCCAAAGTGCTGGGATTACAGGTGTGGGCCACTGTGCCCAGCCTGGCACCATGCTACTTGTATAGTCTGCAGAACTGTGAGCCAAATAAACTGTTTTTCTTTATAAAGTACCCAGCCTCAGGTGTTTCCTTATAGCAATGCAAAATGTACTAATCTAGGAATCGTATGCCAGCACTTACCAGACTGTGATGAGCATGTGACAGAAGTACAGAGTGGGACTGAAACGTTCCCCAGGGGCTTCTTGTTGCATCAGAGAGAGTGGGGTGAGACATCTCGGCTGAGGCTAAAGATGAGTAAAGACGAGAGTGAAAGAGTGATGATGGGGGTAAGGACAGGGTTTCCTGAAGAAGGACCAGTAAAGTCCCCCAAGAAAACTGTGAGGTCACTTCCTGGAAATCACCAGCATCCCATTTCCCATTGGCAAGGAGCTCAGCATGGTCCCTTGGATAACCAAACCTATGCCCAAATCCCATCTGTGTGAGTCTATCTGCCGGGACCCTTCTTAGCATATTAGAGTCCAATCAGGAGACAAAAACCACTCAAAAGTTTAAAGTGGTAAAATTTAATACAGAGAATTATTCATTATAACAGGGCAACAGCATAATAAGAGATTGGCTACCAAAAAGTAAGAAGAACTCTAGAGAACACAGGACTATCAGAGGCCAGGCATGGTGGCTCATGCTTATAATTCCAGTAATATGAAAAGCCAAGGCAGGAGGATTGCTTCAGGCCAGGAGTTTGAGACCAGCCTGGGAAACACAGTGAGACCCTGTCTCTACCAAAGAAAAAAAAAATAGCCAGGTGTGGTGGTGCACACCTGTAGTCCTAGCTACTTGGGAGGCTGAGGTGGGAGTATTGCTTGAGCCAGGGAGGTCATGGCTGCAGTGAGCTATGATTTCGTCACTGTGCTTTAGCCTGGGCAACAGAGGGAGACCCTGTCTCAAAAAAAAAAAAAAAAAAGTATAGGACCAGCTGATACAATGAACAGTAACTGCCCCTACTGTCCCTATGATGAGATGGAGTGACCAAGAAAGGGACTCTTCACTAGGGCTGAGATCCAGTCACCCTTGGAGAGGGCACAGTCATGGGTAATTCAATGGCAGAATTGCTGCATTACCACATGGTGGAACATGCTAGCAATCTGCCCTCTGGAATTTGCTGAAAATCTGCCTTCTATGGTGCTAGATTAAGCTATGAATGAACAGTTGTCTCACTACAAAACCACCCATGCAGGTTCAGAGAAACTGCTGGTCACTGGGTGCTGCTGAGCACCGTGCAGGGCAGGAGCCCAGTGCTGGACAAGCTCAGTGGCTGTGGAGATTGACACACTACAATCAGAAAGAACAGCCTCTTACAAAGTCCCTCTAGCACAATGTAGTGACAACATTTAATAATGTACCAGCTGATAGAGGAAGCATATAAGGAACCCACGTCTATGTTTGCAGAGCCGGCAGTGAAGGGTGAATTTGGAACTGATGGGCAGTCATTGGATGGATAGCTGGTACATGACACATTTCAATCTAGCAAGGAAAAAAGGAAGAGAGAAAAGAGATAGAGGACCAGGCATGGTGGTTCACTCCTATAATCCCAGCAGTTTGGGAGGCCAAGGCAGGTGGATCACTTGGGTCCAGGAGTTCGAAATCCAGCCTGAGTGACATAGTGAAACCCTGTCTCTACTAAAAATAAAAAAAATTAGCTGAGTGTGGTGGCTTGTGACTGTAGTCCCAACTGCTCAAGAGGCTGAGGTAAAAGGATCCCAAGTGTCTGAGAGTTCAAGGCTGGAGTGAGCCATGATCACACTATTGCACTCCTGCCTGGGTGACACAGCGAGATCCTGTCTCAAAAAAAGAAATGCTGGTGAAAATTTGAAGAAATTGGAACCCACATACATTATAGGTGGGAACAAAAAATGGTTTAACCACTTTGTTTGGGTGTTTCTTTTTTGTCATTTTAATTTGATTTTTTAAAAAATCGAGATAGGATCTCACTATCTTGCCCAGGCTGGTCTCTTTTAACTTGTAGGCTCAAGTGATCCTCCCACCTCAGCCTCTCATGTAGCTGGGATTACAGGTGTGAGTCACTGCACCTGACTGGTGTAACCACTTTGGAAAATAGTTTCTCAAAATGCTAAATGTACAGTATCATAGAATGCAACAATTTCTCTCCTAGGTATATATCCCAGAGAAATAAAAATATACGTCCACACAAAAACTTATAAATGAATATTCATAGCAGCATTATTCACAGTGGCCAATACATGGAAACAACCCAAATGTTCATCAACTGATGAATAAACAAAATGTGGTGTGTCTCTACCATGGAATATTATTCAGCCATAGAAGGAACGAAATACTGACACATGCTATGACAGGAAGGAACTCTGAAAACACTGTGCTAAGAGGGAAAAAAAACCCAGCCACAAACAATCACATATTGCACAATCCTATTTATATAAAAGGTCCAAGCCGGGTGCGGTGGCTCACACCTGTAATCCCACTTTGGGAGGCCGAGGCAGGCAGATCATGAGGTCAGGAATTTGAGACCAGCCTGACCAACATGGTGAAACCCTGTCTCTACTAAAAATACAATAATTAGCCAGGTGTGGTGGCAGGCGCCCATAATCCCAGCTACTCAGAAGACTGAGGCAGAAGAATTGCTTGAACCCAGGAGGCAGAGACTGCAGTGAGCTGAGATTGCACCATTGCACTCCAGCCTAGATGACAGAGCAAGACTCTGTCTCAAAAAAAAGAAGAAAAAAAAGGTCCAGATTAGGCAAATCTATAGTGACAGAGAATAGATCAGTGGTTGCCTATGGGAACACAGGGGGATGAGGGGAGTAGAAGTGGCTAAGAAGTGTGGATTTCTCTACAGGGTAATGAAAGCTTCTAAAACGGATTGTGATGATAGATGCACAGCTCCATGAATATTATAAAAACTACTGAATTGCATACTTTGATAAATGAATTTATGGTATGTGAACTATATTTCAATAAAGTTGTTATTTAAAAAAAGGGAATGGGGGCCAGGCACAGGTGGCTCATACCTGCCTATAATCCCAGCAATTTGGGAGGCTGAGGCAGGAGGATCACTTGAGGCTAGGAGTTTGAGACCATCCTGAGAAACACAGCACTATCCCATCTCTACAACAAAAAATAAAAAATTTAGCTTTGCATGGTGGTGTACGTCTGTAGTCCCAGCTACTTGGGAGGTTGAGGTGGGAGTACTGCTTGAGCCCAGTTTGAAGCTACAGCGAGCCATGATCACACCACTGCACTACAGCCTGAGTGACAGAGCAAGACCCTGTCTCTAAAAAGGAAAGAAAAGAAATGCAAGTTTTAATCACTCTGTGAGGATAAACAAGTTTGAGGGGAAACAGAGAAGAACAAAAGAGCACTGAATGGTGAGAGTGGGAGGCTGGTTACACTCATTGCTAGCTAAGGGACTTCTGAAAAATTCATGAGTAAAATCACAGCTCTGGGGGTCAGTCAGGCAGCCAAATGATGAATGTTAAATCCATTACAAATGCCCACCGTCTTTCTTTACATTCCTTCTAGTGCAAAATTCCTAACTGCCTAAATAGCAAGTGTTCTGAAATGATAGCAGCTGTTTATTAAAGAAATAACATCTCAAATTTTAAAAATCATGAGTCAAATATTATTTTCCTCCTCCCATTTTACAGGTGTGCAATCTAAACAACAGAGAATTTAAGTAATTTTTCTAAGTGGCAGAGCACAGATTTAAATCCTATCACTTTGGCCTCAGAGTTTGTGCTTTATTTTATTATTTTAAAATTCATCTTTTTTAAAACCAAGAGGCTTATGCAAAATTCTGCTAGGATTCAAAAAAAGCCTCTTGCTTTTCCTGACCATGGGTGCAGGCAGGGCTCATGCTGCATTTTCTTTACTTATAATTGGATGGAGACATGATGGATGGAGATATGATGACAGGAGCTCTCTTGGTCATCGTGCACCAGAAAGGAGAGTGAAGAGAAGCACAGGGAAGCCAGTCTTAACCATGTTTGAGCAACTGAACCAATGTCAGCTTCAGCCTACCTGCACAATTACTTTTATGTGAGAAAAACAGGCACCTCCCTATTTGGAAAATCACAGCTAGCTACAGTAGCAAACATTCCTCAAGTTATTCCTGGTAACATTATTCCTACAGCCCCAATCCTTTTAACTCATGACATTAGCTCTACATTTCTCTATTGTTCCTAACATCTAGTTCATAACCAAGAGCTTATGTTATTAAATAAGCTTTGAGTTAACAGGATTAATGAATGAAGAGTTTAAAGATACCAAAAAAATCTCATAGAAGTACACGCTGAATGTGCCAACTGACTACTATGAACCAATTTACTTTTGAGAAACATGCTATTTCTTATATGCTACTGACAGTGCCTGTAAAAATGGTGCACTTTAACTGGCTGTTTTATTTTCTCCCCAATCTTAATATCTAATATCCACAGACCGAGATCAGAGCACCAGCATATACAATGTCACTTTATACTAGAGTTAGGAGGTGAAACAAAGAGTAGAAATCAGACTCACTTTGCTAGCTGCTCTCCTCTGTCCAGAATATTTTAAAGGAGACTGTATTCCCCCAGGGCTCGCTGACCTGGCACTCTCTCCTTGCGGAGGCTCACACCACTGTCTTGTGCAGCTCTCAGTGCTTTTGCAGAATGTGTCACCATGCTATAAAACACCTTCTCCTCCACCTCTCAACCTAAGCATGTGTTACTTGGCTTCAGGACAGCTTGTCTTCTCACTGTCCTGCCTTTCCTTCTGAACGTCTTGGTCTTTGTGGTGGCCTCTCATCTCACTATCCTGGTGAAGCTTTGGGGTCATTACTTCTTCAGTTGCTTCCCTCACTAATATATCAATTGAAGACAGTATGGATGAGTTGCTTTAGAGTACAACTACTGTGACCCTAGAACCAGCTGGTCCCAGGACTTCTTCTGACTCTAAAACCAGATATAGTTGGAATAAAATATGCTCCCTAGAATGAGATTGTCATCATTACCTGGACTTTTTAATCTGCACTTTTGCTCATGCTATTCCTTCTATCAGGAGTAGCTTTGTCTCTCCCTGGTGACATTCTTCTCTTCCAGCAAGGCCTAATTTAAGTGTAATTTACTTCATAAAGTTCCTGTCACCTTGGAATTAACCTCCCTTCTACATAGTGTCATTGTTCACCTTGTTCAAATCTTTATAAATTCAGGCTCAGGCCTGTGTGGTCACGGAGTGTGACTTTTTACCAAAAGGAACACCTTGGCCAGGCACAGTGGCTTGTGCCTGTAATCCCAGCACTTTGGGAGGCCGAGGCAGATGGATCACCTGAGGTCAGGAGTTCGAGACCAGCCTGACCAACATGGAGAAACCCTGTCTCTACTAAAAATACAAAATTACCTGGGTGTGGTGGTGGGCACCTGTAATCCCAGCTACTCGGGAGGCTGAAGCCAAAGAATCACTTCAACGCAGGAGGCAGAGGTTGCCGTGAGCCAAGATAGCGCCACGGCACTCCAGCCTGGACAACAAGAGTGAAACTCTGTCTCAAAAAAAAAAAAAAAAAAAAAAAGAACACCTCATGCACTTTACAAGGAGCTCCTTCAGGAAAGGATGGCACCTCGTGTAGAGGAGAGATCTCTGATTGATTAATTAATTAATTAAAGACATTCAGAAATTAAATTAATTAAAGACATTCGGAAATTTAGCTTTATCACAGGCAGCTGTTCACACGTAAAACTAATTTGGTTACCTTCATCTGTATACACATGTAGCTAGTGAATTGACATAACTATTAAACTGGAGAATCAACAGAAACATGCCAAGGACTGGCCCTTACCTTCCACAGTGACCTCAATTTCAGGAACCTTTCCATTACTCTCAGGGCTTCATGGTCTTTTTGGGGACTGCAAAGCTGAAAAATAAGCACAGAATTACTTTAGTATATTGTAGGAAAAAATACAGAAGGAGATGCTTTATAAGAGCAGAGTATTAAAATTTATTCAGTTTGGCTCTTTTCAAAGGAACCTGCAGAATTAAACTTGTAGTGTAATCCTCCACAGGGGGCTCAACAAAGCCATGGAAACATGAATGAAGTGGGATTGCAAATGTGACATTTCCAATATTTTTTTTTTTTTTTAAAAAAGAAGGAAAAAGAGGTCCATTAAATAAAACACCTTAAAAAGCCAAGAAACTAACTGCCAGTTCCACAAAGAGAGTGGCCAGTGATTCTGTGTGATTTAAGGAATGCTGAGAAAGGATGTCTTAACGCAGTGAAATATAATAGGAAGTACAGGTAATCTCTTACCTTTAGTGTTTATTTTATTAGCCATTCCAGGAGGCGAGTAGGAAATAACTAGTTCAGGTCTAGAAAGAAAACCAAGAAATGTTATGGTAGCCAGTACAATGGTGGTCTCACAGCTAGTAAAACAGTCGTGATGTGACCAGTGTTTTTCCCTAAAGGAGTTCGCAGAATCATCCTGTAATGTAACAATAATTTCTATCATTGTGGACAAAAACCCTGACTTTTCCTTCCCATGACTGGCAAGTAATTATATGAAGAGTAAATTACTTCTTTCAAGAAAAAAAAAATTAACACTAGTATACTTTCTTCAGCCACTAAAATTCTACAGAAATGTAGATATAATAAGAAACTCAACCATCACATCAGGCCAGGTGCGGTGTCTCATGCCTGTAATACCAGCACTTTTGGAGGCTGAAGTGGGTGGGTCACCCGAGGTCAGGGGTTCGAGACCAGCCTGACCAACTTGGTGAAACCCTATCTCTACTAAAAACAGAAAAATTAGCTGTCTCTACTAAAAACACAAAAATTAGCCAGGCATGGTGGTGCATGCCTGTAATCCCAGCTACTTGGGAGGCTGAGGCAAGAGAATCGCTTGAACCCAGGAGGCGAAATTTGCAATGAGTCGAGATCACGCCATTGCATTCCAGCCTGGGCAACAAGAGTGAAACTCTGTCTCAAAAAAACAAAAAAGAAAAGAAACTCAATCATTAATATTTAGTTGCTCACAAGATTGACCCAGGAATAACACAGCAGCTAAAACCCAGCAAATTAGACTTCATTCAAGTACTTAGGTGTACTGTGAGCCACCATGGTGCCTCTCAACACCATGGAGGCAGTGGTCACTATTCTTGCACTGACAAAGACAGCTGAGTACAGGATGGGGGACTGCAGGGGCAATGGAGAGTGCCAGGACTGCAGCTCAGAGCCAGGCTTTTCCATCAAGGACTTACAGCCACGCCTGTCACCTCTAGCTAGAAAAACATTTTAGTAGAAATATCATTTTATTGTTTTAATTCCAGAAATGACTACAGTGGCAAATATAACTTACTTTTTTAATATTGTTGTTGTTGTTGTCGAGGCAGAGTCTCACTCTGTCGCCCAGGCTAGAGTACAGTGCTGTGATCTGGGCTCACTGCAGCCTCTGCCTCCCAGATTCAAGCGATTCTCCTGCTTCAGGCTCCCAAGTAGCTGGGATTACAGGCACCAGCCAACATGCCTGGCTAATTTTTAACATTTTTAGTAGATATGTTGGTCAGGCTGGTCTTGAACTCCTGACCTCAGGTGATTCACCTGCCTTGGCCTCCCAAAGTGCTGGGATTACAGGCGTGAGCCACCATACCTGGCCTGGAACTTACTTTTTAACAACAAACTTGGTTTTATTACTCCACAGACGATCCTTTCAAGTCATGGAATTCCAAACCAGGTAGGGCTTGGAAAGGAAATTCTGTCTGGCAAGCCTTCTACATACAGGAACTCGGGGTTTGATTCAAACACAGAATATGGTACTTTTACTGCCTCAGTGAGTCCAAGAGCTTGAGCTGAAAGTGCAGGAGAACATAATTTGTAGAAGATAAAATTTGACACACACATTCTTTTATTTGTATCTGCATTCTCAAGTACATTATGAACAAGTTCCCTACAATCGAGCAATAGTCACTTCATATTGAAGGCATTTTGCTTAGCATATTGGGCAAATCTGAAGAACAAGCCTAAAAGATAAGTACTTTCAGGAGGAATATTTTAACACTTTTCTTTGTTTTTTTTTTCTTTGAGATGGAGTCTTGCTCTCTTGCCTAGGCTAGAGTGCAGTGGTGTGATCTCAGTTCACTGTAATCTCCACCTCCCGGGTTCACGTGATTCTCCTGCCTCAGCCTCCCAAGTAGCTGGGACTACAGTCACACGTCAACACACCCAGCTAATTTTTTGTATTTTTAGTAGAGATGAGGTTTCACCATGTTAGCCAGGATGGTCTCAATCTCCTGACCTCAAGTGATCCATCTGCCTCGGCCTCCCAAAGTGCTGGGATTACAGGCATGAGCCATCGTGCCCGGCCCATGTTAACACTTTCAATCAAAAGGAGAGTTATGTTATCAGTCAAAATGACCTCTGTGTTCTAAGAAGAGATGACCGAAGGCCATTCCATACAGCAGTGGCCCTTAGCAGCCTTTGCATTCTCATCAAGAGGCAGGGTAGCTGTTCAAAGACAGGTGGTATCTATGACGCAACTAAGCAGTACTCAGTAAGTTCAAGTCATCAGACACAGAGTAGTCAGGATTCCTGATAAGGGGCAGGAAACGTCAGCACCAGGTATTGAGATAATGGACAGGAATGTCCGGGAATGCTGCAAGTGCTCCCCACTCCTTACTTCCTTCTCCATGACAGATACACCCAATCAACTGAAACACACTTTCTTGCTAAACCTCCTCAGAATTGTTCAAGACAGCAGTCCAGGAAACTGCTGTCAACAAATCTCAGTATTTTTCACACGTGTGTTAGCCAGATTAGAAGTACAGACGGTGGAATGACACTTATCCCAATGCCTCCCTTCCTCTCCCATTCTGACACATGAGAAAGCTGAATCCAAGAGAAATGAAGTTGTCTGCTTGGTTTCAATAGCAAGTGTAGTAGTAGAAATAAACCAAAGCCCGGTTTCTGGGACCTTCCTTTTTTAGGTCCTGAATTTCTATAATTCATTCAGACATGACCCTTCATTGATATGTTATTAAATTAAAGACATATTGTAGGGGAAGGACTATGAGTCCCTTCATGTCTACATCAAAGAGCAAGACTCTTGTCTCCAGAAAATAAAAAATACAAAAATGTTTTAATTTAAAAAAAAGTGTGATGGTTTTTGGCAATGTTTAAATAGAAGATAAGAGTATCACTTTCAAATAAGCTGACACTTTCTGAACATGTAATAACCAGGGTCACAGAATCACAGAGGCCAGTGAGAACATTAAAAAGTACCCCTGTGAGCCCCAGTGACACATACACCACCAGGAAAATTTCCTGTTCCTGTCGCTCCAACGAATCCACAGCAACATAATATCAGCAAGTAGCACGATCTGCCTCCCCTACCTCCAGGAAGCCACAGGGAAAGTGGAGAGCAAAGGGACCATTCCCTGTGTCACTGATAAGTGAGGCTCAATGGGAAACATGAGGCATGAGGGGCATCCAAAGGTAGGTGACAAGTTCAGTGTCTCCCCTTTGTCTTCCTGCTTCATGTATTATCGGCATCTTCTGCTCTTTTCATGATAAGGAAGGAGGCAGCAACAGCATGTCTACTGTGGAAATGTGGGACTACTCATCGGGCATCATGGAACTTAATGTAGAAGTTTATACAGCCCTGGGAAGCTTTCAGAACCTGGTCTCCTAAGGCTCCTGGTTTTCTAAGGCTCTTGAACAGGCAGTAGACTGTGAACCCCCAGGAGTTCACACTGGTTTTCTAGGGTCTTCACACTGCTAACCGCAGTCATGGCAACTCCCTCATTTCCTTTTTAAACAATTGTTTTCCCAATTATCCCTTTAAAATTGGGCAGTTTAGGCTGGGCATGGTGACTCACACCTATAATCCCAGCACTTTGGGAGGCTGAGGCAGGCAGATCACTTGAGGTCAGGAGTTTGAGACCAGCCTGGCTGACAATGTAAAACCCCATCTGTACTAAAAAATACAATAATTAGCTGTGTGTGGTGGTGGATACCTGTAATCCCAGCTGCTTGGGAAGTTGAGGCATGAGAATCCCTTGAACCCAGGAGGCAGAGGTTGCAGTGAGCGGAGATTGTGCCACTGTACTCCAGCTTGGGCAATAGAGCAAAACTCAATCTAAAAAAAAAAAAAATTGGGTAGTTTAGAGCCTCTGGTATAGCGAGTGTGCACAATGATTCGTGATGATGAGCTATTAAACATCATTAACTAGGCTATGGTGGTTTTTTAAAATCGTGACTGGCTAGGCGAGGTGGCTCATGTCTGCAATCCCAGCACTTTGGGAGGCTGAGGCGGACGGATCACCTGAGGTTGAGAGTTAGAGACCAGTCTGACCAACATGGAGAAACACTGTCTCTAGAAAAAATACAAAATTAGCTGGGTGTGGTGGCGCATGCCTGTAATCCCAGCTACTCAGGAGGCTGAGGCAGGAGAATCACTTGAATCCAGGAGGTGGAGGTTGCGGTGAGCCAAGATTGCGCCATTGCACTCCAGCCTAAGCAACAAGAGTGAAACTCTGTCTTAAAAAAAAAAAAAAAAGAAAAAGAAAAAAAAGAAAAATCAATACCCAGCAGATGGTGAGACATCCATAATGTGACCAGGTGCCAAGGAATGTCCATAAGGATGGAACTGCAGTCAAGTCTCCTGAATTTCCTTCCTTGGGCCCCTTCCCTGGGCCCACCCCCTACCCATATAACCACATCCTCACTTTTCTCCCCTAAACACAAATCGAGGGACACTCAAAGCAAGCATAGTACTCACTTCTTAACCAATCCATCCCTTCTTCCATCCCCAACACATGGAGAGAACTTATGTTAGCCTTGTAAATAAGAAATACTTACCATCCCACAGTTATTTTTCCAGTCTGCCTTTTTTTAACCACTCACCTGGCAGAAACTTATTCTCCTGGCCAGTAGCTATTTGTAAAACTGGTCTGCCTCCCTATTTTCACATCAAAGATACTAATTCTTTAGTAGAAAGGGGAGTATTCTAAATCAGACAATTAGCAGATCACCTAGAATTTCCACCCCCTCCACAGAGGCACACAAACAAGAGAATTAACCCAATTTGCTGTCTATAATAAACAGGATGTTCTACTCACCACTGAGCCCCAGAGGTTGTTACTAGATGACTAATCCCTAGCAGTAATGGCTACAATGGCCCAGTTCCCTATTGTATTACTGTGTGCAGAAATTTGAAAGGCACTCTTCTCCCACCCCCATCTTCCCTAACATACTTTTGCACATCAATCCATTAAGAATCTGAAGTGTAATTTATCTTATTCACTATTATCCTGTTAAATTGCTCTACAGCTGCCATGGGAGTAATTGCGGTGATTAGTGACTCAGACTTCTTGAGCAAAGGGCCTTAAGTAGGTTTCATTATTAAAACTTCCAAAGGTTTTATTATTGAAATAAACCTGAGATAGAGCAGTATGCCTCCATAGGGCAGTCATACTAATGATTCTTAAGTTACGAAGGGATGTCAGACCCATCAACAATGTTGCGCTTGTGAGTATGACTAACTGGGAATTTATCAACGAATAAAACCAACTGGCATTCTAAGAATGAAGAAGAATAATCTCATTTTAAGTAGCATATGAAGTGCTGTGCAACCCTTTAAAAAGCTGCCTTTGGCTGGGCGCGGTGGCTCATGTCTGTAATCCCAGCACTTTGGGAGCCTGAGGCAGGCAGATCACCTGAGGTCAGCAAATAGAGACCATCCTGACTAACACGGTGAAACTCCGTTTCTACTAAAAATACAAAAAATTAGCCAGGTGTGATGGCACATGACTGTAATCCCAGCTACTCGGGAGGCCGAGGCAGGAGAATCACTTGAACCCAGGAGGCGGAGGTTGCAGTGAGCCAAGATCATGCCATTGCACTCCAGCCTGGGCAACAAAAGCAAAACTCCATCTAAAAAAACAAAAACAAAAACAAAAACACCTGCCTTTGGCCAGGCACAGTGGCTCAGGCCTGTAATTCCAGCATTTTGGGAGGCCGAGGCAGGTGGATCATATTTACCTCCTAAATATCTCTCAAAACCTCGCTTCCCCTTCATATTCACTGGCACCTCCTATTCAGCATCTCATCACTCATTCAACAATATTTAATGAGTATGAAGCATAGCTAGGTGTTTTTAAACAGAATAAAAACAGTGTGATCTTTGTTTTCTGGTGGCTCAACATCTAGTTATTTCTTTTTTCTTTTTTTTCCAAGACAGAGTCTTGTTCTGTCACCCAGGCTGCAGTACAGTGGCGCGATCTCGGCTCACTGCAACTTCCGCCTCCTGGATTCAAGCAATTCTTCTACCTCAGCCTCCCAAGGAACTGGGAATACAGGTGTGCACCACCACGCCCAGCTAATTTTTCTATTTTTAGTAGAGATGGGATTTCATCATGTTGGCCAGGCTGGTCTCCATCTCCTGACCTCGTGATCCACATGCCTCAGCCTCCCAAAGTGCTAGGATTGCAGGCGTGAGCCACCGCACCCAGCAAACATCTAGTTATTTCTTATCTGAACTATTCACGTACACTCTTGTCTCTTACCATTCATTCACAGAGTAATACCCAGTCTGGGAATGGTAAGAGACAAAAGTATACCTGGGTACACCATGCCAATAGTACCCAGAGTGTCTCCTCCTCAAAACTGAGATTTTATTCAGGGGTCAGTAAACTTTTTCTATAAAAACCAGAGAGTAAATATTTTAGGCTTCTGGGCCATATGTTCTCTGTTGAAACTACTCAACTCTGCTCTTGTAACATTAAAAACAGCCATGGACAATATGTAAACCCATGGGTGAGACTGTGTTCCAATATGGTTTATTCATAAAAAAAGGCATCAGGCTAGATTTGACCCATGGGCCACAGAGTTTGCCGACCCCTGATTTAATTGCAGTGCTTCTTACTCCATTGGAATTATCCAGATTCCTTTCCATAGCCTAGAAGGTGCTCCATCCTCATCTGAGTATTACTTGCTTCTCCAGGATCCACTATGCTCCAGCCACCCTGACCATCTTTATGGTGCTTAAACACCGTGCCAAGTCCACTCACATCTCAGGTCCCTGCACTTCATGTTCTACCCATCACAACCACTCTTGCCCAGTGAGCTGCCTCAGCTCAAATGTCACCTCCTCAGAGAGGTCTTCACTGCCCACCCCAATAGGTCAGTGCCCATCCTAATGCCCAAACTTTCTAACTCCCAAAGCTCTATTTATTTTCTTCAAATTACTTATCACCGTCTGAACACATATCATTTGTTGCATGTATATAGCCTGCTTCTCCACCACCACACCACCACCACTAGAACGGAAGCTCCCCGAGAAAAGAGACTGTCTTACTCATTCTCCCCTTAGTTCCCAGCACCTAGATCTGTGCCTGGCACTTGGCAGGGGCTCAAAAAATATCTGTTATTGGCTGGGCACAGTGGCTCATGCCTGTAATTCCAGCACTTTGGGAAGCTGAGGTAGGCAGATCACCTGAGGTCAGGGGTTCGAGACCAACCTGGCCAACATGGTAAAACCCCATCTCTACTTAAAAAATAGAAAAATTAGCGGGGCATGGTGGTACACACCTGTATTCCCAGCTACTCGGGAGGCTGAGGAAGGAGAATCACTTGAATCCGGGAGGCAGAGGTTGCGGTAAGCCAAGATCACACCATTACACTCCAGCATGGGCAACAAGAGTAAAACTCCATCTAAAAAAAAAGAAAGGAAAGAAAGAAAGAAAGAAAAGCAAAGGAAAGAAAAGGAAAGAAAAGAAAAAAGAATATGAACAGTTGGCGAGATCAAGACTTCCGGCCCAAAGGGCCTGCAGCTGGTCTGACCATTCATCAAAAAATCTGAATTTAAATGGAGACACATTGGACTGTCACATGCAATAAAAGAACTGAAGCAGCAAATGGTCTTGATTTGGGTTTCGTCCACCCTACATGACTCCAGCAAATGGAGGAGTGAGCGTGCCTGCGGTGCTCCTGACACATCTAGGGTAGTTCCTATTCACAGTGGTCAACCTTTGGGATTTTCCACACCTCACAGGGTCATCATCCATCTAGGCTAACCTAGAATGTCCAGATAGAAGCTCCTGTTTAGAGACTGGAGAGAAAATTGTCAAACCTGAAAGCCCATGAACTGTCTCAGCCAGGGGAGAACTCACGTAGGAAAGACTACAGAGTGATGTCAGAAGCCTAATTTCAGATTGACCTGTACAGCTTTACGATTGTGAGTAATTAACTTACTTTTGCTAGGCTCTGTTAGTCTCACATCAATAATGAGAAAGCGAACCGAATAGTCTCCCAAATCCCTTTCAATTTTAACATCCTCTGACTTTATGATTAAAGAGTGATACTAATAAGGCTAAAACTGTGGCTTAACCCCAATAGGAGCCTGCTGGGATTATGCTAAGCAAAACTATTCCACACAGACAGAGCCATTCTGACCATGTCCCTCCCTACACCAGCTAACATACAGATATGCACCACTGGTGTGAGAAGTCCCTCCTACAGAGGACATTGACTGATTCAATAATAGGCTGATTTAGTCATTCAACCAAGAAATATTTACTGAGCACCTTCTAGGTATTTAGGGATACAACAGAACAAAACAGACAAAATCCCTTTCCTTATGGAGCTTACGTTTTAGTGAAGAAGAGTGGGGGAGTCAGACATCAAATAGGAAATGAGTTGAGGATACATTTTACGCAGAGCACCCTGGAGGCACTTTTGATAAGGTGATTTTTGAGCCTCAATCCAAAGCAGTGAGACAGTGAGCCATGCAGACACTAGGGGAAGAATGTTCCAGGCAGAGGGAACAGCAAGGCCCAGAGACAGGACAGGGTCAAGCATGCCTGGAATGTTAAAGGAAACGCCATGAGCTCAGTGTTTATACAGAGGAGTAAGAGCAGAATAGCAGGAAGCACAGTGAGACAGGTAGTAGGGGGCAAGATCATGTAGAAAACAGAAAGCCACTGGAGAGTTTGAACAGAGGGGTAAACATGATCTAAATTCCACTGAAAAATGACTGTTCTAGCTGTTGTGTTGAGAGTAGACAGGCTGGGTGCAGTGGCTCACACCTGTAATCCCAACGCTTTGGGAGGCTGAGGCAGGCGGATCACTCGAGGCCAGGAGTTCAAGACCAGTCTGGCCAACATGTCAAAACCCTGTCTCTACTAAAAATACAAAAGAATTAGCCAGGCATGGTGGTTTGTGCCTGTAATCCCAGCTACTAGGGAGGCTGAGGCAGGAGAATCGCTTGAACCTGGGAGGCGGAGGTTACAGTAAGCAGAGATCACAGCATTGTACTCCAGCCTTGGTGAGAGAGCAAGACTCTGTCTCAAAAAAGAAAAAAAAAAAGACAGAATAGACTGAAGGAGGCAAGCATGGAAACAAGAAAACCAGTTAGGAGACTACTGAGATAAACCAGGTGAGAGATGATGGCAGATGGATCCAGGGTGGCAGCAGTGAGGAATGAAGAGGGACAGACTCTGGGATATATTCTGAAGTTGAATCAACAGGACACTGGAGGACAGGATGATCTTGGAAAATCTTGGGACTACTGCAGAATTGAATGAGGCTAAATGGCACTAAATTCCAACATCCACTGTGAAATCCTGGGATTAGGGATTTGTTCATCTCTGTCACCTACTGTCCCACCCAGTACTTGGCACATAATGAAGATATAAAAAGTCCTCAATTCTTGAATAAATGTGGAACTGAATATATTACAAAGCCAGAAAACCCTGCAGTTTGATAGGTCATTAGGAGACCAAAAAGCATCTGGTACTAGACATATTTTACTAACAGAGTCTTGCCCTGTCGCCCAGGCTGGCAATGGCATGATGTCAGCTCACTGCAACCTCCGCCTCCCAGGCTCAAGCAATTCTCATGCCTCAGCCTCCCCAGTAGCTGGGACTACAGGCACTCACCACTAAGCCCAGCTAATTTTTTTGTTTTGTTTTGATTTTTGTATTTTAGTAGAGATGGGGTTTCACCATGTTGCCGAGGGTGGTCTCAAACTCCTGAGCTCAGGCAATCCACCCACTTTGGCCTCCCAAAGTGCTAGGATTACAGGTGTGAGCCACTGCACTCGGCCTAAATCTATTTCTTTTTATAAAAAATTTTCCTTACTATGGCCAGACACGGTAGCTCATGCCTGTAATCCCAGCACTTTCGGAGGCCGAAGCAGGCATATCATGAGGTCAGGAGATTGAGACCATCCTGGCTAACACGGTGAAACCCCGTCTCTACTAAAAATAAAAAAATAAAAATAAAAATTTCCCTTTATAACTCATTTCACAGTAGTAACCAATGAAGCTGACAAACAACTTCACATTATACAGGTGAGATGTGAACAACTTGGCCATTTCCCTGAGAGGCCAGATGTAGTCACCAAACCTCAGCAACTCCCACCTAAAATACAGGGATAAGTATTACACAAGTAGTAAGCCCATGTTCTTATAAATAGTAAATCATGGGCCGGGCACAGTGGCTCACGCCTGTGATCCCAGCACTTTGGGAGGCTGAGGCGGGTGGATCACGAGGTCAGGAGCTCAAGACCAGCCTGGCCAACATGGTGAAACCCCGTCTCTACTAAAAATACAAAAATTAGCCAGGTGTGGTGGTGGGTGCCTGTAATCCCAGCTACTCAGGAGGCTGAGGCAGAGAAATGCTGGAACCCGGGAGGTGGAGGTTGCAGTAAGCCAAGATTGTGCCACTGCACTCCAGCCAGGGCAACAGAGGGAGACTCCATCTCTAAAATAAAATAAAATAAATAAAATAAAATAAAAAAATAAAATAAAATAATAAAATAAAATAAAATAAAATAAAATAAAAAAATAAAGACAAAGGATGTCACTTACATGGACACGTGTTCAGGGCTTGTGTGGAGGAGTTGTGGATGATGACGAAAGTCGACCTGGAGACAATGGAGTCTGACTGGAGTTACTGGATGAGGAAAGGAGAGAAAGAGAGAGAAAAGGAAAAGGGTAAGGGAAGTGGAAGATTGCCTCAGTGTGAAGGTCATCTCTGATTGCTGACAAAGGCAGTGGAAAATGTTGGAGAAGGTCTGAAAATACTGCTAAAGGTTGGTGGTTTCAGAAAATCTTGTAACATTTCCTTTACTTTAAAACTTAGCATCTCAAGGGTTTTTAGTATGAGTTTTTTTTTGTTTTGTTTTGTTTTTCCCCATGGATTTCAGAGTAGTTGAACCATTCAGCCACAGAAAATAACTCCGGTATCAACCACATTAGAATATTACCAATAAAGACATGGGACTCTCCTCCTCTGAGGTCGAGCACGTCTATTCACTTGCTGCTCAGCCTCCTCTTCTGCCCACCCTCACCTCCTTTTCTGGCATCTGCTCCTCCCAGGGAGGACTTCACACCCTCCTCACAGAGCCAGCTGCCACCTCCCACTCTTCGAGGCTCCATCACATGCCTGGCTCCACCACCTTCTCGTGTGTGACATCTACCTTTCACCAAGCTGAGGACACAGTGCACCCATGGTGTGTTTAAGGAGACAGTTCTGATGGCCACAAAATTCTTTTGTTATGTGGTCTGTGATTTGAATTGCCCTGTCCAAAGACTAATGCATGGTTCATGGTCAGGCCAAGTAAGGTTATGCTGGAATGAGAAACCACCAAGCACCTTTAATTCCTTCCAAGATCTTTTAGGAGTGGGACAAAGTCAAGTGCTGGGTTAGTGATGGCAAGAGAGGAGATTCTCTCTGCTGCACTCTGGTGATGATGGCAGGTCCAGCACTGCTCCAGCACCCAATCCTTGCAGTGTCTTCTATGGCACTTGCACATTCTTTATATAATACGGGCTTTGCAGTCTCAGTTTCTGCAATCACTGTCACAACTGCCCCTAACAAAAGCAGTGACTGCATTCCTCACAACCTTGAATTTGAGCTTTGTCTTGAGAAATGAAGGTTTCTACAGGTTTCTTCATGTTCACATTAATCCAAACTGAAGATTTACCTCCAGGAATATTTTTCTTTCTCTATTACTTCCCTTAGCAAAAAATGTGTAACTTCCAATCTTCAATTCTTCACCAATGCTTTGATTCTTTGGCTAAATCAAACGCATGCTGAGGGCCAGGCACAGTGGTTCACACCTGTAATCTCAGCACTTTGGGAGACTAAGGCAGGCTGATCACAAGGTCAGGAGCTCAAGACCAGCCGGGCCAACATGGTGAAACCCCATCTCTTCTAAAAATACAAAAATTAGCCAGCATGGTGGTGTGCACCTGTAATCCCAGGTACTGGGAGGCTGAGGCAAGAGAACTGCTTGAACCCAGGAGGTGAAGGTTACAGTGAGCCAAAATCATGCCACTGCACTCCAGCCTGGGCAACAAAGCAAGACTCTGTCTCAAAAAAAAAAAAAAAGAAAGAAAAAACATGCTTAACCTATGAGTTAAGCACTGAGTTTTGTCTTCTCCACTGCAGGACTCCTGGACAAGGATTATTTTCTTACCCTACTATAGAATTTCTCAACCACTTTCCATGCCATACTCCACACAAAATCTATTTGGCACACTGACTGACCTTCACTAATTGCCCCAAGATACTGTGAGAGCTGAAGGAGCAGTATTTCAGGACACACCCATTAACCCAACTTGAGAACATTTATTCACTGTAGTATTAATGAGAATGATTAACTGCACAAATTTGTAAAGACCTAATATGCACACATAATTCATACTTGATTCCCAACACTTATTTCCTGACAATAAAAACCTTCATACTAAATGGCTAGTTATTGGTTCTTGGCAACTTAAATTCCTAAGGTGGTAGATAATCTACAAATTGTGGTCACTTACTCTGACAGTGCACAATGGCAAACAAAAAGATGGGAAAGAAAGAAAGCTCTAATAAAGAGCTCTAACAAAGAAAATAGGCTGGGCACGGTGGTTCACACCTGTAATCTTAACACTTTGGGAGGCCAAGGTGGCAGATCACCTGAGGTCAGGGGTCCAAGACCAGCCTGGCCAACATGGCGAAACCCTGCCTCTACCAAAAATACAAAAATTAGTTAGGCATGGTGGCACAGGCCTGTAATCCCAGGTACTTGGGAGGCTGAGGCAGGAGAATTGCTTGAACCCAGGAGGCGGAGGTTGCGGTGAGCCAAGATCGCACCATTGTACTCCAGCCTGGGAAACAAGAGCAAAACTTCGTCTCAAAAAAAAGAAAGAAAAGAACATTGTTTGTTCAGTGGGGACTTCTTAGATCTTTCCTATTAGGCTGTGATATTCGTGTGCAGGCCAGAGTTACAGTATTTGCCATTTTAGGAACAGGGCTCATATGAATAAACATTAAGGTCCAAATGCGGACAGTAACTGCTATCCCTGAACAGTTGTGTGGCTACTTGAAACTGAAATATGCTGTGAGTATGAAAGACACATCAATTATCAACAAAAAGAACATACGCAAATGAAGTAAAGAATGTTAAATACTTCATTGTGTATTTATTTATAATGATTTCAGGTTGAACTCGAAAATGTAAAATTATGTATGTGGCTTGCATTTGCAGCACACATTGTATTTCTCTTGGATACCACTGGCCAAAGTTCAAAGCTTAATGCTGGGTGCGGTGACTCACATCTATAATCCCAGCACTTTGGGAGGCTCAGGCAGAAGGATCACCTGAGCCTAGGAGTTTGAGACCAGCCTGGCCAAAATGGTGAAACCTTGTCTCTACACAAAATACAAAACTTAGCCAGGCATGGTGGCGCACGCCTGTAATCCCAGGTACTCAGGAGGCTGAGGAAGGAGAATTGCTTGAGCCTGGTTGCAGTGAGCCAAGATCACACCACTGCACTCCAGCCTGGGTGACAGAGTGAGACTCTGTATCAAAAAAAGGAAGAAAGAAAAAAAGCTTCAGTTATCCCTACACTGCATATGTGCATATTGATAAATCAAGAAGTGCCTGTATTGAGCTTCTGCAAAAGATTTTTTGGGGAGGTGAAGGAAGGAGCAGTTCCATCATTTTAAAAGATTAATTTTTAAAAGCTTCAAGATTAACCTGTGCTTTTAAAAAGGATTTCACAACTATTTTACCTGTTGTATTTGTTCTTGGCTGAGTAACTACAGTTGTATTGTGAGTAAGAAGTTCTGGACCATAAATACATAGTTGATATTAATATTATAATAAAGCATTTAGAAGAAATTTACAGGCCTTTCTCACACAGTTGTGCACTGCTAATTATTATTATTATTATTATTTGAGACAGAGTCTCATCCTGTTGTCCAGGCTGGAGTACAGTGGTGCGATCTCGACTCACTGCAACTTCCGCCTCCCAGGTTCAAGCAATTATCCTGCCTCAGCCTCCCGAGTAGCTGGAACCACAAGTGCACGCCACCACACCTGGCTAATTTTTGTATTTTTAGTAGACATGGGGTTTTGCAATGTTGGCAAGGCTGGTCTTGAACTCCTGACCTCAGGTGATCCACCCACCTCAGCCTCCCAAAGTGCTGGGATTACAAGCGTAAGCCACTGTGCCTGGCCAATTTTTAAACATAATCCATTCTGCCTTCATTTTATAGTGAAAATAATCATTTTGGTGACTTGAATTTTGAAAATAGCAATTTTCAGACATTCAGGTGAGACCAGCTGGATGTCTCCAAAGTCATCTTTTTTTAAGATAAATATGCAAAAGTCACTTTTCCCCCAAACCAGCTCAATTCTGTTTCTGAATCTTAGATGAACGGTCTCATAGCAGAGCCAGAAGCAGCTTGCTGTATCATCTTAAACCTTTCCCCTCCATATACAACTCAGTCCCAATGAATACACACAGATGCACAACCTCAATCAGTAAGCAAGACTCAACCCACTTCAACATTCCTTTCACGAGTAGAGAGAGGCCTTCTGTTCCTATCCCCAACACTCAAACTACCCATGTATTACCCTTCAAAATTAAGCCAGAATAACCTTTCTAAAGGGTAGATCCAAATTATTTTAAGAGGGAACTGCTATGAGACCATTTAATGACTGCCACTGCTTTTGTAGGATCTAAGGCCTTCCTCCATTTGGCCACCCAAGTCTATCTATGCAATCCCACCATGCCCACATGGCACTCCTCCCTCCACACAGAATGGGTGAGGTATGTGAATATGTGGGCATATTTGACATCTCCCTGCCTTTACTCATATTTGGAACACGTTCCCTCCCTTCTGGATGCACAAATGACTGATCTGGGTATGCCATCCTTGCCTTCTCCCCTAAAAATGCTCAATAACTCTTCATTGCATTTTTCATAATATTAAGCCTCCCAAGGACAGGGTTCTTGCTAGACCCAATTTTGCACATCTGATACTTATACTAAATACATGTTTGTTCAATAAGTGAATCTAAATGTTAATTGTAAATATAAGGAAGTCATAATGAGAGGGGAACAAAAGGCCCTTCCTCATCGAATTAATCTCTCCTTAGGGAAGACACTGAATTTGTTTCTGCAGATTATCATCTTACCTTTTAATAAGAAATTTAATTCGATTGCCCACTTGAATGATGTTTTCCAGCCTTGGGATTCCATACCACGAGGGACTTCTGAAAGGAATGTTTTCTGGTAGTCCTTCCGCATACAGATCATTCGCATGGCCTTCAAATTTTTGGTACAGTAGAACCTTGGCTTCAGTGCTCCCCAAGGCTTCAGCTGAACAAAACCAAAGCAATTCAGGAGACTATGCTTGTGTTGAAATCAGATTTTAGTACAATCCAAAGCAAGGTGCAGGTCAATTTTTTTAAATTGGAAAAACTCTAGAAACATATTTACTAACTATTGAAGCAGGCTTAAAGCAAAGGCAAGTATAAATGACCCATTATTAGACAGATCAATGAGACAGAAAATTAACAAGGATATTAAGGACTTGAAGTCAGTTCTGGACCAAGCAGACTTAAGACATCTACAGAATTTTCCACCCCAAATCCACAGAATATACGTTCTTCTCAGCACCACATCACACTTATTCTAAAACTGACCACATAATTAGAAGTAAAACACTCCTCAGCAAATGCAAAAGAATGGAAATAATAACAAACAGGCTCTCACTGCATAGTGCAATTAAATTAGATCTCAAAATTAAGAAACTCACTCAAAACCGCACTACATGGAAACTGAACAACCTGCTCCTGAATGAGAACTGGGTAAATAACGAAATTAAGGCAGAAATAAAGATGTCCTTTGAAACCAGTAAGAACAAAGACACAACATATCAGAATCTCTGGGACACGTTTAAAGCAGTGTTTAGAGGGAAATTTATAGCACTAAATGACTAATGCACTAAATGCCCATAAGAGAAAGCAGGAATAATCTAAAATATAATATTTATGCAGCTAACAAACATGAAAAAATGCTCATCACTGGTCATTAGAGAAATGCAAATCAAAAACAATGAGATACCATCTCATGTCAGTTAAAATGGCAAACAATAAAAAGTCAGGAAACAACAGATGCTGGAGAGGATGTGGAGAAATAGGAACGCTTTTATACTTTTGGTGGGAGTGTAAATTAGTTCAATCATTGTGGAAGACAGTGTAATGATTCCTCAAGGACCTAGAACCAGAAATAACATTTGACCCAGCAATCCCATTACTGGGTATATACCCAAAGGATTATAAATCATTCTACCATAAAGACACATGCACATGTATGTTTATTGCGGCACTATTCACAATAGCAAAAACTTGGAACCAACCTAAATGCCCATCAATGATAGACTGGATAAAGAAAATGTGGTACATATACACTATGAAATACTATGCAGACATGAAAAAGGATGAGTTCATGTCCTTTGCAGGAACATGGATGAAGCTGGAAACCATCATTCTCAGCAAACTAACACAAGAACAGAAAACCAACAACTGCATGTTCTCACTCATAAGTGGGAGTTGAACAATGAGAACACATGGACATGGAGGGGAACATCACACACCAGGGCCTCTCGGGGAGTGCAGGGTTAGGGGAGGGACAGCATTAGGAGAAATACCTAATGTAGATGACAGGCTGATGGGTGCAGCAAACCACGATGGTACGTGTAACAAACCTGTACGTTCTGCACATGTACCCCAGAACTTAAAGTATAATAAAAAATAATAATAACCAAATCCTGCCCCCAATCCAAGGCCACAAATAATTTAATTAAAGCCTATAAAATAGGACACACAGAAAAGTCACTCTGTTTCCTTGACTCCACAACTTGTATGTGTGGCTTATAATGCATTTACTTTATTATCAGTCTCGATAAACTCTGGGGGAGAAAGCCGGGGGTAACACACCTAATCCTTTCATGAAATGTCTAACATGCCATTGAGTGTGTGGGATCTTTTCTCAAGCCCCCATGCCTGAGTGCCATTTGCTGATGGCCCTTCCCCATGATTGAGGAAGCTGGGTCACTAGTTGAACACTAAGTACAAGACAGCATGAGAGTCATGCTTGCAGCTGCAGTTAGCTGGAGGGCTGGTATAAGGCACTGCTCCATGATTGTATATACTGAGTTCTGCCATCTTAGTGATATCTGTATATGTTTTCTATCTTTGAAGATACTTGCATTTTTACATATCAGAATCTCAAGGCTGAGAAATAAAAATTTTAAAAATTAAAAAAAAATAATAAAAATAAATGACCCATTATTACCAACCAGATTTTGGCAGATTTAAGTGTCCTGATCCTAAGACAATCTTAATAACTCTAAGATCTTAAAATATTAAACTTTGTTTTTCAATATTCTTAGGAAGAAGAGAAAAAAATTATAGACGATAAAGAACACAACCTGAATACTATTTGTTTTTTTTTGTTTGTTTTTTTTTTTGTTGTTTTGTTTTGTTTTTTTCCAAGATGGAGTCTCGCTCTGTCACCCAGGCTGGAGTGCAGTGGCATGATCTCGGTTCATTGCAAGCTCCGCCTCCTGGGTTCAAGTGATTCTCCTGCCTCAGCCTCCTGAGTAGCTAAGATTACAGGTGCCCGCCACCACGCCTGGCTAATTTTTGTACTTTTCAGTAGAGATGGGGTTTTACCATGTTGGCCAGGCTGGTCTCAAACTCCTGACCTCAAGCGATCTGCTCACCTTGACCTCCCAAAGTGCTGGGATTACAGGTGTGAGCCACCGCAGCTGGCCTGCAAATACTATTTGGAAGCAGCCTTTTGCCACTATCTGCTTGTGAAATTAATAACCCTCCTCCACTGGCTGCTGCAAACAGGCATATTTCAGGCTGAATTTTCATCCACACTGCAACCACAAGATCAATGTTCTTTACCCCTTCAACCTCATGAGCATGCTGTTTTAAAAGAAATAACTTTCCACAAAGAATTCATGAAATGGGAAATAAAAATAGTAAGCAGAGGCCAGTTTTGATTAAAAGAGGCATAACAACCAAAGTTAGCACATGAAGACTGTTTGGACCCAGATTTAAAGCAAAATTTTTCAGATAATGAGGAAATGAGATACTGTTCAGGTAAGAGTAAGGAAACTTGGCCAGGCATGGTGGCTCACACCTGTAATCGCAGCACTTGGGGAGGACGAGGTGGGCAGATTACCTGAGGTCAGGAGTTCGAGATCAGCCTGGCCAACATGGTGAAACCCTGTCTCTACTAAAAATACAAAAATTAGCTGGGCATGGTGGCGTGCGCCTGTAATCCCAGCTACCCAGGAGGCTGAGGCAGGAGAATTGTTGGAGCCCAGGGGGCAGAGGCTGCTGTGAGCTGAGATTGCACTCCAGCCTAGGGTGACACAGCAAGACTTTGTCTCCAAAAAAAAAAAAGAGTGAGGAAACTCAACTAAGGGTTACAGATGAGCTGACACCAAAAAATCATTGTAATTTTGTCAGATGTGATGAGATAGTAGCTGTGTAAGAAAATGTTAATGCTGTTCGGGGATGCACACTGAACAGATAAAATGATGGTGATGACTGATTTGCTTTACAATATTCCTGCAAAGGGAGGTAAAGGAATAGAAGAACAAAATGTGGGACAATCTTAATGATCACAGAAATTGAGGAATGGGTATTTTAGCGTTCACTGTACTATTTTCTCTACTTTTGAATAGGTATAAAAACTGTAATTTAAAAATGTAAAACAAGGGCCAGGAGCGATGGCTCATGCCTGTAATCCCAACACTTTGGGAGGCTGAGGCAGGTGGATCACTTGGGTCAGGAGTTCAAGACCAGCCTGGCCAACATGGTGAAAGCCTGTCTCTACCAAAAAAAAAAATCAGCCGGGTGTTGTGGCAGGCACCTGTAGTCCCAGCTACTCAGAAGGCTGAGGCAAGAGAATTGCTTGAACCTGGGAGGCAGAGGCTGCAGTGAGCCAAGATCGTGACACTGCACTCCAGCCTGGGCGACAGAATGAGAATCCACCAAAAAAAAAAGTAAAAATGAATTGACTAATCCCTGCTCTGAAGCCACATCCAAACAAAACTCTAAAAAGAAAGATTCAAGCAATTTATATCGTGCTATTTATATATAGATCTCCCTTGTACCTCTGTATGTAACATTTAAATATTTTGCAGCCTGATGGTTGGGAGTGGCTCAAAGCTGGGCATGGTGGCATGTGCCTGTAGCCCCAGCTATTTAGGAGACTGAGGCAGGAGGATAACTTGAGCCCAGGAGTTCTAGTCCATCCCAGACAACATAAGACCCTGTTTCTTTGTTTCTTTTCTTTTTCTTTGTTTTTTTTTTTTTTTGAGATGGAGTTTCATTCTTGTTGTCCAGGCTGGAGTGCAATGGTGCAATCTTGGCTCACTGCAACCTCTGCCTCCTGGGTTCAAGTGATTCTCCTGCCTCAGCCTCCCAAGTAGCTGGGATTACAGGTGCATGCCACCACGCCCCGCTAACTGAGTATTTTTAGTAGAGATGGGATTTCTCCATGTTGGTCAGGCTGGTCTTGAACCCCCCACTTCAGGTGATCCACCTGCCTCAGCCTCCCAAAATGCTGGGATTACAGGTGTGAGCCACCGCACCCAGTGGACCCTGTTTCTTTAAAAAGAAAAGTCGGGGAGCTCTCAGGGAGCTCACTGATGAATTATTTTGGTGATATCAACAATTGCTATCAAAACACAACTATAAAATCCAAAATTATAGGCTGGGCATGGTGGCTCACACCTGTAATCCCAGCACTTTGGGAGGCTGAGGCAGGCGGATCACGAGGTCAGGAGATCGAGACCATCTTGGCTAACACGGTGAAACCCTGTCTCTACTAAAAATACAAAAAAAAATTAGCTGGGCATGTGGTGGGCACCTGTAGTCCCAGCTACTTGGGAGGCTGAGGCAGGAGAATGGCGTGAACCCGGGAGGCGGAACTTGCAGTGAGCCGAGATCGCACCACTGCACTCCAGCCTGGGTGACAGAGCGAGACTCCGTCTCAAAAAAAACAAAACAAAAAAACAAAAAAACAAAAAAACCCAAAATCCAAAATTATATCTATTGCCAGATCTTTCTCCTTACTTCCAGACTTATTTATCCAACTGTCTCCTTCACCTCCACACCTCAACTTAAATGTCAACTTGAAATTAATTAATTAATAAATAATTTAATTATTTATTAATAATTAATGTCTTTGTTCTTAGATCGGCTTTCCTCTAACATCTCAAGATTTGTCTCAAATTCTTACTTCATGATATTAGCACCAAATCTGAAGGGCTCTAGTACAGGAACTCTCTGAGATCAGAAACACATGTATTTTTGAGAAACCACACAAAATGAAATAATTATCATAGCTGTAAAAAGAAATATGCCCATAAACAAATCATAGTAAAGGATTAGAGGCTTTCAGTCACACTAGAGAGTGATGTTAAATAAAATTATTCTGTTAATTCAACAAGGAAATATATAAGCCTAATTCTAACAAAGTTTTTATAAAATAAAAAAGAACCAATTGGAGTTGAGAGTAAAAAGTGAAGTTTAGAAAGAGGCGAGGCCAACTACAGAACGTGCTCATCACATATCATCAAGGCTGCCCCAATCACAACCCCTGCTTCCCCATTCCCCTTATTCTACTTAATTCTTTCCCAGACCTTATATCTTCTTACAGAGTAAATATCCCCTACTTACTATACGTTTCCCCAGCAGATTGAATGCTCCAGAATGCACGGGGCAGGGCACTGTCTTCTGCACTGCCCAGCTCCCCCCGCACCTGACTCACAGGTAACAAATGACTGCAGGATTATGAGGTTGGAAGTAGTGAATATTTCTTGAATACTTGCAGTGGTTCCCAGCAATGACAAATCTAAGATTTCCTCTCTCCCTTTCAGGAACCTTAAAGAAAGCAGCAATACTGTCAGAGGTGTTTGAACGAGAACCACTTGATCTTAAATAGAAGCTGGGTAAAATGAGGCTGAGACCTACTGAGCTGCATTCCTAGATGGTTAAGGCATTCTAAGTCACAGGGTGAGAGACGAGATCAGCACAAGATACAGGTCATAAAGACCTTGTTGATAAAATGAGTTGCAGTAAAGAATTCAGCCAAAACCCATAGAAACCAAGATGGTGACAAGAGTGACCTCTGGTTGTCCTCAATGCTACACTCCCACCAACACCATGACAGTTTATAAATGCCATGGCAACATCAGGAAGTTACCCTATATGGTCTAAAAAGGGGAACCATAAAAATAATCCACTCCTGGCCAGGTGCGGTGGCTCACACCTGTAATCTCAGCATTCTGGGATGCCAAGGTAGGTGGATCACCTGAGGTCAGGAGTTTGAGACCAGCCTGGCAACGTGGTAAAACCCCGTCTCTACTAAAAATACAAAAACAAATTAGTTGGGTGTGGTGGTATGCACCTGTGATCCCAGCTACTAGGGAGGCTGAGGCAGGAGAATTGCTTGAACCCAGGAGGCAAGGTTGTAGTGAACCAAGATCACACCACTGCACTCCGGCCTGGACTCCATCTCAAAAAAAAAAAAGAAAATAGTAAGAGAGGCTGGGCGTGGTGGCTCACAATTGTAATTCCAGCACGTTGGGAGGCTGAGGTGGGTGGATCACCTAAGGTCAGGAATTCGAGACCAGCTTGGCCCACAAGGTGAAACTACATCTCTACTAAAAATACAAAAATTAGCTGGGCATGGTGGCAGGTGCCAGTAATCCCGGCTACTTGGGAGACTGAGGCAGGAGAATTGCTTGAATCTGGGAGGCGGAGGTTGCAGTGACCTGAGACTGCGCCACTGCACTCCAGCCTGGGTAACATGAGCGAAACTCCGTCTCAAAACAGTAAGAAAAAACTGGAGCTGAGTCCTGCTCATTATATTTACTTTCCTAAAATAAAACAACATTATAAAAAACATTACTCAGTAATATACTTTAGTTGAAAGGGGAAAAAAGAGACTTACCAAATTTTTTTGCAGAAAAGCTGATCCACCATCTTTCTTCATTTAGTGATTCTGGCATACCATTCTTCCTTTACTGTCGAAATCACAGGAATACAAGTTTTCTCAATTTAATGGGTTTAATAGCTCGGGTTATTAAATATTGTTATTATAAAATAGTATTATTTTTTCTTTTCCTGTGACTAAAATTATTTCTAATATCCAGAATGTATTTATTACTGAAACAATGCTGACACACACTGCACAAAAAAGGAAGAACCAGACATTCATTAAAGCTGGGAAAAAGCAGAACTCAGTGTGCTCAAGAACCACTAGCAGGCCGGGTGCAGTGGCTCACACCTGTAATCCCAGCACTTTGGGAGGCTGAGGCGGACAGATCACCTGAGGTTGGGAGTTCAAGAAGAGCCTGGCCAACATGGTGACACCCCAGCTCTACTACAAATACAAAAATTAGGCAGGCGTGGTGGCAGGTGCCTGTAATCCCAGCTACTTGGGAGCCTGAGGCAGGGAGAATTGCTTGAACCTGGGAGGTGGAGGGTGCAATGAGTTGAGATCACACCACTGCACTCCAGCATGGGCGACAAAGCAAAACTCCATCTCAAACAAACAAACAAACAAAAAACAGCTAGCAGGTGCCATTTGCTATGGGGAGACTAGGGATATAATCTTGCAGCAATCCTTCCATTTCAGTAAATCTAAACAGTGTGATTCCATTCTGTTTTGTCCCCACTCTACTCCAGAGCCAAAACAAATAAGAAAATCCGTTATATTTCTATTTCTTTCAAAACACATCTAACAATTAAGAGATGATATGCATGGCTCCATACTCTAAAAGGAAGCCTCTTATGTCCTGGGTATCATGGACATTTGAGGAATGTTTGTTCAGTTGTCTGGTGCAAGCTTCAATAATAACCTGTTCAATGCATTATGCCAGACAACTTTTGCATCTCAAAAGTAGGAAAAATATTGTTCTTTTAGTTCTGTCTACCCATAAATGCAACATTTACATGTATTTATAATGGGTTAATACAAATAAAATGAGTTTACTGTTCTAGAGAGTATTAGAATTTTGACAACATGAATTCTCCTGTCCTGGCATGTAATTAAATGTTAGAGGAATATTATTTCATGTGGAAGATACCATTAAAAAATCAATGTTAAGCATTAAATAATTATTTCACATAATCTTCTAATCTGACTTAAGACTGAAGACCTACCTCCTGAAGCTGGTTTATCAAGTTGTAAATCTTCACGTGTTGAATTCACAAGTTCATGTCTGCAAGGTGAGAATAAATACTTAATATTCACTAGGCAATATTCAGCAAAGTAATATCCACTAGTACATATTTAACATTTAATCACCAAGGGTGGCTTTGGAAAGAAAAGACAGGCTGGGCACGGTGGCTCATGACTGTAATCCCAACACTTTGAAAGGCTGAGGCAGGCAGATCATGAGGTCAGGAGTTCGAGACCAGCCTGGCCAACATGGTAAAACCCATCTCTACTAAAAATACAAAAATTAGCCAGGCATTGTGGCAGGTGCTTGTATTCCCAGCTACTCAGGAGGCTGAGCTAGGAGAATCACTTGAACTTGGGAAGCAGGGGTTACAGTGAGCCGAGATCACACCATTGCACTCCAGCATGGGTGACAACAGCGGAACTCCAGCTGAAGAAAAAAAAAAAAGAAAAAGAAAAAAAGAAATATCCCATTACTTTAAGGCAATGCAGATACAGCCAGAATTTCTACAGAAATCTGAACCACATTATAAAGCCAAAAAAATACCAGCTAATATCATTTAAAACATATAGTACTAAATGGAATAGGTAATATTTTCATTTTTTTTTTTTTTTTTGATACAGAGTCTTGGAGTGCAACGGCACGATCTTGGCTCACTGCAACCTCTGCCTCCTGGGTTCAAGCAATTCTCCTGTTTCAGCCTCCCGAGTAGCTGGGACTACAGGCGCCCACCACCATGCCCGACTAGTTTTTTTTATTTTTAGTAGAGATTGGGTTTCACCATATTGGTCAGGCTAGTCTTGAACTCCTGACCTCAGGTGATCCACCCACCTCAGCCTCCCAAAGTGCTGGGATTTCAGGTGTGAGCTACCGCACCCGGCTGGAAAAGGTAATATTTTCCACACATAAACATTAGTGTAACTATTGGACTTAAAAAAATACTTTTTTTTAGTAAGAGAAGCAGAAGATGCTCCTGAACTGCATCATTTCAACTAGCATTTATTTACTCATGATTAAAATACTACAACAACTATAAAAAGTCAAGTGATGGCCAGGTGCAGTGACTCATGCCTGTAACCCCAACACTCTGGGGGGCCAAGGCGGGTGGAGCACCTGAGGTCAGGAGTTTGAGACCAGCCTGGCCAACATGGCAAAACCCCGTCTCTACTAAAAATACAAAAATTAGCTGGGCATGGTGGCTCTCACCTGTAGTCCCAGCTACTAGGGAGGCTGAGGCGGCAGGATCGCTTGAACCTGAGAGGTGGAGGTTGCAGTGAGCCATGATCACGCTGCTGCACTCCAGCCTGGGTGACAAAGCAAGACTCTGTCTCAAAGGAAAAAAAGAAAAAGTCAAGAGCATAGGGAGTATTAAAATCAGACATAACCAATGGTCTCTCATCTGAACAGCTCCATTTTTTTGCTATCATTATGTGTTAAGGTCTATTTGCTAAACATTACTATTTGTACTAAAGTTTCAAGTGTATCCTATAACACATTAGTGCTGACTTAGGTTTAATGTCCTTTGCTGTACACTATACTTGAATATCATACTTATATATCACAACAAAAGTATCTTTCTCTAAGGCAATTACCATTAATACTGCTTTAAAATTACAAAATGTGGGCCAGGTGTGGTGGCTCGCGCCTGTAATCCCAGCACTTTGGGAGACCAGGGCAGGTAGATGACGAGGTCAAGAGATCAAGACCATCCTGGCCAACATGGTGAAACCCTGTCTCTACTAAAAGTACAAAAATTACCTGCGCGTGGTGGTGCACACCTGTAGTCCTAGCTACTCTGGAGGTTGAGGCAGGAGAATCGCTTGAACCTAGGAGGCGGAGGTTGCGGTGAGCCGAGATTGCGCCATTGCACTCCAGCCAGAACAACAAAAGCGAAACTGTCTCAAAAAAAATATATATATATATATAAAATGTGAAGATTGTTTTTATAGTTTCACAACAACTGAATATTAATGTCTTTAAATAGTAAATCACCATCACAACAAAAGCCCCACAACATAATCTGTTTCATTTTATAAAAAGCACTGACATTTATAAAATTGTCATAGTCAATTTATAAAACTGTAATAGCAAATTATTTTTACTCAGAATAGTACTAAATTAACAATATAATAAAAACATAGGCCGGGTGTGGTGGCTCACACCTGTAATCCCAGCACTTTGGGAGGCCGAGGAGAATGGATCATTTGAGGTCAGGAGTTCGAGACCAGCCTGGCCAACATGGTGAAACCCTGTCTCTACAAAAATATAAAAATTAGCTGGGCCTGGTGACACACCCCTGTAATCCCAGCTACTTGGGAGGATGAGGCAACAGAATCGCCTGTAATCCCAACTATTCGGGAGGCTGAGGCAGGAGAATCGCTTGAACCTAGGAGGTGGAGGTTTTAGTGAGCTGAGATTGCACCAATACACCGCAGTCTGGGCAACAGTGTGAGACTCTAACTCAAAAAAAAAAAAAAAAAGGATAAAAGTAGAGACAATAGAGGCATCTTGGTGAATACCGAATTTAACAAAGCAGATTAAGAGAAACAATTAGTTTCAAAAAATAATATTCAATTAAATCTCTAAGATCCAGGGCTTTGCAATAAACATGTAAATAAATCCCCAATATCCATGCTGAAAGTTTAAAAGAAATGCTAAAGAAATAAAACTTTTCCTTAGTTTTGCAGTAATCTAGAAACAAAGAATGTTTCTAATATTTAGACAGAAACTACAAAGCACCTTACAAGGAGAGACGTGTAAGGATGGCAGGATTCACCAGCAGCCCTGGGCTTGTCCACAGTACTCCCATGATGAACAATAACTCCATTGTGTAAATGCTTATGAACAAAGTATTACAGGACTTTTCCAATTTAAACATACCATATTTTCTGTCAGACAATTCTTCAACTTGTTTACATAGATCAGCGATATGATTATTCCACTTCTCTGAAAACTGAGCAAAAGTTGATTCTCAATAATATGTCCCTATGTCAGAGCAGCAATAATATATAATGACTTATTTCCTATATTTTACATACTAACAGTCCATATCATTTTACTGCTTTCGAAAACATTTTTCCCTTTTTTGGTGGTTCTTAGAATTAGTTTAATAGGAGACTACAAGAGAAGTTTTAAAGTTTAATGCCTTTTTTTAGCCTTTAATTTCTGAAAAGGAGGGCAGAAAAGATCAATCAAATTAAACACGACAACAGGGAGGCCACAATGAGGAGGTCTCCAGAGGCCTTTTCGCAAACTTCCTAAAACATGTCTCAGCTGTGTGGAAATAAGGCTTTACAGCAGCTGGGTGCAGTGGTGCAGGCCTGTAATCCTAGCACTTTGAGAGCAGAGGTGGGCAGATTATCACTTCGAGCTCCGGGCAACAAAGCAAAATCCCCCCTCCCCTCCCCAACCCCCTGCCTCCGCCCCCGTCTATGCCAAAAATATAAAACTTAGCCAGACATGGTGGCAGGTGCCTGTAGTCCCAGCTACTCAGGAGGTTGAGGCAGGAGAATCACTTGAACCCAGGAGGCGGACGTTGCAGTGAGCCGAGGCCATGCCACTGCCAGCCTGGGTGACAGAGCAAGACTCCGTCTCAAAAAAGAAAAAAAAAAAAGATTAAGTAAGAGGGACACCAGACCTTAAAAATACAAGTTTAAGAGGGACCCTGACTCAGCGTGGTGGCTCATGCCTGGGACTTTGGGAGGCCGAGGCGGGCGGGTCACGAAGTCAAGGGATCTAGACCATCCTGGCCAACATGGTGAAACCCTATCTCTACTAAAAATACAAAAAATTAGCTGAGAGTGGTAGGTGCGCATCTGTAGTCCCAGCTACTCAGGAGGCTGAGGCAGGAGAATTGCGTGAACCCAGCAGGCGGAGGTTGCAGTGAGCTGAGGTTGGGCCACTGCACTCCAGCCTGGGCAACAGAGCAAGACTCTATTGAGGCAAGGTTTCTCATTCTCAGGTCCGAGGGGTTCAATAACTGGGCCCTTAGGGAGGTGTGAGCCCCCTGAAACGATGCAAGGTTTTGTGTGGAGAGTGTGCACATGCGTTTCCGGGAAAACAGCCCACAGTTCTCATTCTCAGCAGGCTCCACACTCAAAAAAGGTTAGACTCTTGCTACAGAGCTGTGGGAGCAGCTAGGTGAGGGGCCTGCCAAGGGCACTCTGGGGACTACCTGGGCAGTCTTGAGCCCACCTGGGCAGTCCTGAGCCCACTGTCCCCTAGGCAGGCTGCGCTGCTTGGTATTTGCAGAGCTGAGGGGGTGGGGCATGCGGGACTGTGAAATCGCCCTGAGATGACCCACAGCACTCAGCTGGGAAGTGAGGGGTGTGTATCCTGCAGCATCCTCCATCCCTAGGGCCATGGGGCCAGGAGAACTGACCCTTGCAGCAAGTGAAAAGCCTATCATTGACTCCCTCCCTGGCCATGCAGACAATGAACCAAAGGCACTCAAATCAAGTAAATGCCTTGGTCTCTGTGACCGACGTGACCAGTAGGCATTCCCAGGTGCAGGGAAGGTCCTGACACCAAGATATGCACCTGGTTGCCTGAGGAAAGCGAAAGGACTATCCAAGGGGTTGGGGCTGAGCTGGGTGTGGAGTGGTCCTTGTGGGTCATGGTGAGTGGGAGGGGGAGCAGCATGAGCCAGGCCTCGGGGCAGGAGGACAACCAGGAGATGGCCTGGAAAAAGTGCTGGACCCACGAGGGTTCAAGGCTGGCCAGAGAGGGAGGTGGGATAGGCTGGGAAGTCCCGAGGTCTGAAGATTGGCCCTGGCAGGCAGAAACCAGGAAAGGTGGGCAGTTACCTGCACCCTGGGGGCCAGATGCATCCTTAGCCTAGAGCAGGTGCCAAGATTTCTGGCTCTGGGTGTGACCTAATTCTGGGGAAAAGCCCCAACCCCCACCAGGACCACCTGCCCCCCAAACTACTTCAGATGCTGAGCCCAAGCCAGGAGCAGGAAGCTGGACTGATGCCTAGGGTAATCCCGACAAAGTCCCTGACTCCCCCCAGCTATGGGGCTGAAGGGGAATTACAGCCCAAACCCCAGATGCTGGCTCTCAAACTAACCCTGAGCCCTCAGTGCCCAAAGGGAGACTCAATCAGCACACTTTCCAGATGGGGAAACGGGCTCAGAGAAGTGCAAGAGCCTTGCCCAGTGCCCCAGACCAGGACTCTAGGCCCAGAGTGTTCTTTTGTCACTGTGTCCAGAGGGTAGCAGCTGCTCTGATATAGCCACCTGAGCCTGGCAACTTTCTCCAACTTTGGAAGCCCAGGAGCATGACCTGTGCCCACAGATGCACCTGGCATGAGGTGCACCCAGAGGGACAGAGGCAGATGAGTTTTGCCTCCTCCACTGGATTGTGAAGGCCTCCAAGGAGACAAGGATCTGCTTGAGAAGGCAGCAGATAGTCAGCAACCTGGGGTGGTTTAACTCTGGATGGATCTGCAGTGCCTGGATGGGACCTGGCTCAGACAGAGCTCAGTTCTGCAGGTCACTGAGGCATGGAAAGGTCACAGCTACCAAGTGTAGGAGTCTGGATTCAAAGCCAACAGCGTGACTCCAAAGTCCCTGCCCTAGCCCCTGGACCACCCACCTCTCGGAGTCACCCTTGCAAGCTCATCAGATGTTCAGGCCAGCAGCACAACCAGCCAGGGCCAGGGAAACTTGGGGAGCCTCATTCCAACATAATCCTTGCACCCTTGCCCCTCACCATCTTTCTTCCTGCGTTAACCTCACCCCCTACACAGAGCCTGGGCCACTTAACTTGGCATCAAACAGATGCCTCAATAAATCAGAGTCTGATCTTCTCGGAAAAAAAAAAAAAAAGACTTAACAGATATACAGTTGCAAGTTAGAATGTTAAAGAACATAAGCATACAACAACTTAATGTACATATAAATTCAATATGTAGCCAATCATTGTGACTATGACACAACAGAATATTAACATACTATTTTCAAAATGTATACAAGCTTAATGATCTATTTATATTCAAAATATGAATCATCAACATAATTTGCCATTAATATCTCATTCAGTCCCTTCACAGGACACATGATCCACTGGGAGTTAACACAATAGCAGCTGGCAGGCAGTGACACACAGCAAAAACGAAAACCAACAGGTGAAATAGTTCTGAAATAAAGAAGGTTTTAAAGCTAAGAGAAACCATTGAATTCCTAAGTCATTAGGACTAATTTTGAGCCAACTAATTAATATGAGATGAAACAATGTCCTATGCTTTGGTAAATTCAAACCATGTTTAAACAATGTCTATAATGGGACTTTCAAAAAGCTCCTGGCTTTACAAAGGTGAGATTATAACATAGTAATACATGCTAAAGCATTTCCCCCTGCAGATGAGCATGTTGTAACTTTCATCAGCCACATTGAGAGTCCAGAAGATGAGGGAAAAGGTTGTGGATTTCACTGAGAACTTACCAGAGTTGAACTCCCTCACTTTCCGTTGCCCATCATTGGCAGGTTCCGGAACTGGTGGCTGTGGTAGTTTGTTGGTCTTTGGTCTCTTAGAAGGTGGAGAATCATCATCATGTTGAAAAAGAAAATGGTCATTACTGAAGGAACAATTCTAGGTTACAGCCACCTCCTGGTAAATTCCCAACATTCAAAAGGTGAGCGGCTTTAAAGCTATTTTGAATATTAATAATTATTCCTGTACTATGATCTTCAGCATACATTTTTCTAGTTACATTTGAAATTTTATTCTTTTGGGATGTGCTCAAGTGAATACTGCTTTATCCTCTGTCTTGCTTCATTACTTTTTAGTTTGCTTCATTTGAATCATCATTATAAATCTCCCCTTGCCCTCAAATAACTCTGAAATTGCTGCCAATAACTATATTGTTTTAAGGCTTTTCAGAAAAAACTTTCAACAAAGACAGCCACCTAAAGTTATACAAATATAGAAGAAAGGGAATATAATAAAGCTTAGATTGGAAAAAATATTTAAGCTTATACAAAATTCAAACATACATAAACAAGGGAAGCTGGATAATTTTATGTTCAAATACTTTTAACAAGTGCAAAATGTATATGCTTAAAGAAATAGGGTTGGCCGGGCATGTTGGCTTATGCCTGTAATTCCAACACTTTAGGAGGCCAAGGCAGGCAGATCACTTGAGGTCAGGAATTCAAGACCATCCTGGCCAACATGGTGAAACCCCATCTCTACTAAAAATACAAAAATTAGGCTGGGCGCGGTGGCTCACACCTGTCACTTTGGGAAGCTGAGGTGGCCGGATCACCTGAGGTAGGGAGTTCAAGACCAGCCTGACCAACATGGAGAAACCCTGTCTCTACTAAAAATACAAAGTTAGCCAGGCGTGGTGGCACATGCCTGTAATCCCAGCTACTAGGGAGGCTGAGGCAGGAGAATCGCTTGAACCCGGGAGGTGGAGGTTGCAGTAAGCCGAGATGGCGACATTGCACTCTAGCCTGGGCAACAAGAGCGAACTCCGTCTCAAAAACAAAAACAAAAAGATATTAGCCAGATATGGTGGCGCCTGTAATCCCAGTTATTCAGGAAGCTGAGGCAGGAGAATCGCTTGAACCCAGGAGGCGGTAGTTATGGTGAGCAGAGATCATGCCACTGCACTCCAGCCCAGGTAACAGAGCAAGACCCTGTCTCAAAAAAAATAGGGCTACATTATTTATGAAACAGATACTGTTGACTCAGTCACCAGAAAGCGAAGGTCGCCAACATCAGACAAATTCACTGGAGGACCTATGTATGTGCTTTGAAAGACAACACTGTTTTGGTAAAGAATACTGTATTTCAGAAAAACATAATCATATTAACAACTAATAACACTGTAAAATGCTGATGTGTTGAATGCTACTTTAGAAAAACATGTTCAAGTCTAGGAAAAAGATTTCCGATAGAAAACTACGTATCAATTACCTAGCTAGCTAGCTATCTAGAGACAAGGTTTCATTCTATTGCTCAGGATGGAGAGCAGTGGGATGACCATAGCTCACTGCAGCCTTCAGCTCCTGGCCTCAAGTTATCCTCCTGCCTCAGACTCTTAAGTAGTGGGGCCACAGGTGGACACAGGTACACCTGGCTTTTTTTGTTTGTTTTTTATAAACAGGGTTTCACTACATGGCCCAGGCTGGTCTCAAGCTCTGGAGTCTTGCTCTGTCGCCCAGACTGGGGTGCAGTGATGCTTCTCGGCTCACTGCAACCTCCGCCTCCTGGGTTCAAGAGACTCTCCTGTCTTAGCCTCCTGAGTAGCTGGGACTACAGGCATGCACCACCACGCCCGGCTAATTTTGTATTTTTAGTAGAGATGGGGTTTCTCCATGTTGGTCAGGCTGGTCTTGAACTCCCAACCTCAGGTGATCGGCCCGCCTCAGCTTCCCAAAGTGCTGAGATTACAGGTGTGAGCCACCGCGCCCAGCCTAATTTTTGTATTTTTTTGTAGAGACTGGGTTTCACCATATTGGCAAGGATGGTCTCAAACTCCTGACCTCAGGTGATCCACCCGCCTCGGCCTCCCAAAGTGTTGGGATTACAGGCGTGAGCCACCGCACTTTCTTATGTTATTAAATAGCCTAGCCCAGGAGGGTACGGTGGCTCACGCCTGTAATCCCAACAACTCTAAAGGCCAAGGTGAGAAGATCGCTTGAACCCAGGAGTTCGAGACCGGCCCGGGCAACATAGCAAGACCCCCCCCATCTCTACGGAAGATACAAAAATTAGGCCAAGCGTGCACCGCGCCTGGCTAATCTTTGTATCTTTCGTAGAGACGGGGTTGCGTCATGTTGTCCAGGCGCATCTCGAACTCCTGAACCCAAGCCATCCTCCTGCCTCGGCCTCCCAAAGTGCCGGGATAGCACGGCCCAGGGAGCCTCATGTGTTCTTTAAGCAGTCCCTCCCGGTTGTACACTTGGATAGTTTTCTTTTTTATTTTTTTATACAGGGTTTACCTCAGTCTCGCAGGCAGGAGTGCTGTGGTGAGATCACAGCTCATTGGAGCCTTGAATCTTGGGGTTCAAGTAGCTGGGAGGCTGAGGTTGGACTACAGAGGTGGGGTTGCGCCATATTGCTAGGCTGCTCTTGGCCTGAAGGAATCCTCCTTCCTGGGCCGTGCCCGGACACATAGTTTTCCATTTTTGACCGACATAAATACTGTGCTGGGTGGGAGTTTGTCAACTACCCCTTTCCAGCCAGCAACACACAGGAACTGGCGGGGAGGTCGCGGTTACCAGGCTCCACTCTGAGAAGACTGCCCAGCTCCAGGAACTGTACAGCCCTTGTGACGTGGCAGAAGGCCCGCCCCTGTGACGTCACCGAAGGCGCCCCCAAGATGTCGCAAAGGCCCGCCCCTCACGCAGAGCCAATCGGAACTCCAGGTGCTGGGTCTTCCAGGAGCGCGCCTGCGCGGGAGGGTGACCACAGGCGGCCGGGCGGGATGTCCTGTCCGCAGTCTTCAGCCCAGCCGCCGCCACCCATAAGCTATGAGGAGGAGTTTACGACCACCTGGACTACTACCACCTGCGTGACTTCCCGGCCTGCGGGGTCCGCGCAGCAAAGGCTTGACGCTGCTGGAGCAGGCGCTGCGCACCTACTGGCTGGCGCCTGGTAGGCACGAGCGCAGGGTCGCCCAGAAGCTCCTCAATGGCCTGAGCAAGTACCAGCCAGCGCCAGCTGCAGCCCTGGCCGCGCACTCGCCTCAGCTGAGCCTGGGTATGTGCACCCCCCAACACTTCCCCCAGCCATGTTCCGGGGACCTCGAGAGCGTCCCCCACCGCCCGGTGCCATTCGTGCTGGGCAGGGTCGGCCCCCTTTGAGGCTGCCCCGCGTTAGGGAGCTGCACCGCACCCCCCCAGCTTGACCTCTGACTGCCGTTGCAATAGTATTAAAGCCTTTGGAACTTTGTAGGTGGGTAGAAGGGGCTAGGAAACGAAGAAAACATCTTTTTAAAAATTTATATAAGGGACTGGCCGGGTGCGGTGGCTCACACCTGTAATCCCAGCACTTTAGGAGGCCGAGTGGGTGGATCACCAGGTCAGGAGTTGAAGACCAGCCTGGCCAGCATGGTGAAACCCCGTCTCTACTAAAAATACAAAAATTAGCTAGGGGTGGTGGCGGGCGCCTGTAATCCCAGCTACTCGGGAGGCTGAGGCAGAGAATTGCTTGAACCCGGGAGGTGGAGGTTGCAGTGAGCCGAGACCGCGCCATTGCACTCCAGCCTGGGCAACAAGAGCAAAACTCTGTCTCTAAATAAATAAATAAGATTTTCAAGGCGAGGCATGGTGGGTCACACCTAAATAAGTAAATAAATAAATAAAATGGATTTTCGGCTGGGCATGGTGGCTCACGCCTGTAATCCCAGCACTTTGGGAGGCCGAGGCGGGCGGTTCACGAGGTCAGGAGATCGAGACCATCCTGGCTAACACGGTGAAACCCCGTCTCTACTGAAAATACAAAAAAAAAAAAAAAATTACCCAGGCGTGATGGCGCGCGCCTGTAGTCCCAGCTACTGGGAAGGCTGAGGCAGGAGAATGGCGTGAACCCGGGAGGCATAGTTTGCAATGAGCCAAGACTGTGCCACTGCACTTCAGCCTGGGTGACAGTGAGACTCCGTCTCAAAAAAATAAATAAATTATAAAAAATGAAATAAAATGGATTTTCAAGGCCAGGCATAGTGGGTCACACCTATAATCCCAGCACTTTGGGAGGCCAAGGCAGAAGGATTGCTTGAGCCCAGGAGTTCGAGACCAGCCTGGGCAACAGGGCAAAACCCTGTCTCTATCAAAAGCACAAAATAACCTGGGCATTATAGTGCACACCTGTAGTCCGAGCTACTCAGGAGGCTGAGATGGGAGGATGGTTTGAGCCCGGGAGGCAGAGGCTGTATTGAGCTGAGATCATACCACTGAACTTCAGCCTGGGTGACGAGCCAGACCCTGTCTCAAAAAATAATAATAATAATAAAAATAAATTCATATAGTTTGGTATGGTTTAGTAAGTTTTAGCAGGCAGATTGTCAGGGTAAGATGGATTGTTATATATACATTTATATATATAATATGTATATTTATATACTTATTTATTTTAGCAGAGATAGGGTCTCCCTATGTTGCCAGGCTGGTCTTAGACTCCTGAGCTCAAGCAATCCTGCCTCGGGTTCCTAAAGGAAGCTCACGTTGCAGGTGTGAGCCACCACACCTGGCCTATAAGGGGAATTTAAGGGACTCTCTACTATGATGTCCCTTCTCCCAATCCCTTTCCGCATGTAGAAGAGGGTTCTGTTGAGTGACTGGCATTTGCTTATATTTCTCAGTGCTATGCCCAGTGTAATGGAAAATGCACAGACTGGCTCAAGAGCCCAGGGATTTCAGTTCCAGGCCAAGCTCATCCACTGACTGACAGAGTCAGTCAAACTTGTTTGGATTTCAGATTCTTCATCTGAATAACGTAGATAACACTTATCCCATAGTACACTGCAAAGATGACACGTGACAGTGAAAAAGTTAGTTTCCCTTTAAATGTTAAGAATTAGGCCAGGCGCAGTGGCTCACACCTGTAACCCCAACACTTTGGGAGGCCGAGGCAAGTGGATCACAAAGTCAGGAGTTTGAGACCAGCCTGGCCAATATGGTGAAACCCCGTCTCTACTAAAAATACAAAAATTAGGTGGGTGTGGTGGCAGGCGCCTCTAATCCCAGCTACTTGGGAGGCTGAGGCAAGAGAGTCACTTGAACCCGGGAGGCGGAGGTTGCAGTGAGCGAAATTGCGCCATTGCACTCCAGCGCCTGGGTGACAGAGTGAGACTCAGTCTAAAAAAAAGAAAGGAAAAAAGAATGAGATTAGAGAGGGCCTTCATTCCTCCTGGAAGAACATCTGATGTACCTGAAATCTTTGTTGGTGACAGGAAATGTGTCGATAGCATAGGGTTTCACTGTCGCCTCCCACACAGGGCCTTCACCATCTCTGCCATCTGGAGAATTTGTTCCCATCAGGAATCTCCCACCTGGCAGTGGGACCATGCTAGTAGCCTGTCCATTTCCTGCAGATAAAAAGGAGAGATATCGGTAATACATGCATATATATAAAACAAGTGGTAATATTTGGATCGTATGCAATACTCATGATGGTATGACAAAACAAAACAAAAAATGTGGAGGCTTAAAAATCTGGCTTTAAATTCCTTTTGCATTTTGTTTGCCTTCACATTCTTGTTCTGCCACTTAGTTTGATGGGAAACCTTAGGCAAATTTCTTAATCTGAGATTCAATTTCTTTTCTTTTTTCTTTTTTTTTTTTGTGACAGGATCTCACTCTGTCACCCAGGCTGGAGTGCAGTCATGCAGTCTTGGCTCACTACAGCCTCTGCCCCCGTGGGCTCAAGCAATCCTCCCACCTCAGCCTCCTGAGTAGCTGGGACCACAAGTGTGCACCACCACGCCTGGCTAATTTTTGTATTTTTTGTAGAGATGGGGTTTTGTTATGTTGCCCAGGCTGGTCTCAAACTCCTGAGATCAAGTGATCCTTCCACCTCAGCCTCCCAAAGTGCTGGAATTACAGGTGTGAGCCAACACGCCCGGCTGAGATTCAGTTTCTTCATCTGAAAAATGAGGATACCTATGGACAACTGTAGCTTGTTCATAAAAGAAAAATAAGTATGAAAAATGGGGATAATATCTCACTATCTCTTAGGTAGTAGCTGTATCAATTAAAGTAACACGGAACCAGGTGCAATGGCTCAGAGACAGGGTGCAGAAGCTAAGGCAGGAGGATTGCTTGAGCCCAGGAGTTCAAGGTTGCGGTGAGCTATGATCATGTCACTGCACTCCAGCCTGGGTGACAGAGTGAGACCCTGTCTCAAAAAATAAAAAATAAAAAGATAGTAATAAAATAGCATGGGTGAAATGTTGCGCACATGATAGATTTGCACTTACCTCTTTCTTCCTCTACACAAACCCTTGCCCCAGCTAGGCGAATTTAGACACTCTACCCTAAAATACATCTAGCACTTTCTACCCATCCTTCTGCTCATGCTGTTTCTCTGCCTCTTCCTCTCCATTTACTGAACTCTTATCAGTTCTTGGTGATTCTCACCATTATATGCTCCAGAAGGGAAGTATATAATACATATATATTTTTGACAGTATATCCCTGGCCCCTGCCATAAATGCGCAATGATTATCGCCATATAGTTAAATGAGCACCTTTAGACTTGTTTGAATGCCTCAGAAAAATCATAGAATTAAAAAGGACCGGCCAGGCATGGTGGCTCACGTCTGGAATCCCAGCACTTTGGGAGGCAGAGGTGGGCAGATCACCTGAGGTCAAGAGTTAGAGACCAGCCTGGCCAACATGGCGAAACCCCGTCTCTATTAAAAATACAAAAATTAGGCTGGGTGCGGTGGCTCACACCTGTAATCCCAGCACTTTGGGAGGCCGAGGTGGGCGGATCACGAGGTCAGGAGATCAAGACCATCCTGGCTAACAAGGTGAAACCCCGTCTCTACTAAAAACTACAAAAAAATTAGCTGGGCGTGGTGGCGGGCACCCGTAGTCCCAGCTACTCGGGAGGCTGAGGCAGGAGAATGGCATGAACCCAGGAGGTGGAGCTTGCAGTGAGCTAAGATTGTGCCACTGCATTCCAGCCTGGGCAACAGAGCGAGACTCCATCTCAAAAAAAAAAAAAAAAAAAAAAAAAGCCAGGCATGATGGTGCACACCAGTAATCCCAGCTACTTGGGAGGCTGAGGCAGGAGAATCACTTGAACCTGGGAGGCGGAGGTTGTAGTGAGCCAAGATCGTGCCACTGCCCTCCAGCTTGGGGGACAGAGTGAGACTCTGTCTCAAAATAAATAAAAAAGGGTCTGTGCTTCAAACTCCTTATTCCACAGGAGGAAACCAAGACCCAAAAAATAAATATGACTTAAAGAGCTGGTTAGTAGGTGACAGGACTAGATTTGGGTCTCTTTACGGTACTGTTTCCAGTAGGCCACACTTCTTCAGCTTGATGCACCACTTCAGTGTCTTTCCAAGAAAGGATGTCTAAGCACTGTAACTTCTTTCAAGGCAGAGTCCTGGTCTTTTGATGTTCCTCAAGATCCTGTCTTTGGCTCTCTTATTCTGACACATTCACACTGATTTCATCCATTTTCTTTTTCTTTCTTTTTGTTTTTTTTTTTTTTAGGCAGAGCCTTGCCCTGTTGCCCAGGCCAGAGTGCAGTGGCATGATCTCGGCTCACTGCAACCTCTGTCTCCTGGGTTTAAGCGATTCTCCTGCCTCAGCCTCCTGAGTAGCTAAGACTACAGGTGTGTGCCAACACTCCCAGCTAATTTTTTGTATTTTTAGTAGAGATGGGGTTTCACCATATTGGCCAGGCTGGTCTTGAACTCCTGACCTTGTGGTCCACCCGCCTTGGCCTCTCAAAGTGCTGGGATGACAGGCTTGAGCCACCGCGCCTGGCCTATTTTCAGTTTCTTCAACAAATATATCACCAAGGGGAAAAAATGGATCATCCTGGCATGGTGTCTCAGGCCTGTAATCCCAGCACTTTGGGAAGCTGAGGCAGGGATTGCTTGAGGCCACAGTGAGCTATGATGGCACCACTGCACTCCAGCCTGGGCAACACGGTGAGACCTTGCCCCCCCGCCCCACCAAAAAAACAAATAAATAAAAGGAGTAAGTAGGGAAATAATCAGATTGAATCGGAATTAAGAAATAACATACAATTGCAATGTATGAGCTTTATTTTGTCCCTAATTCAGCCAGCAAACGTTAAAAACCCTTTATGGGATAATAGATGAATTTGAACAGATTGGATATATTATTAAGCAGCACTGCCAGTTTTTTAGTTGAGAAAGGGTAATTATTTTTTCGTGACTTCTTTTGACTATTCCAGCTGAAGGTTTAGAATAAAATGGGTTATGTCTGGACCCACTTCAAAATGGCTCCAGGAGACGGGGAGAGTGCGATTCCACAGGAGCAGGACTGGCCACAAACTGGCAGCTCTTTAAGGTGGCCCACGAGTACGTGAGGGCAGGGGTCGTTCCTCGTTACATTCTCCTCTTTCCCTTTTTTTTTTTTTTTGAGATGAAGTCTCGCTCTATCTCCCAGGCTGGAGTGCAGTGGCAGAATCTCGGCTCACTGCAGCCTCCGCCCCCTGGCTTCAAGGGATTCTTCTGCCTCAGCGTCCTGAGTAGCTGGGATTACAGGCCTACGCCACCACACCCGGCTAATTTTTTGTATTTTTGTGGAGACGGGGTTTCACCATGTTGGCCAGGCTGGTCTCCAACTCCTAACCTCAAGTGATCCACCCGTCTCAGCCTCCCAAAGTGCTGGGATTATAGGCATGAGCCACCGCGCCCGGCCTCTCTTTCCCTTTTATAAGATTGAAAGATTCCAGAGCAAGAAGTTGAAAGCACAAGGCGGTGAGGCACCCTGCGCACCGAGAGCGACCTCCCCAGCCGGCGGCTGCAGGCGCATCCCGGAAGCGGGCAGAGGGGCCTCAGGCTCTCTCCCGCCAGGGCGGAGGGCCCCATCCCCTTTCCCAGCGCCTCCGGCGTGGCCGGCGGTTCAGTGACCTAGCTTGAGCCACGCACCAACCAGGAGCGACAGCAGGGACAGCAGCGGTGATGAACAACCCATGCTGGCATCAGGACTGGCGCGCCACGCCGCGCACACCCACGGCCCCGCTGCTCATCCGCCCTCACGCACCACGGTGGCAGTCGCCTCCTCCACACATGCGCATGCTGCTCCACCACCGCCCCTCACCCAACGGTTCAGCGGGGGAAACTGACGGACACGAGGTGTAGGACTGGCCATACCACCTGCAAGGCTGCCCAGGGAAGTAAGGAAAAGCAGGTTGAGGGTCCCTAGAGGCCCCTTCACTACTTTTTGAACCTTTGGACAGCTTTCATTCCCTTTAAGATTGCTTCTGTGTGTCAAACCATTGCAAGACCACAAAGGAGGTTTCAACTTAACATTTATTTGCACACTCCAGGTCACTGCTGAGCCCCCAAAACCCACAGCCTAGTAACACCAACTTCACTTTCAAGGACCGCAGAGATAGACCAACTATATAAATCTTGTGGAAACATAGTAATTTGGGTGAGGAAACTATGACGCTAGAGGCTTTGGGATGAATATTTTGCATAAGCAAAAGTTCAGAAGCTTGAAAATATAGTCAGCCTACAAATCTCAAATTTCACCTGATAACCGTAGCCCTTAGCCACCATGCCTTCCAGCTCTCTCAACTCCCTTGCCTCTAGTTTACTCCTCTTCCCATTTCCTACAACTTTGTAGGGGGAGCATTTTAGCAAAGCTATTTCAAAAGCGTGAAAAGTCCAACTGATCAATAAATTTACTCAGAAATTTACACTAACGGGATGCTTCCAAAATTTTAAATTACTAAGCGTTATTTATATTAGCATAAAAATTTTAAAACCAGATGCTTAACAATAGGGTACTGCTGAATAATTTAACATATGTCCACATAAAATTAAACCATTAAAATCTGCTTTTTCAAGGAATATTTAATAAGGTAGGTAATATATGCTTATTTAACATGGAATTTTATGTCACTGCTGCTAAAGCAAAACATCCTGTTCACTGGGTGAAAGACCTGCTTTATCTGTGTACACTTCAGTGCAATTTTTAAAAAATACTGTGATTATAATTTCAGAACTTCCGAATTTCAACAGATGCCAGTGTTCTCTCCTTTTTTCACATGGGAAAATTCCCTTGAAACTCATTTGAAGCTTGGACAAAAATTCCACAGCTGTATTCTTCAGGATCACTTTGCAGAGTCTTCAAGACTCAGATACAGAGGAAGCTTCAATTCAACCTTTCAGAGAAGATTCCAGCTCGCATGATCTCATCAACCAAGAGAATGTTGGTGGCAACCAGTGCTGAAAGGGGGATAAAAATTAGATAGCTCAGATGATTAGGAGCCCTAATTCGACTCAACTTCCCACTTCCAACTAAGCTGCACACGTTAACATCCAATTAAATTTCCCCCTTCCCCTCTACACATCAGAGGGCTAGTTCGGTTTCCATACTTTCAGCTGATTACATTATTCATGGGGGAAAATGAGCAACTAAACAGAAAACACCAAATGAAGAGTATGATGATTCTCTAACAGTTTAGTTTTCATTTTCCCAAACTTACCAGGAATGAAGAAGCTGTTTCTTTACACAATCGTTATCCCATAATGCCTGCTTCTGCTGCTACCACGGGCTCACCTAAAAGGCAACCAAAGTAAATTCAGTCAATAAGAACCAACAATATTGTGTGTGGCTTTGCTTATCACCGATGACTCATTTCCTCCAGTATTAACTATGGGAATTCAAAGCTTCTCTGTTAGCCCAATTTTCTACTCTAAACCATGACCCCTGTCCACAATATTTGAGGAGTGTCTGACTTCTACTTAGAAGACCTGAACACCCCTCTCTCCTTCTGGATACATTTCTGTTTACCCATACTAAAGTACAGCACTGCAACTCTAATCTGGCTAAAATGGACTGATCATTTCCCTCATTCCAGAAATCTTTTTTATTAAATAATAATGTTGACAGCAATAGGTCTTGCACATACTGCATGGATGTACCTGTTATCTGTCTCCTACTTTGTACTTAATTTGTGTTGTTTTGTTACAGGGGCCTAAGATCAGGGCTGTCACCATTTCATTAGATTTCTAGATCCCCTCTTCTGGCATTATTTGCTATCTTTAGCTGTTTTTCACCCATGAATATAATCACCCAATCTATTTTCTTATCATAGTACTTGATTAAAAACTGAGTAAGGTGGCCGGGTGCGGTGCTTCACGCCTGTAATCCCAGCATTTTGGGAGGCTGAGGCGGGCAGATCATGAGGTCAGGAGATCGAGACCATCCTGGCTAACATGGTGAAACCCCATCTCAACTAAAAATACAAAAAATTAGCCAGGCGTGGTGGCAGGTGCCTGTAGTCCCAGCTACTCGGGAGGCTGAGGCAGGAGAATGGCGTGAACCTGGGAGGCAGCAGTTGCAGTGAGCCAAGATCTTGCCACTGCACTCCAGCCTGGGCAACAGAGCAAGACTCCGTCTCAAAAAAAAAAAAAAAAAAAGAAACAAAAAGAAACAAAGAACTGAGTTTAAGGCAAATGCAATATGAAAATCCTTCAACATTAATCTGAACCATCTACCACCACTCAACATCTCCAACAAAACTATACCAAAATTACTCAGTCTACTCTACTCCCTTAATTATTATACCTAGTCATTCCATTTTTTATTAATATCCTATTTTATCCCATTTTAGAACCCAGACTTCCCTAATAGTACTGGTGTCAAATTGCAAAGCAAAAGATTTTTTTTTTGGTCCCCATTTTGAATCTTTCCTGGCTTCAACTCACATGTACTACATCTAGTTTTTCCTCTACAAACAGTTGCATTCTCTTACCTGTGTTCAGGTCCACACCCACGAGCTGACCTGATTCTGAATGTTCTGCTTAAATTTTAACTAATGTTTCCTGAAGGTCAAAACCAGAATTCTGCGCAAGAACCTAAAGTAAACAAATTTAATTCCTGAGAAAACAGGAAGAATTGATATTTAAAAAAAAAAAAAAAGGGGCCGGGCATAGTGGCTCACACCTGTAATCCCAGCACTCTGAAAGGCTGAGGCGGATCACAAGGTCAAGAAATTGAGACTATCCTGGCCAACATGGTGAAACCCTGTCTCTACTACAGATACAAAAAATTAGCTGGGCATTGTGGCACGTGCCTGTAGTCCCAGCCACTCAGGAGACTGAGGCAGGAGAATCGCTTGAACCTGGGAGGTGGAGGTTGTCGTGAGCTGAGATCACGCCACTGCACTCCAGCCTGGGCGACAAGAGACTGCATCTCAAAAAAAAAAAAAAAAAAAAAAAGCAAAACAAAGTCTCGGCCAGATGCAGTGGCTCATGCCTGTAATCCCAGCACTTTGGGAGGCCAAGCCAGGTGGATCGCCTGAGGCCAGGAGTATGAGACCAGTCTGGCCAACATGGTGAAACCCCACCTCTACTACAAATACAAAAGAAACCTAGCTGAGTGTGGTGGCAGGTGCCTGTAATCCCAGCTACTGGGGAGGCTGAGGTTGCAGTGGGCCGAGATCACACCATTGCACTCCAGCCTGGACAACAAGAGCAAAACTCTCAAAATTCTTAAAAACAAAACAAAACAAAACAAGAATCTCATTGCATGAAGACAGAACATTTATGTTCCCTTCAGAGAATAACCAGACACAAGTTACTGATCAACTCTCTCATCTACCCCAAACCCAGCAGCAATACATCAGTCATAAACTATACTTCAAAATTAGTATATAATAAAAAACAATGATATCAGTTTAGCTAAAACCAAAACAAAAAGCAAGTTGGTACTCAAGTATAACCCCTAATACTGCAAATATTAAGCTACAGGTTCTCTCTTGCCATCTGAAACGTCAGCTATTCAGGCCTCCCAGAGAAACCAAATACGTTTGGATGTTTTATAGTCAGGAAGAAAACTGATCAAACCCGTTTATCCAAAATCCGTATTATGAATAAAGCCTACATTATCAAAAAGTTTTGATCAGCTGAATCTTTTGGAAGATTGACTGTTTAAGGCATACACACCTTGGGAATAACGAGCAACACATCAGCAAATGCTTGGACTCCAAGCTGTGCCTTGCCCTTTACACTGAGCTTATATTTATTCAGGGCTTCTGCCATTGCCACTTCCACGGCACCAGCACCGGAACCACACAGCCTGTTGGATGGGGGAAAAAGAAAAATGCTAAGAAAACTGTAGAACTAATTATGAATAACAAAATATACATATGAAAGCCATTAATTTCTTACAAATTCACTATGACCACATCAATTTAAGTACTGCATGTGAAAGCCACAATACAAGCGACTAACATATCAAATAGGAGAATGGTCCAACCAGAATGGCTTCACTGGCCACTGGCAGCTCTTTCAACAGATCAGTATTAGTTCATTTATTTGTATTCACCTTTAATAATGATATGCTATGAAAAACCTTAGCATACCATCAGTCATTCTAAAGGGAAGACTGCTTTTGCATGGTGTCTGGCTGTGTAAACTACTGATAAAAGAACACAGTATTCAGCCATGCTTTTCAGACCAGCAAAACAATTTAATAGAATTGAAATATGGTGAGGATCTTACCATCATCAATAGCATTTTTGACAGCCCTCAAGCCATCCCTTACTGCATCTTTGATCTAAGTGTGGGCTTATTTGGTCCTTTGATCAATAATGTGACAGAACGAGGGTTGTTACACTTCTCAATAAAGGTGAACTTCTCCCTTTGTGTAGAAGAAACATGATTTTCAAAAACACGATGTGTGCAAAGAGAGAAGAGGGACTTACAGAGAATGACAAGCAGCATATTAATAAGGAACAAACTTGATCACATCAAACCAAATTATCTTTTTGAAAAATCACATATAAATGGCTTCCCATTACTACACATAAACCTTCAAAATGTATATAAACAAAAATCTGATCCTGAATTTCAATTGATTTTTCTGCTAAAGACTTCATGAACCAGGCACAGTGGCTCATGCCTGTAATCTCAGCACTTTGGGAGGCTGAGGGTGAAGGACAGCCTGAGCCCGAGAGTTTAAGACCAGCCTGGGCAACACAATACCACCCTGTTTCTACAAAAATTACAAAAAAAATTTAGCCAGGCATGGTAGCACATGTCTGTGGTCCCATTTGCTCAGGAGCCTGAAGCAGGAGGATCACTTGAGCCCAGGAAGATGAGGCTGCAGTGAGCTGTGATCACACCACTGCACTCCAGCCCGGGCAGGAGTGAGAACCCATCTCAAACAAAACAAAAATAATTCATGAGCTAAAAAGTTCTATTACCCTCAGGAAGAAAATACACTTACCAATGTATACTCATATACAAGTCCTGCATGTCTCAAGCAGTCAGGACTTAGGTCCTCAAAAGAATTCAGGGCCACCCCACCACAAGCAAGAGTCAGCCTGAAATAGCATTTTAAGGGAAATGAATAAGCAATGTTACCAGTGAAGTTCAAAGAGAAGACCAGTAATTTCTAGGAAGGAATTTTTCAGAATTACACACAAAATTAGAGTTTAAAATGTACTTTAACCTAAGCCTTTTCATTTGCCATCAACCAACTGAAAACCAGTCTTTTAACCCTCCATTTAAACCACTCTCCCCAAGTCAGCAAATCTAAAGATGGACAAGAGCTCTTTAATGGCCAGGCATGGTGGCTCACGCCTGTAATCCCAACACTTTGGGAGGCTGAGGTGGGTGGATCACTTGAGGCCAGGAGTTTGAGACCAGCCTAGCCAACATGGCAAAACCCCATTTCTACCAAAACAAAACGAAAACGAAACAATTCAACGGGCATGGTGGCAGACACCCGTAATCCTAGCTACTCGGGAGGCTGAGGCACGAGAATCCCAAGAACCCAGGAAGTAGAAGTTGCAATGAACCACGATCATGCCACTGTACAACAGAGCAAGACTGTCTCAAAAAAATAATAAAATAATATTTTTAAAAAAACTTTTATTGTGGTGAGCTCTTTGGGAGAAAGTATACTGAATTCAGAGACAAAAAGTAAAATAATGTTTACAAGGGCATAGAGGGAATGAGAAATGGGGAGTAACTATTTAATGGGTATAGTTTCAGTTTGTGATGATAAAAAAAATCCTAGAGATGGACAGTGCTGACGGGTGCAAAATAATGCGAATATAGTTAATGCCAATTAATTGTACAGTTGAAAACCCAAAAATAAAGTATAAGGAAAAATAATCCCAATTCATTTGCAAAATAAGTAAAAGTCAAATTACTCAGATAAATCTGCTACTCATACCTCTCCATATTCCTCCTTTTAGCTCTGTGAAGAGCGACTATGCCTTCTTTGAAAGAGCATCTAAGGAAAAGGGGTCAATTCCCTATAACAAAAATAAAAATTAGTTTCAACATCTTTCACCTTAAAAGTAAAAAGGATGATACATACTATTTAGTTTATACACTGGATTTTCATTCTCACCTTTTGATTAATAACAAATCCTTTATCTGAATTACTACAGACTTTCCTTTTCAGTTCTATTATTTGTTTTAACTCTATCTTCAATGAATTTTCTTTCAGCTTTTATGAGTTTTTCTCTTTCTGCACTCTTGTAAAAAACGCCAGAATTCACTTCTCTATTAAGAAAAAAAAAAAGTTACAGAAAGCAGGGAAACATTTATTTTTTGAGAAAATAGCTTCTGAAACTGGATTAGTCCTAAGATTTAACAAACAGCTCACTGAGCTCCAATCCTGCCCCTTGCACATCTTCAGAGGCTGTTTCCTATAACTCTCCCAAACCAATTTGAGGATTATTGTCCTTACAGTGGGAAACGAAGTTTCACAAAAAAGTAACTCACCTAAAACACGAAGCTCCTCCATTTAAGTTAAGGGGCTATAAACTTAAGTTTTTTCATATTCTAATGACACGTTACAAATGAGGATATATGCATCCTCCACCCTTTTCTTCCTATCAAGATGCTATGCTCCATGGTCCAAAACAAGCCCTCTGATTAAGCTGTTCAAACATACACAAAATTATGGTTATTGATTTCCAGATGGGTGTACGTTAAACACCGAACTGAGAAGGCACTGATAATTTTCATGCAGTCAGCGTTGTTTCTTGAATTACTTGAAGATCCTATGCTGTACAGAAAAGTCTGCAGAGATAGTCTCCCTGGTAGGCTGTCAAACTGTGATGATATCTTTTAAAAACATGTTTTCTGCCAAGTGCCTGTAATGCCAGCACTTGGGGAGGCAGAGGTGAGAGGACACCTTAATCCCAGGAATTCAAAACCAGGCTATGCAACATAAGGAGACTCCATTCTCCATAAAAAGAAAGGAAAAATGAACATATACATGTTTTCTAACTAAGTCTTTAGAAAAAAAAATTTTTTTAATTCCTCTACTGCTTCTCATTATGCTTTGTACCTAGCAATTCAATAAACGCCAAATGACTGATGTTGTTCACCTTTCGGAATAATTCTACCCATAAATACAACATAACATTCACCTTATTTCAGGAGAAAATATTACTAAAAGTAAAAACAATCTTCACCTAGCAATTTATCCAACTTATATCTTTACCTAGCAATTTATCCAACTGATATCTTCAGGTAAATATACAATATTTTATATCCAAATATATTAAAAATTTTGCCAACAATATATATTGTACAAAGCACCCCTAAATTTCAAAACACACTTTATTAGTTTCTTTTTTTTTTTTTTTTGAGATGGAGTTTTGCTCTTATCACCCAGGCTGGAGTGCAATGGTGTGGTCTTGGCTCACTGCAACCTCCGCCTCCCAGTTTCAAGCAATTCTTCTGCCTCAGCCTCCCAAGTAGCTGGGATTACATGAGCCCGCCACCATGCCTGGCTAATTTTTGTAATTTTAGTAGAGACGGGGTTTCCCCATGTTGGCCAGGGTGGTCTCGAACTCCTGACCTCAGGTGATCTACCCACCTCGGCTTCCCAAAGTGCTGGGATTACATGCCTGAGCCACCAGGCCCGACCATTAGTATTTCATAGTCTTCTACCACCTACCTTGTATCAGTTTCAGATTTATGTTTCTTGTCAATGATCACAAAATCATGAAGAGATCAATAGGTTCATCTTTTCTTTTAATGGCCAAAATGGAGCCCACTACAGCCTGCAATAGGAGAAGGATAACCATTAAGTAAATTCAATTTGCAGCAGCAGAAACATGTTGCTTTTCAGAAGGCTAAAGTAGACAGTTTCTTCATTTTACAATCTCTACACTGATTTGTATTTTTCTATAAGCAGATAGAATACATTATATATGAACAGCTGTTACATTTCTGAAATCTCAATCTGTAATTCTCAAACATTAACATTCCTTAACATTAACATTCCTCCTGGTGTTTCATTAAAAATACTGATAACTGGAAGCTTTCTAATAACAAAATCTCCACTTTATAAACCTTTTAATGAAAGCTCCAATTTTACTTTTAAAACCCGGTTAGGTATACTATTATTTGAATTTCCTCATTTTACTTTTTAGAGACACAGATTAGGTATCACTGCCACAAAAATGAACCTACATAGCACCTTGTGATTGAAATTGGTAATTATATTCATGTTTCTACTATCAGAGATTTTCTACATAGGTGTACCATACCAGACACAGACAAAATTTAATACATACCTCTGTTAAGACATCTGCAAGTTCAGCATGAACTTTAGTACAAAGAGATGCCCTGGCCACATCTTTAAGTGTTTCCTTGTCCATCTCTCTGCTTACTTTGACTTCTTCCAAAAAATGAAGGGCTTTTCCTTCACAGCTTCAAATCCTTCAGTGATTATTCTGGGATGAAGGCCCTACAATAAACACACAATAACACTTGCATCTTCAATTAGGTGCAACTATAGTTCATGATAAAGTTCAGACAATTCTTGGAGGGATACTCTGATCATCCTATCTTTGAACACGAGGTAATATAATGTGCTGGCTTTCTGAATACATTTAAAAGGATAAATATTCCTTTTAATGCAGAGGAGAAGAGCAGGCAATGCTCTAGCACAGGGTCAAAGCCAAGGGAACTATAAAGCACACTTGGGTGTTCACTGTGCAAACCACTCCGAATCATGTCAAAACCGACACTGTGTCCCAACAACTCACAGATGGTAGCATTATTCTATCTTTTCTATAGGTAATCTCAAACTAATTCCATCATTTACTAATAAAAATAAATAAAGACTATCTGCTCTCTTTTACCCGAAAATTCTGACAATAGATTCGTAGTCACTGAGGTTTGTTTTAAACCTTGGAACTAGTCAGGGCTAAAAAAGTGGAATTTATCTAAATGTAAGCTTTTGGTTGTCTCTTTCCTAACAAATAAATATGCCTAGTCCTAAACATCCCATTTTAAAATCTCAATTATTAATCTAAAGACAGATACAAATCACATAGGCAATTCAACTTGATTACAAAATTATTTTCAGGCCAAAAAAGGTTCCATAACCTGTCCAAGCTCACAACAAATTTGTTTTAGACCAAGACAAAGACCCAGATTTAAGCCCCCTAATCCTACTGTATGGCCTCCGCTAGTATTAACACATCAATTTGTATAAATAAGTATCTGACACGTCCTATATACAATAATATATTACAGAAACAAGAGTTGTGTGCCGGGCGCGGTGGCTCACGCCTTTAATCCTAGCACTTTGGGAGGCCAAGATGGGTGGATCACCTGAGGTCAGGAGTTGGAGACCAGCCTGACCAACGTGGAGAAACCCCGTCTCTGCGACAAATACAAAATTAGCCGGGCGTGGTGGCGCATGCCTGTAATCCTAGCTACTGAGGAGGCTGAGGCTGGGAATTGCTTGAACCCAGGAGACAGACGTTGCAGTGAGCCGAGATGCCATTGCACCCCAGCCTGGGCAACAAGAGTGAAATCCCATCTCAAAAAAACAAAACAAAAAAAAGTTGTGCATACTTCAGAAATGTAGAGATCTGCCTGTTTCAGCAGCTCTCCAATGATTAGGACATTGGAAGTCGTACCATCACCAGTTATATCATCCTGGGCTGTTGCTACCTTTGCTATTAAGGAAGCTGTTGGGTGTTGAATTTGCTGAAAGTAGAAAAAGAACGAATCACTTAAAACAATATGAAACAGTCTAAAAATACCACAAATAAAATGCATGAAGGGCCTCTTTAAGTACTATCTACTTGAAAAAGCTACCCAAGTGTTTGGCTACAAATTACTAAGATTAAAAAGTCACAATTTGCTATCATGCGCATGCAATTATAATGATGGAAACATTTTCATGTGTAATTTATTTCCCAGGTTATCTCTACTTTACAGATGAGGAAGCTTGAGGCTCAGTGAAAGTTTACGCAAGATGACAGCTAACAGTTAACAGTAACGGATAATTTTACATCCTTGCCTCTTTAGGCAAGTGTAGGGCTCTACGAGAATAAGCCAGGTATCTCCTAAAATGAAAGCTCAGCAGCCTCCACTGTTACTCTGCAATGGCCAAGTAATTTAAAAGGAAAGGTCAGGTGCGTTAGCTCATGCCTGTAATCCCAGCACTTTGGGAGGCCACAGCAGATGGATCCCTTGAACTCAGGAATTCGAAACCAGCCTGGGCTACATGGCAAAATCCTATCTCTTAAAAAAAAAAAAAAGCGGAAAAAAATTGTATTTTAAAGGTAAAATGACATGTCTGCAGCTTACCTTCAAATGATTCAGAGGAAAAATAGAAAAGAAATGGAGCAACATGTAAACAATTGGTGAATCTAGGTAAAGGGCACACACAATATAATCATTATTTTCGTAGGTTTGTAATTTTTTCAAAGAAAACTGAAAAACAGACTTCTGGAGATTGGAGAGAAGTTCCAGTGGGAGGGGACTTCTGAGGTGGTAGCAACAATTTATTTCTTAACTACAATAGTGGTTGTGTGTGTCCACTTTATAATTATTTCCTAAATTGTAAATGTTCTACGTGCTTCTCTCTACTTATGCTGTATTTCTCACACACTAAAACCCAAATAAATTTTTTTTTTTTTTTGGTGACAGTCTCACTCTGTCACCTAGGCTGGAGAGTGCAGTGGCACAATCTTGGCTCACTGAAACCTCAGCCTCCCAGGTTCAAGCAATCGATTCTCCTGCCTCAGCCTCTGGAGTAGCTGGGACTACAGGCGTACAGAACCATGCCTGGCTAATTTTTGTATTTTCAGTAGAGACGGAGTTTCACCATGTTGGCCAGGGCTGATCGTGAACTCCTGGCCTCAAGTGATCCACCTACCTCGGCCTTCCAAAGTGCTGAGATTACAAGAATGAGCCACTGCACCCGGCCCCAAAACAATTCTGACGTCAAGTTTAACCGTGGCTCCACTTTTCTGCTAACACGAGCCACCACTGAACCCAGTAAAAACAAAAACACCTCCTAGATTAGCAAGTCTTTATTAAAGATATTTCATCTGGATGTTGATAGCATGGTATACTACTAGCAAAACCCTGATTATTCTGAACTCAAATCAGCAGGAAATCATTTCCCTTTCTTGGATTTGAACTGTTAAGTTTTGGGAATTTAGGGATGAGTAAAACGCATACTCCCTTCAATAATCTCATATTCTCCATCCCTAAGACTTTAAAAATGTTAAAGCAAAGAGATTTCTCTCCCCTCCAGTTGGAGATGGAGATGAGACATAACAGAGAAATTGCTGTTTTAAAAAGAGAAAAACCGGCCAGATGCTGTGGCTCACGCCTGGTAATCCCAGCACTTTGGGAGGCTGACTCAGGCGGATCACCTGAAGTCATGAGTTCAAGACCGGCCTGGCCAACATGGTGAAATACCATCTCTACAAAAAATACAAAAATTAGCTGGGCATGGTGGAGCAAGCCTGTAATCCCAGCTACTTGGGAGGCTGAGACAGGAGAATCACTTGAACCCAGGAGGCGGAGGTTGCAGTGAACCACTGGACTCCAGGCTGGGCGACAGAGTGAGATTCTGTCTTAAAAAAAAAAAAAAAAAAAACCCATAAAGAGAAAAACCATCCTCATGCATTTTGCCCATGTGATTGTGTCAACCACCCTTAATTTTTCAAATTTTATTATAATTAATGTACAATTACAGTCCTTTAGCCCAGACTGTGAATGGCAAAAAAGCAGGGATTCAAAGACAGGGCTGTCAGACTCCAGGCACAGTCAGTACTATTACTGTCACTGTTACATGTCACTTCTGAATGTTCTCCTACCTTGAGAATGGACATTGCAAATCTTTCTACAAAGCAAAAGTTCTACGGAAAATCAAGACATTTCTGACCTAGCAGAGCACCTCTCACCATTTCGTGAAGCAGCGCACTGTGCAGGACCGTGCCCGGCTAATTTTTGTATTTTTAGTAGAGACTGAGTTTCACCATGTTGGCCAGGGCTGATCGTCAACTCCTGTGTCTTTAGTAAGCTTGATGTCTCCAGCGCCAGAAACAAGACTGTTTAAGGGACAGAAATCAATCAAATTGTGACAAAAACGAAATTAAAACGAAAACTAAATTAAAAAGTCCCATTAGAAAATGGGCTTTTCCAGCCGGGTGCGGTGGCTCACGCCTGTAATCCCAGCACTTTGGGAGGCCGAGGCGGGTGGATCTCGAGGTCAGGATATCGAGACCATCCTGGCTAACACGGTGAAACCCCATCTCTACTAAAAATACAAAATAAATAAATAAATAAATAAATAAAGCAAGCTGGGCGTGGTGACGGGCGCCTGTAGTCCCAGCTACTCGTGAGACTGAGGCAGGAGAAAGACATGAACCCGGGAGGCGGAGCTTGCAGTGAGCCGAGATCGCGCCACTGCACTCTAGCCTGGGTGACAGAGCGAGACTCTGTCTCAAAAAAAAAAACAACAAAAAACCAAAACAAACAACAAAAAAGGACTTTTCCCAGATCTCAGGGAGCCAGGGATATGGAGCTAGTTATCAACGAAAACTAAATTAAAAAGTCCCATTAGAAAACGGGCTTTTCCCCGATCTTAGGGAGCCGAGAATATGGAGCTAGTTATCTCCCGCAGGCTGGAGGACAAGTGTAGTGCCCACCCCGTCCCCGCAGAGATTGTGCAGAGTCCTCAGGGTGTCTGGAAGCCCAAGAAGGCGGGGAACGCCGCACACTAGAGCCGCTTTTTTCTCCATGGAGACGGCATCGACGCAGGAAGAAATGGACGCAACGGTGGGGCTTAGCAGGGAACAGGACCGGCCCGGGAGGACGCGAGGAAGGGTGGCTGCGGAGCCCCGAGGCAGCGGGCTCCCATCTGCGGTCTTGGGCCCGCCAGGTGCGCAGCGGCGCGCGGTGCCCACCCAGCCCTCCCGCCAGCCCCACCTTACATCTTTATGGTCCCTTTGGGCCCCAGGTTGGTCCTCAGCACGTCCTGCAGACCCCGCGCCCCGCTAATGTTGAACGCCAGCGCCGCCTGCGCTCCGGCCACCTTGGCCTTGGGGTTCAGGGTCTTCGCCGCCGCCATAACTGCTCCAGAGGAAGAAAAGAAAGCGACGCGGCACGCGGAGAGCCCAGAGCAGGCGCGCCGTGGCCGGGATGCACTATCCGGATCTTCCGGAAAAGTCGGCGCGCCCAGCCCGCCCCTAGCGTGCCCGCGCCGCCGCTATTGGGCCACGGGCTGTCCGGCCCCCGCTCATTGGTCCGCGGCTGCACGGTGCCTGCAGTCCCACCCCTCGCCCAGCGGCCGCGACGCTATGGCGCACTGGAGTACCCTGTTCCTGGCAGTAAGTGCTTCTGGGTTCTGGCGTTGCTGCTCAGTGGGGCCCAAGTTTGCGGACCCGGGATCTCAGGATGCAGGCAGGGCTTATGCCCCGCGCCGGACAGGGCGTAGGGTGGGCCTCCTCCTGCCCCTACTCGCGCGGTTTGCTCCTCAGTCTCCTTCCCTTGCTGCTTTCACGACTTTCATTGGAGCTTTCTGGACCCTGTGCTTGACGGTGCTGTAGGTGCCGTGGGGACACACAGGCTAGTCTGATAAGCACCCTCCGCCGGAATCATGCGGTGCTGTAAGGACTAACGAAGATGAAGATAGAATGCAAGGTAGAAAGTGCTGGATGCCTTTAGAAAGCTGCAGGACTGGTGCGATGGGAGTTGAGTCATAACCTGTCCGTCATTAGGACTCAGGATGCTGCTGAGGCCCTAGGCTTCTATGGTAGATTTGAAAACTCACCCTTGTAGAGTGATGGTGTCCAGCCTTTGAGAGGACTCCCTTTTAAGGTAAATTTCCAAAGAGCTCCACAATTGTTTACAGTATCCGGTGCCCGCCAAATTCCAGGGATTCAGTTACACGTGATATTTTACTTCATTTTTTCTTTTTATAGACACACGGCCTCACCATGTTGCCCAGGGTGGTCTCAAATTCCTGAGCTCAAGTGATACTGCTGAGCTCAAGTGATCCTCCCGTCTCGGCCTCCCAAAGTGCTGGGATTACAGGCATGAGCCACCGTGCCCGGCCAGTATTTTATTTTTAATAGATAACGGAAATTGTTCTGAATTCAAAAGGCACCAAAGGGCATGTGGTGGAAATTAAATCTTCCTCCCGCCACTAGTTCAACACTAGAGACAAGCACAGTTACCCCGGATACTCGATGAATTTTCGGAATGCTTTCTGAATTTATAAACTTATATGTAAATATAATCATTTCCCCACACAAATGGCAATTCCTAATACACACTGTAGGGTGTGTTATACTTTAAATGTCTTGGAGAGTGTGCCATATCAAGACTAATGGGAAGTCCTCATTAACAGCTGCGTGATGTTCTTCGTAAGAATTACACAACTAGGAGCCGGGGCACGGTGGCTCACGACTGTAATCCCGACACTTTGGGAGGCCGAGGCAGGTGGATCACTTGTGCCTAGGAGTTCAAGACCAGCCTGGGCAATGTAGTGAGACCCCATCTATACAGAAAGTACAAAAATTAGCCGGGCGTGGTGGTGCATGCCCATGGTCCCAGCTACTCGAGAGGCTGAGGTGGGAGGATCGCCAGAATCTAGGAGGCGGAGGTTGCAGTCAGCTATGTCAGCTATGATATTGCCACTGCACTGCAGCCTGTCTCAAAAAGAATGATACAACTAACCAGTCACCTACTGACTGATGTTTAAGTTGTTCCCAATCTGCTATTCAGGCTGCAGTGAATATCGGTATATGATGCTTTTAGGAGGATTTGTGTATTTGAGAATCACAAAAACATCTATATATGTGACTAGAAGCACTGCACAATAGAAGACTAGTTATTAGTTCCATAGGCATTACATGGTGTGCATGCAGATTTATTATAACTGCTGTTAAAAATGTTATGAGGAGACCAGTCGTGGTGGCCCACACTTGTAATCCCAGCACTTGGGGAGGCCAAGGCCGGCGGATCACTTGAGGTCAGGAGGTCAAGATCATCCTGGCCAACATGGTGAAACCCTGTCTCTGTAAAAATACAAACATTAGCAAGACCAACAAGGTGAAACACTGTCTCTGTAAAAATACAAAAATTAGCCTGGCATGGTGGTGTGCATCTGTGATCCAAGCTACTCGGAGGCTGAGGCATGAGAATTGCATGAACTTGGGAAGGAGAGGTTGCAGTGAGCCAAGATCATGCCACTGCACTCTAGCCTGGGTGACAGAGCTAGACTGTGTCTCAAAAAAAAAAAAAAAAAGGCCGGGCCCAGTGGCTCACATCTGTAATCCCAGCACTTTGCGAGGCTGAGGCAGGCAGATGATTTGATTTGAGGTCAGGAGTTCAAGACCAGCCTGGCCAACATGGTGAAACCTCGTCTCTACCAAAAATATAAAAAGTTAGCTGGGTGTGGTGGCGCACGCCTGTAATCCCAGCTACTTGGGAGGCTGAGGCAGGAGAATCGTTTGAATTCTGGAGACAGAGGTTGCAGTGAGCCAAGATCATGTTTCTGCACTCCAGCCTGGGTGACAGAGCGAGACTCTTTCTCAAAAAAAAAAAAAAAAAAAAAAAAAAAAAAAAAAAAGCTGGGCATGGTGGTTCACACCTATAATCCCAGCACTTTGGGAGGCTGAGGTGGGTGGGTCACCTGAGGTCAGGAGTTCCAGACCAGCCTGGCCAACGTGGTGAAACCTGTCTCTACTGAAAATACAAAAATTAGCCAGGCATGGTGGCGGCCACCTGTAATCCCAGCTACTCAGGAGGCTGAGGCAGGAGAATCACTTGAGCCCGGGAGTTGGAGGTTGCAGTGAGCCAAGATCACGCCATTGCACTCCAGCCTGGGCGACAAGAGCGAGACTTGTTGCCAAGGTGACATAATGGAAGTATATTAAATACATAAATAGGAGTTATTGATAGGGGGAAAAACATTTTAAATAACATGTATAAGAAGTTCTCACTTTTGAAACATTCCCTATGGGTCTATACTGGGAGGGGAACATCACACACTGGGGCCTGTCAGGGGGTGGGGATCAAGGGGAGGGAGAGCATTAGGACAAATACCTAATGCAAGCGGGGTTTAAAACCTAGAGGATGGGTTGATGGGTGCAGCAAATCACCATGGCATGTGTATACCTATGTAACAAAACTGCATATTCTGCACATGTATCTCTGAACTTAAAGCAAAAAAAAAAAAAAAAAAAGCCTGGTGTGGTGGCGCACACCTGTAATCCCAGCTACTTAGGTGGCTGAGGCAGAATTGCTTGAACCCGGTAGGCAGAGGTTGCAGTGAGCCAAAATCGCAGCACTGCACTCCTAGCCTGGGCGACAGAGTGAGACCCTGTCTCAAAATTAAAAATAAAAAGAATTTGTAAAAAACAGTAAGAAGAATTGCCATACTCTACACACAGATCCCCCAAATGTAAACATCATATTTAACCCCAGAATAAGAAATTAACATTGACGCATGATCCAATCTATAGATGGCTTTCAAATTTTGCTAATTATATCATGATCTATCTCTGGCCCAGGAGTCTATTTATCCAGAATTACGCTTCGCATTTAGTTGTCATGTCCTTCAGTCTGAAACAGTTCTGCAGTTTTTCAGTCTTTAATGATCTTGGCATTGCTTTTAGTACTGGCCAGTTATTTTACAGAATGTCCCTTACTTTAGGGTTATTTGATATTTCCTTATTTTTTTTTTTTTTTTTTTTTTTTTGTTGAGACAGAGTCTTGCTCCGTCGCGCAACCTGGAGTGCAGTGGCACGATCTCGGCTCACTGCAAGCTCCACCTCCTCGGTTCATGCCATTCTCCTGCCTCAGCCTCCTGAGTAGCTGGGACTACAGGCGCCCGCCACCACGCCCAGCTAATTTTTTTGTATTTTTTTTAGTAGAGACAGGGTTTCACCATGTTAGCCAGGATGGTCTGGATCTCCTGACCTCGTGATCTGCCCGCCTTGGCCTCCCAAAGTGCTGGGATTACAGGCTTGAGCCACCGTGCCTGGCCTCCTTATGATTTTTTAAAAAATTTTTTTGAGACAGAGTCTCGCCCTTTTGCCCAGGCTGGAGTGCAGTTGTGCGATCTCCGCTCACTGCAGCCTCCACCTCCCGGGTTCACGTGATTCTCCTGCCTCAGCCTCCAGAGTACCTGGGATTACAGGCACCTGCCACCATTCCTGGCTAATTTTTGTATTTTTAGTAGAGATGGGGTTTCACTATGTTGGCCAGACTGGTCTGGAACTACTGACCTCAGGTGATCCGCCTGCCTTGGCCTCCCAAAGTGCTGGGATTACAGGCATGAGCCGCTGCGCCTGGCCTCATGTTTCCTTATGTTTAAATGCAGGTTACGGCCGGTCACGGTGGCTCACGCCTGTAATCCCAGGACTTTGGGAAGGCCAAGGCAGGCGGATCACATGATCAAGAGATCGAGACCATCCTGGCAAACATGGTGAAACCCCATCTCTACTAAAAATAGAAAAAATTAGCTGGGCCTGATGGCACGTGCCTGTAATCCCAGCTACTCAGGAGGCTGAGGCAGAAGAATCACTTGAACCCAAGAGGTGGAGGTTGCAGTGAGCAAAGATCGCACCACTGCACTCCAGCCTGGGCAACAGACTGAGATTCTGTCTCAAAAAAAAAAAAAAATGCAGGTTATTCATATTTGGCAAGAACGCCAGAGAAATTATGTGTCATTTCAAGGCATCGTAGGAAGAGTCACATGATGTCAGCAGTTTTTCCCATTCCTGGTGATGTTAACTTTGTTCACTTGGTTAATGTTTGCTAGATTGCTCTACTATAAAGTTGTTATTTTTTCTTTGTATTTAATAAGCATCTTGTGGGAAAATATGTGACTGTTCTGTTTTTCATCATAACAGTGCCTACTAATTTAAGCATCCATCGATGATTTTTTTTTTTTTTTTTGAGGCAGCGTCTCACTCTGTTGCCCAGGCTGGAGTGCAGTAGTGCAATCACACAGCTTACTGCAGCCTCAACCTCCTGGGCTCAGCCTCCTATCTCAGCCTCCTGAGTAGCTGAGACTACAGGCTTGCATCACTATGCCTGGCTAATTTAAAACGTGTGTGTGTGTGTGTGTGTGTGTGTGTGTGTGTGTGTGTGTGTGTGTGTAGAGATGTCATGCTTTGTTGCCTGGGTGAGTTTCAAACTCCTGGGCTCAAGCAGTCCTCCTGCCTCAGCCTCCCAAATTGCTGGGGTTACAGGCTTGAGCCACTGTACCCAGCCCATCAATAATTTTTGCCTGAAACAATTTTTATTGCGATCTTTGTGTTGAGAGTCCTCCATGGATCTGTTGTGTGCTTACATGTCTTGCTGGGTGTGCCAAGAATGCAAGGCCCAAGAATGCTCTTTATTTGGGCCTTTTCTCAGGGTTGTTTACACAGCTGGTAATCTTCAGAGACAAGTTAATGTTTCCTCTTGGACAAAGAGCAGGCTTGCCCACTGCTTGGTATAAAAACAATAGATTTCAGCCAGGCGTAGTGGCTCATGTCTATAATCCCAGCACTTTGATTTTTTTTTTTTTTTTGAGATGGAATTTCGCTCTTATTGCCCAGGCTGGAGTGCAATGGTGCGATCTTGGCACACTGCAACCTCCGCCTCCTGGGTTCAAGTGATTCTCCTGCCTCAGCCTCCTGAGTAGTTGGGATTACAGGCATGCAGCACCACACCCGGCTAATTTTGTATTTTTTAGTAGAGACGGGGTTTCTCCATATTGGTCAGGCTGGTCTCAATCTCCCGACCTCAGGTGATCCGCCCGCCTCAGCCTCTCAAAGTGCTGAGATTACAGGCATGAGCCTTGATTTTTTTTTCTCTTTTCTTTTTTTGAGATGGATTCTCACTCTGTTACCCGGGCTGGAGTGCAGTGGTGCGATCTCGGCTCACTGTAACCTCCGCCTTCTAGGTTCAAGTGATTCTTCTGCATCAGCCTCCAGGCACACGCCACCATGCCTGGCTAATTTTTGTATTTTTGTAGAGACAGGGCTTTGCCATGTTGGCCAGGCTGGTCTCGAACTCTTGACCTCAGGTGATTTACCCTCCTTGACCTCCCAAAGTGCTGGGATTGCAAGTGTGAGCCACCGTGCCCAGCCATCCAGCACTTTGGAAGGCCAAGTCAAGGATCCTTTGAGGCAAGGATTTCAAGACCAGCCTAGGCAACATGGTGAGACCCCATCTCTACAAAAATAAAACAATAAAACACCGAGGTGGGCAGATCACCTGAGGTTGAGAGTTCAAGACCAGCCCGACCAACATGGAGAAACCCCATCTCTACTAAAAAAATACAAAATTAGCTGGGCATGATGGCGCATGCCTGTAATCCCAGCTACTCGGGAGGCTGAGGAAGGAGAATCGCTTGAACCTGGGAGGCAGAGGTTGCGGTGAGCCGAGATTGCGCCATTGCACTCCAGGCTGGGCAACAAGAGCAAAACTCTGTCTCAAAAAAATAATAAAAAATAAAAATAAAAAAATATATAATAAAACAACAACAACAAAAACAATAGATTCCCTGAGCTGAGTGTTCCTCAGCTGTGATCCAAACCCACCATCTTTGAGGCATCCATCTGGGCCACGTTGTGTTACCCCATGGAAGTTGGAGGGAAAGGGGAACTGATGCAAATATCCTGCTGCCTACGCTGCTTGCCATGCTGTAAGCAATAAAGTCCTTTGTCTCTGACCCAGGAGTCTTGTTTGTTTGTTTGTTTCTTTCTTTCTTTCTTTTCTTTCTCTTTCTTTCTTTCTTTCTTTTTCTTTCTTTCCTTTCTTTCTCTCTCTCTCTCTCCTTCCTTCCTTCCTTCTCTCTTTTTTTTTTTTGAGATGGAGTCTTGCTCTGTCGCCCAGGCTGGAGTGCAGTGGCGTGATCTCGGCTCACTGCAGCCTCCGTCTCCTGGGTTCAAGCGATTCTTCTGCCTCTGCCTCCTGAATAGCTGGGACCACAGGCGTGCACCACACACCCGGCTAATTTTTGTATTTTTAGTAGAGGTGGGTTTTCACCACGTTGGCCAGGATGGTCTCAATGTCCTGACCTCGTGATCTGCCCGCCTCAGACTCCCAAAGTCCTGGGATTACAGGTGTGAGCCACTGCGCCTGGCCAGCAGTCTTGTTTCTTTGGCCACATCCATAAAACAAGCAAGAGGCTAATTTATTAGTTTGTAAGTAGGGTAAAATCAAATTTCAGACCTGACAGTTTGCAAGTGGTAATTTTCCATTAATTTTTTATTTTATTTTATATATGTTTTTGAGATAGGGTCTCACTCTGGTTGCCCAGGCTGGAGTGCAGTGGCGCAACCACTGCTTACTGCAACCTTGACCTCCTGGGCTCAAGTGATCCACCATCGTGCCTGGCTGATTTTTTTTTTTTTGAGACAAGGTCTTGCTATGTTGCTCAGGCTGGTCTTGAACTCCTGGCCTGAAGCGATTCTCCCACTTTAGCCTACCAAACTGCTAGGATTACAGGAGTGAGGCACTGCACCTGGCCAATTTTCTGTTTTCATCATTCATTATACATTTATTGGTTGGAATTCTACTGTAAAGGAGAACTTTCCCTTCTCCTCTATGAATGAGTGAATGAATGAATTTGTATCATTATGGATTCAAGAATTCTTTTTTTTTTTTTTTGAGACAGAGTTTCACTCTTGTTGCCCAGGCTGGAGTGCAATGAAGCTATCTCAGCTCACCACAACCTCAACTTTTGGATTCAAGCGATTCTCCTGCCTCAGCCTCCTGAGTAGCTGGGGTTACAGGCATGCGCCACCATGCCTAATTTTTTATTGTTGGTGGAGATGGGGTTTCTCCATGTTGGTCAGGCTGGTCTCGAACTCCCAACCTCAGGTGATCTGCCTACCTCAGCCTCCCAAAGTGCTGGGATTATAAGCATGAGCCACCGCACCTGGCCTTTTATTTTTATTTTTTGACATGGAGTCTCACTGTGTCACCTAGGCTAAATAAAGTGCAGTGCACAATCATTAGCTCACTGCAGCCTTGAAATCCTGGGCTCAAGTGATCCTCTCACCTCAGCCTCCCAAGTAGCTAGCCTCAAGTGATCCTCCTGCCTCAGCCTCTCAAAGTGCTGGGATTACAGATGTGAGCCACCGTGACTGACCTATTATCTGATTTTAGCCAACAATGTTGTTTTTCTTAATATTCTTTCACTGTTAATTAAATGTGATTTAAGTAATATCTTTTAACTCTCAGTTGTTATAGATGAAACAGCCAGCAAAAACTCACCCTACTTCACTTCTTCCATAATCTTTGTCCTCCTAAATTTTCTATTGCATCATTTCTATATTGTCGAGTAGATAACATTTACGTTCTGTTTTTTCTCCCCCAAACCTGGGTTTGTTTAAGTCTTAGTTTTGCAGTTATATACACTCAATGCTCCTGCTTGTCCCTTTGCTGAAGTTCCCTTTGCCATACATTGGTGGGTAAAGTTTATTCGTTAACAGTTTCCTCAAGAAAAATATTCCCATGGGAGGCTGGGCGCGGTGGCTCACACCTGTTAATCCCAGCACTTTGGGAGGCTGAGGCAGGCGAATCACCTGAGGTTGCGAGTTGGAGACCAGCCTGACCAACATGGAGAAACCCCATCTCTACTAAAAGTACAAAATTAGCTGGGTGTGGTGGCACATGCCTGTAATCCCAGCTACTCAGGAGGCTGAGGCAGGAGAATCGCTTGAACCTGAGAGGCAGAAGTTTGTGGTGAGCTGAGATGGCGCCACTGCACTCCAGCCTGGGCAACAGGAGTGAAACTCAATCTCAAAAAAAAAAAAAAAAAAAAAGAAAAATATTCCCATGGGCAAAATATACCCAGAATTCCTATATGTTCAAAACTATCGTTTGTAGCCTTTCTGTGTGAATAATGGCTTGGCTTGTTTTAAAACAAAAAATCACTGGCTCATACTTTATTCATTTGTTTTTTTGAGACAAGGTCTTGCTCTGTTGCACAGACTGAAGTGCAGTGGCATGACTACAGCTCACTGCAGCTTCCACCCCTGGGGCCCAAGCCGTCCTCCCACCTTAGCCTCCCAACATGTGTGCGCCACCAAGCCCAGCGAATTTTTTTTTTTGTAGACACAGGGTTGGGGTGGGGAGGGAGGAGTCTCATGTTGCCCAGGCTGGTCTCAAACTCCTGACCTCAAGTGATCCTCCTACTTTGGCTTCCCAAAGTGCTAGGATTACAGGCATGAGGCACCATGCCCAGCCTATATATCTTTAAATATTTATTTATTTATTTTTAGAGATGGGGGTCTTACTCTGTTGCTGAAGCTAGCCTTGAACTCCTGGCCTCACGTGATTCTCCTACCTCAGCCTACCCAGTAGCTGGGACTACAGGTTCAAGTCACTACACCCAGTTAAATACTTATTTGTTCTGATGTTTGGTTATCTTCTTTGGAAATTTCAGTTGTGCATATGTTGGCTCTCTTTGGTCTGTTTTGTATAGCTATCTTTTTTTTTCTTTTTTTTTTTTTTGAGACAGAGTCTTGCTCTGTTGCCCAGGCTGGAATGCAGTGGTGCCATCTCAGCTCACTGCAACCTCTGCCTCCTGAGTTCAAGCGATTCTCATGCCTCAGCCTCCCAAGTAGCTGGGATTACAGGCTTGTACCAACTCGCCTGGCTAATTTTTGTATTTTTAGTAGAGACAGGGTTTCATCATGTTGGCCAGGCTGGTCTTGAACTCCTGACCTCAGGTGATCTGCCTACCTTGGCCTCCCAAAGTACTGGGATAACAAGTATGAGCCACCGCACCTGGCCAGCTGTCATTTTTTCTCTAATTTCATTTAATTCCTTTTGTTTATACTGTTTGCTTTTCTCATTTTTATCCTCCATATTGGTTAATATATTTTTCATAGTGTCCACTTTTATTTTTGCCCTTTTTAGTTTCATATTCACTTCTGTGATGGTTATTTTACCTATTTGTTGGAGATGGCATCTCAATATGTTTCCTAGGCTGGATTTGAACTCCTGAGCTCAAGTGATCCTCTTGCCTCAGCCTCCTGAGTAGTTGGCATTATAGGCATGTGCCAACATGCCCAGCATGATAGTTATGTTTTTCCCTTCTACTTCCTTTTGATTTTTTTTTCTTTTTTTGAGACAGGGTCCCACTCCATTGCCCAAGCTGAAGTTCAGTGGCACGAACATGTTTCACTGCAGCCTCAACCTCCTGGGCTCAAGCTGTCCTGCCTCAGCCTCCCGTGTAGCTGGGACCACAAGCACTCGCCATCACACCTGGATAATTTTTTGATGTTTCATGGAGACAGTGCTTCACTTTGTTGCCTATGCTGGTCTTGAACTCCTGGCCTCAAGCAATCCTTCTGCTTTGGCCTTCCAGAGTGCTGAAATTACAGGTTTGAGTCACTGTGCCCGGCTTCCTTCTGCTTCTTTCCTGGATTTTGTCAGTTTTGTCTCTTCTCCTTGTCTTATTTTGTCATCTTTTCCATGAATTCCTGTATTTGTATTTTTGTTTGTCTTCCATGGAAAGAATTCATTTTTTTTTTCCAAACAGATCTTTTTGAATCTTGGCTCACTGCAACCTCAGCCTCCTGAGTTCAAGCAATTCTCCTGCCTCAGCCTCCCTAGTAGCTGGGATTACAGGTGTGGGACACCACACCCGGCTAATTTTTCTATTTTTACTAGAGACAGGGTTTTGCCATGTTGCCCCAGCTGGTCTCCAACTTCTGGCCTCAAGTGATCCGCCCACCTTGGCCTCCCAAAGTGCTGGGATTACAGGTGTGAGCCACTGTGCCCAGTGCACTCACATGTTTCTGATGTCTCTCCATGTCCAAATTTTCTCTTCTTACAAGGACACAGGTCAGATTAGATTAGGGCTCACTTTAGAGACCTCATTTTAACATAATCACCTCTTTAAAGACCTTGTCTCTGTGCCAGGTGAGGTGGCTCACATCTGTAATCCAGCACTTTGGGACACTGAGGTGGGCAGATCATGAGGTCAAGAGATCAAGACCATCCTGGCCAACATGGTGAAAACCCGTCTCTACTAAAAATACAAAAATTAGCTGGACATGGCGGCGGGCGCCTGTAGTCCCAGCTACTCAGGAGGCTGAGGCAGGAGAATCGCTTGAACCCAGGAGGTGGAGGTTGCAATGAGCTGAGATCACACCACTGCACTCCATCCTGGCAACAGAGTGAGACTTGGTCTCAAACAAACAAACAAACAAACAAAAACCTTGTCTCCAAATATAGTCACATTCTGAGGTATTGGGGGTTAAGACTTCAAGATATGGACTTTGGGGGAACACAGTTCATTCAGCCCATAGCAAAGGTGTCCCTTCCTTTTTTCTTTAATTCATTATAGAATGAGTTGTATTTTCCTGGACCGATCATTTGCAAGGGTCTTCTCTGAAGGAAAGACAAGAGGGACCAGGGTAGTTTTACAAGCTTCTCAATGCAAACGAAGGTTTTCAGCTGCCACAGTCAGACTGTGTCATTCAATGTGGCTCTTGGTAGTTTTTGTGTAGTTCTGCCTCCTTTGCTGTGTACTATTTTTTGTTTTGTTTTATTTTTGTTATTTTTTCTTTGCACTGTTCTAAACTGGCCCTGTAGGGCTTCGCCTCCCAGTCCAGTACTCCCTAGCATCACCACCAATCACTGCACATAGGGCACACAGCCCCTGTGTTTCTGGTGAGCTCTTCATCTACCTTTTTTTTTTTTTTGAGACAGTCTCTCTGTTGCCCAGGCTGAAGTGCAGTGGCACGATCTCAGCTCACTGCAACCTCCACCTCCAGGGTTCAAGGGATTCTTGTGCCTCAGCCTCCCGAGTAGCTGGGATTACAGTCGTGAGCCAGCATGTCTAGCCTTTTTTGGTATTTTTTTGCAGAGATGGGGTTTTGCTATGCCACCCAGGCTGGTCTCAAATTCCTGGACTCAAGCAATCCACCTGCCTTGGCCTCCCAAAGTGCTGGGATTACAGGCGCGACTGGCTGTCTCTCTCTCTCTCTCTCTCTCTCTCTCTCTCTCTCTCTCTCTCAAGTGATAGAGTCTTAGGGCCAGGCACAGTGGCTCACGCCTGTAATACCAGCACTTTGGGAGGCCAAGATGGGCAGATGATGAAGTCAGGAGTTCAAGACCAGCCTGACCAGCATGATGAAACCCCGTCTCTACTACAAATACAAAAATTAGCTGGGCTTGGTGGTGTGCACCTGTAATCCCAGCTACTCAGGAGGCTGAGGCAGGAAAATTGCTTGAACCTGGGAGGCTGAGGTTGCAGTAAGCCGAGATCGTGCCACTGCGCTCCAGTCTGGGCCACAGAGTAAGACTCTATCTCAAAAAAAAAAAAAAAGATTCTTGTTATGATGACCAGGCTCGTCTCAAATTCCTAGGCTCAAGCAATCCTCTTGCCTTAGCCTCCCAAAGTGGTTGGATTATAGGCATGAGCTACCGTGCTGGCCAAAATAGAATGTTAGTGACACACCCTACATTGAATTTACTTGGAAGGCTGATTCTTTTCCCATGCCCTCCCTAGGAGAGTGAGCTGGGTGTTAGGACCTTAACTCTGCCCATAAGATGCTCAGGCCAGGAGAGATGCCCTTCACCCCTTGGATTACAAGGGTTTCAACTCCCTTTCTGCTTGTTTGAGCCTTGCCCTCAGTTCTTTTTATCCCTGCTCTGCTGTGCTTGTTTCAAACAACACATTTTTGGACTGTGGCATGAACGGCTCATCTTCAGAGAGTCTGTTTTAGTTGTGTTTCCTAGGATCTGCATCTGCCTCTTCGCGTGTAACTTTGGTAGCCCTTGTGCAGGTCTTGGAGTCTCCAGTGACTTTTTGTCTTCTAGTTTTGCTGAATATGGGATTTCTGCCTCATTCCCCCCCACTATGTCTCCCTATCACTTTGCATAATTTCTAGGAGGAGGAAGGGGAAGATTCGGTCAAATATTGCTGCAGTTCTTATACTATAATCATATTGCTTTGTAATATAAATTTCCCCCACTTTTTCCATTATAAAGATAGCTGTAGGCCAGATGTGGTGGCTCATGTCTATAATCCCAGCGCTTGAACCCGGAAGGTGGAGATTGCAGTGAGTTGAGATTGCACCACTGCACTCCAGCCTGGACGGCGACAGAGCCACGCACTGTCTCAAAAACATAAAAATAAATAAATAAATGAATGTTTCATCTTTTATATAGCTGTATAGACATAGATGTATAACCATATACCATACCTGGATATAGACACACGTAGAGATTTATTTGTTCAAAAATGGGGGCTCACATTATATATATGTTCTGCAACTTCCTTTATTCATGTGACATATCATGGGCATATTTCCATGGTGTGACTTATTTTGAATGCTAATGTTTATATTAAATCACATTTCAAACTGTGTTCTTTTAAGACATTCATGCTATTTTAATGTATTGGTATTATTTGTTTATTTATTTATTTTGAGATGGAATCTTTCTCCGTCACCAGGCTGGAGTGCAGTAGCGCGATCTCGGCTCACTGCAACCTCCACCTCCTGGGTTCAAGCGATTCCCCTGCCTCAGCCTCCCAAGTAGCTGGGACTACAGGTGTGGACCACCATGCCCAGCTACTTTTTTGTATTTTAGTAGAGATGGGGTTTCACCATGTTGGCCAGGATGGTCTCGATCTCCTGACATCGTGATCTGCCTGCCCCGGCCTCCCAAAGTGCTGGGATTACAGGTGTGAACCACCGTGCCCAGGCAGCAATGTATTGCTATTTAACATATTGATATGAAATATTAAATTTGTTAGCAAATATTTTATACACACAGATACAAAAAGCATCTGTACACCTACTATCCTACTTAAAGGAACATTATTACTATAATGCCATTGATTAACTCTACATACCTTTTCTCAATCTCATTTCCTTTCTTACTTTCAGAAGTAACTACTCTCCTGCAGTTTATGTTGTAAGTTATCATTTATGACATTAAATGATATTCTCTTTTTAAAGTTTCCAATGGCTATTGGAGTATCACAGTAATCACAGTAACTGAGAATGTTCACAGTATTGCTGTAAAAATTCTTATATATGTGGCTCCTCCAATCATACAACTTTCTTTTTTTTTTTTTTGAGACAGAGTTTCACTCTTGTTGCCCAGGCTGGAGTGCAATGGCGTGATCCCAGGTCACCGCAACCTCTGCCTCCCGGGTTCAAGCGATTCTCCTGCCTCAGCTTCCCCAGTAGCTGGGATTACAGGCATGCATCAATACGCCTGGCTAATTTTGTATTTTTAGTAGAGACGGGGTTTCTCCATGTTGGTCAGGCTGGTCTTGAACTCCCGGCCTCAGGTGATCCGCCTGCCTCAGCCTCCCAAAGTGCTGGGATTACATGCATGAGCCACTGCGTGCCTGGCCTCTTTTTTTTTTTTTTTTTTTTTTTTTAGACAGAGTCTCACTCTGCCACCCAGGCTGGAGTGCAGTGGCGTGATCTTAGTGCAGCCTTAACCTCCAGGCTCAAGCCATCCTCCCAACTCAGCCAAGTAGCTGGGACTTGAGGTGTGTGCCACCACGTCCCACTAATGTTGTTTATTTTTTGTAGCGATTAGGTCTCAATATGTTGCCCAGGGTGGTCTTGAAATCCTGGGCTCAAGCGATCCTCCCACCTAGGCCTCCCAAAGTGGTGGGATTAGAAGCATGATCCACCACACCCAGCCTACTCATGAAAGTTTCTCCTGAGTGTCTCCCTCAGGTGGAATTGCTGGGTTGTATAAATTGCGTGTGTTTAGTGTTACTAACACCATATTGTTTTCCGGAGTGTTCGTTCCAATTTACTATACTTTAGAAGGCCATTATCAGTGAATAACTTTTTAAAAAGGAGTACATGATTCTAACACAATTAGCCATTAGAAAATTTGTGGCTGGGCACGGTGGCTCACTCCTGTCATCCCAGCACTTTGGGAGACTGAGGTGAGCAGATCACCTGAGGCCAGGGGTTTGAGACCAGCCCGTCCTACCTGGTGAAACCCCCGTCTCTACTAAAAACACAAAAATTAGCTGGGCATGGTGGTGCCTGCCTGTAATCCCAGTTACTTGGGAGATTGAGGCAGGAGAATCACTTGAACCCAGGAGGCAGAGGTTGCAGTCAGCCGAGATCACGCCACTGCACTCCAGCCTGGGCAACACAGAGAGACTCCGTCTAAAAAAAAAAAAAAAAGAAAAAGAAAAATTAAAAGAAAATTTGTTAGCTTAAAAAATGTGATCTGTAGAAAACCTTTCAGAGCCGGGTAAGGCGGATCACACTTGGGCTTGAGCCCAGGAGTTGGAGACCAGTCTTGGCAACATAATGAGACCCAGGCTCTACTAAACATAAAAAACCAGCCTGGCATGGTGGCACACACCTGTGGTCCCAGCTACTTAGATGGCTGAGGCAGGAAGATTGCTTGAGCCCAGCAGTTCGAAGCTTCAGGAACAGTAGTATGACGTGCATTACTTTTGACTAACCAATTGTGATTAAAAACTTTGCAAAATAAATTGCTAATATTTTTATTATGGCTTCATTTTGCTGTATTGTATTTGGTTCACATGTGCTATTATTCCAGTAAGAACAGCAATTAAACTTTTTTTGTTTTTTTTTTTAGAGAATCTGGCTCTGTCACCCAGGCTGGAGTGCAGTGGCGCAATCTCGGTTCACTGCAACCTCTGCCTCCTGGGTTCAAGTGATTCTCCTGCCTCAGCCTCCTGAGTAGCTGGGATTACAGGCGCCCGCCACCAGGCTCGGCTACTTTTTGTATTTTTAGTAGAGACAGGGTTTTGCCATGTTGGCCAGGCTGGCCTCGAACTCCTGACCTCAGGTGATCCTCCCACCTCGGACTCCCAAAGTTCTGGGATTACAGGCGTGAGCCACTCCGCCCAGCCTAATGAAGCATATTTTAATCTGTTTCATAGTTTTGCCTTGTCTGGCAAGATTACCTCCTGGTTGTTACACTATATGTGACCACTCATTAGTGTCTTCTAGGCAACTATATATATATATTTTTAATGTGATATGCTTTAGCAAAACAGCGTCTACAATACTGCCATCTCATGCCCACAAGTATTAATACAGGTGTGAGTGTGAGGTGGATTCCAGGACCATGAAGAGGTAACAGATTTTATTTTAATTAATTAACTAATTAATTTTTTGGAGGCAAGGGCTCGCTTTTTTACCCAGGCTGGAGTACAGTGGCATGATGACGGCTCACTGTAACCTGGAACTCCTGGGCTCAAATGATCCTCCTGCCTCAGCTTCCCAAGTAGCTAGGACTATAGGTATGCACCACCACACCCAGCAAGATTTTGGTAAATATAAATATTTTATCTGAAATCTATTTAATATTAAACATTTATGAAATACAAATAATAGGTAACTCTTCTAGCCATCCACATTTACATACTTGAGTTTCTTTTCCCCTCAAAACAACTTCTCAGTTACAACTTACACTTAGATACAAACATTTGGTGTTTAACATTTTGTTTCCTTTATTATGCTTTTAAAAAAACTACTTCAGGCTGGGCACAGTGGCTCATGCCTGTAATCCCAGAGCTTTGGGAAGCTGAGGTGGGCAGATCACTTGAAGTCAGGAGTTTGAGACCAGCCTGGCCAACATGGTGAAACCCCATCTCTACTAAAAATACAAAAATTAGCCAGGCATGGGTGTACGTCTGTAATCCCAGCTACTTGGGTGGCTGAGGCAGAAGAATTGCTTGAACCTGGGAGGCAGAGGTTGCAAGATTGCTCCACTGCACTCCAGCCTGGGTGACAGAGAACAAAAGCAAAATATATACAGGTTCTTGACTAGATTGTTATTTCAGACCCCTATTAGGAACCCCACCATGAATTGTATAATTTTTTAATCTCATTATTTCAAAATATCAGAATTCATCCTCTGAATCCTTTATCAGAACCACTTCCCACAGACTTGGTGTTATGGTAAACTGAGGAACAGAGATACTGATATGGGAACACAGGAAGATATTCATTTTAAGGTAAGCACTGGCTCAGTGGATTCACATCTAAAAAGCTGAGCCTAGAACAAAGACAGAGGTGGGGGGTTTATAAGCAGGCTTACAAAAGCAAAACAAAGGCAGTTAATCATATAGTGCATAACTTGTGGCCTTGCATAGCTGGTGGCCTTGTAGCTGCATCGAAAGAAAAACAAGAACTGGCTAAATACAGACATTTGTAAAACACAGTCACGCTTAAGAGGCTAGGGAAAGGAGTGGCTGGGCACAGTGGCTCACACCTGTAATCCCAGCACTTTGGGAGGCCGAGGCAGTGGATCGCTTGAGGTCAGGAGTTCCAGACCAGTCCAGCCAATGATGACACCCTGTTTCTACTAAAAAAGTACAAAAAAAATAGCCGGGCATGGTGGCACATGCCTGTAATCCCAGCTACTTGGGAGGCTGAGGCAGGAGAATCGCTTGGACCCGGGAGGCGGAGGTTGCAGTGAGCCAAGATCATCCCATTCATTGCACTCCAGCCTGGGCAACAGAGTGAGACTCTGTCTCAAAAAAAAACAAAAACAAAAACAAAAAACAAAAAAAAGCTAGAGAAAGGAGAGTAACAGTAAAGTAATTTGTCTTTCTCCTTTTTTTTTCTTTCAACCTTGCTCTGGAAGAGGGAGAGGTGTCTGGAGCCTGTTCCTTTGGTCTTGGCTTTTCGGACAGCGTTATTTTATAACTGTCCTTTAAGTGAGCTGCTAAGCAGAGGAAAACTTGTTTCTTTTCCTTTTAACCTTTGCCTTGCCTGCTACTTTTCTTGAAGTGAATGAATGCATATTTATTTTTAAATTTTCTGCCTCACTGGCAGATATTAAACTGGATGTCCCCAAAAACTTGCAACCATTTTCTTACTAATAAAATCTGGAAATATTATTTATTTAGTTTTATAATAAAGACAGGGCCTTACTTTGTTGCCCAGGCTGGTCTCAAATTCCTAGGCTCAAGCAATCCTCCTGCCTTGGTCTCCCAAAGTGCTGGGATTACAGGCGGGAGCACCGAGCCTGGCCTCAAAATCTGGAAGTATTGAATATAGGGCACATCCAATCCAAGAGCATCAGGCCTCTTGTTACCGGATAGAATTGTGTTTTGGTGACTAGGCACAGTGGCTCATGCCTGTAATCCCAGCAGTTTGGGAGGCCAAGGTGGCCAGATCACTTGAGGTCAGGAGTTCGAGACCAGCCTGGCCAACATGGTGAAACGCTGTCTCTACTAAAAATACAAAAATTAGCTGAGCGTGGTGGCATGCACTTGTAATCCCAGCTACTAGGGAGGCTGAGGCAGGAGAATCACTTGAACCCAGGAGGCGGAGGTTGCAGTGAGCACCACTGCACTTCAGCCTGGGTGACAGAGGGAGACTCGGTCTCAAAAAAAAAAAAAAAAAAGGATTGTGTTTTGGTGGGGAGGGTCCTGTAGCTAAGGGCAGGGATGCTGTGACCATGTGTCCTGCCCCAGGGATTGCATCCTCTGTGTGGGTGAGCAACTTAGAGTGAGCCTGGAGTGCAGACTGTCAGCCTCTGAGGTTTCAGGTTGTGTTTTAGAGTGGACCTTGATGCCCAGCTCCACCCAGCTAACGCCAGTGGTAAATGTTTGGGGGAAACACCTCTTATTTGTTGTAGTTAACATACAAGGAGCTGGGCAAGTGACACATGGGATAAATTTTTTTTTTTTTTTGAGAGGGAGTCTTACTCTGTTGCCCAGGCTGTAGTGCAGTGGCATGATCTTGGCTCACTGCAACCTCCTCTTCCCAGGTTCAAGCAATTCTCCTGCCTTGGCATCCCAAGTAGCTAGGACTACAGGCATGCGCCACCATGCCCCGCTAATTTTTGCATTTTTGTTAGAGACGGAGTTTTGCCATGTTGTCCAGGCTGGTCTGAAACTCCTGACCTCAGGTATCCACCTGTGTCGGTCTCCCAAAGTGCTGGGATTACAGGCTTGAGCCACTGCGCCGGGCCAGAAATTTTTGAAACAGAAAGAAATAGGCTGGGCGCAGTAGCTCACACCTGTAATCCCAACACTTTGGGAGGCTGAGGAGGGAGGATCGCTTCAGCCCATGAGTTCGAGCACAGCCTGGGAAACACAGTGAGAACCCCCCCCCCCCAATCTCTATTTAAAAACATAATAAAAATTAAAAATAGGCCAAATAGGTCAAACCTGGATTTCAAAAGAGGACCCCCACGGGGATTTCATTAATTGCAGAATCAGTGCCGCGGTCCCTTGCTTCCCTCACCTACTCTTATCCCAAGTGGCGGTGGCGGCAGCGCAGAGCAGCTTCTGAAGGTCCAGGAGCTCTTTTGTTCCTCCTCTGCAAAGCAAAGGTGCCACAGGGCGCGGCTTTCCGAGAAAGCGTACTCCGCACGGTGCACCTCTCCGTCTGCAGGCGCTGAGCCCCCGGAGGAGGAGGGGGCAGGCTCGCGGAGCCCCTACCCTGGGGCGGGGCCAAGGCGTCCTCCCAGCCCGGCTTTGCAGAGCAGAGATCTGGTGTCTCCAGTTTACGGAGGCACTTTCAGAACTGATCAGAAGCCACCCCGCTTATCAGCAGATCTCAGGAGAGTGTTCAGTGGAGGCCCTGCCGGTCTGCACAGCTCACCTCCCTGGGAACTGCTCGCCTGAGCGTCGGAGCCGGCCCTGGCCCCCTGCAGCCAGAAAGTTGCAGCCGCAGGAGCCCCGGAGGCCCAGGACGCAGGGTAAGTCCCTGCCTTGTGCCTTCCCTGTGCCCAACTTTCTGATTTCGCCGACTTTCCTTTTCCTCTTCCAGGCTTCCTGTCTGAGTCTACATTTATTCTGCTTAGTCGCATAGGCAGATCATTTCCTAGAATCTCCAGGCTTTCTTTTCATTGATTTATTTTTTGGGGTAGCTTCACTGTCTAATCTCTCAGCAGCTGCCTGTTTCCAAACAGCATGAATGAATGATGCAGTCCTGCGCAGGAGCACTCTCAGTGCAAAATTGGGGCCATCCCAAACTCAGAGTTGAAGTGTCCGACTTTGTCGTCTCCTTTCCCATTAGAATTAGAATTAGAATTTTAAAATAAGTACTTACCAGGTACATTGTTAATAACGATACAACTTCAAGTTGGGAATTAAGTTAATCATGCTTTCATTCATTAAATGTATTTACTATCTTTTTCTTTTTTTCTCTTCTTTTCTTTTCTTTCTTTTCTGAGACCGTCTCATTCTGTCGCCCAGGCTGAAGTGCAGTGGCGCGATCTTGGCTCACTGCAACCTCCCTCTACGGGGTTCAAGGGATTCTCCTGCCTCAGCCTCCCGAGTAGCTGGACGCATGCCATCATGCCCAGCTAATTTTTATATTTGTAGTAGAGACAGGGTTTCACCATGTTAGCCAGGTTTGTCTCAAACTCCTGGCCTCAAGCGATCCACCGCCTCAGCCTCCCAAAGTGCTGGGATTACAGGCATGAGCCACTGTACCTGGCCACTATATTTTCTTTACGTATGTTTGCATATTATTACTTTTTAAATATTTGATGACTGATATTGGAATGAGAATCAGGGAGGAAAATAATAAAATCCAATATTCCTGTATTACAGTGCCAGGTAGGTTTTCAATATCATGACCATAGTCCTGTCACTTTCATGTCGGTGAAACAAAGTAATCAGGACTTTTTAAAATTTTCAGATGATTTAATATATGCCTGATACCTACCTTCCTTCTTTTCTTTTTTGTTTTAAGAGACAGGGTCTCACTTGGTCACCCAGGCTGGAGTGCAGTGGTGCAATCATAGCTTATTGCAGTCGCAAACTCCTGAGCTCAAGTGATCCTCCCCTCAGCCTCCCAAGTAGCTGGGACTACAAGTATGCACCACCATGCCTGGCTCATTTATTTTATTTTTTGTACAGATGACGTCTCACTATGTTGCCCAGGCTGGTCTCAAACACCTGGGCTCAATCAATCCTCTCACCTCGGCCTCCCAAAGTACTGGGATTACAGGGGTGAGCCCCCATGCCCGGCCTTGTTTTATTTTATTTTTAAGAAAATACTTGGACTAGCTGGGCATGGTGGTTCACACCTGTAATCCCAGCACTTTGGGAGGCTGAGGCGAGCAGATCACCTGAGGTCAGGAGTTCAAGACCAGCCTGGCCAGCATGGTGAAACCCTGTCTACTAAAAATACAAAAAATTAGCTGGGCATGGTGGTGTGTGCCTATAATGCCAGCTCTCAGGAGGCTGAGGCAGGTGAATTGCTTGAACCTGGGAGGTGGAAATTGCAGTGAGCTAAGATCGCGCCACTGCACTCCAGCCTGGGCGACAAGAGTGAGACTCCATCTCAGGAAAAAAAAAAGAAAAAAAGAAAAAAAAAGAAAATATTTGGGCTAGAATTAGGGTGGAAGGGATCCTCAAGTTTGCCTAGACCAGCCTCTTATCAGAGACTTTTTTAAAGCCAGTGTTTTATTGCTATATAATTAAATGTAATAAAATACACTCTTTAAGTGTGCATTTTGATGAATTTTGACAAATTTATTCATACTTGTAATCATCACAATAACATTTCCATCACCCAGAAGGTTCCTAGGGCCTCTTTCCAGTCAGCCCCGTCCCAACCCCCAGCCCTACTGATCTGATCTTTGTTGTTAGGGCATTTGTATTTTCTAGTGTTTCATATAACTGAAACAGTATGTGCTCTTGTGTCTGGCTTCTTTCCATCGGTATAATTTTTTTTTTTTGAGATGGAGTTTCGCTCCTGTTGCCCAGGCTGCAGTGCAGTAGCGCAATCTCAGCTCACTGCAACATCTGCCTTCCGGGTTCAAGTGATTCTCCTGCCTCAGCTTCCTGAGTAGCTGGGATTACAAGCATGCGCCACCATGCCCAGATAATTTTGTATTTTTAGTAGAGACAGGGTTTCACCATGTTGGTTGGGCTGGTCACTGCTGACCTCAGGTAATCTGCCTGCCTTGGCCTCCCAAAGTGCTGGGATTACAGGTGTGAGCCACCGTGCCTGGCCTTCCATCGGTATAATTTTTTTTTTTTTTGAGACTGAGTCTTGCTCTGTCCCCCAGGCTGGAGTGCAGTGGCGCAATCTTGGCCCACTGCAACCTCTGCCCCCTGGGTTCAAGCGATTCGCCTGCCTCAGCCTCCTGAGTGGCTGGGACTACAGGCATGTGCCACCGTGCCCAGCTAATTTTTTGTATTTTTAGTAGAGACGGGGTTTCACCGTGTTAGCCAGGATGGTCTCAATCTCCTGATCTCGTGATCCACCTGCCTCAGCCTCCCAAAGTACTGGGATTACAGGCATGAGCCACCGCGCCCAGCCCTATTGGTATATTTTTTAAAATATTTATCCATGTTGTAGCATGTATCAGTAATTCATTTCTTTTTATTACTGAGTAGTGTTCCATCGTAGGGATATACCACAATTTGTTTAGCTATTTATCTGTTGGTGAATATTTGGGTTTTTTCTTGTGTTGGGCAGTCACAAATAAAGCTGCTATGAATATGTTTTCATTTCTCTTGGATAAAACTCCAAGACTGGGATTGCTGGGTGTCTTTTTAATTTTTATTTTTTGAGATGGAGTTTCACTCTTGCTGCCCAGGCTGGAGTGCAATGGCGCAATCTCGGCTCACCGCAACCTCTGCCTTCTGGGTTTAAGCAATTCTCCTGCCTCAGCCTCCCTAGTAGCTGGGATTACAGGCATGTGCCACCATGCCTGGAAATTTTGTATTTTTAGTAGAGACGGGGGTTTCACCATGTTGGCTAGGCTGGTTTTGAACTCCTGACCTCAGGTGATCCACCTGCCTCAGCCTCCCAAAGTGCTGGGATTACAGGCATGAGCCACCGCGCCCAGCCTTGGTGGGTCCTATGATAAGTATATGTTTAACTTTATAAGAAACTGCAGTCCCAGTGTGGTGGCTCACGGCTGTCATCTCAGCACTTTGGGAGGCCAGTGTGGGAGGATTCCTTGAGGCCATGAGTTCAATGTCAGCCTGGGCAACATAGCGAGACCCTGTTTCTACAAAAAATAAAAACTTAGCGGGGCATGGTGGTGTGCATCTGTAGTCCCCGCTACTCAGGAGGCTGAGGTAGGAGGATTGCTTAAGCCCAGGAGTTCTAGGCTGCAGTGGGCTATGATTGCACTGCTGCACTCCAGCCTGGGTGACAGAGCAAGACCCTGTCTCAGACATGCGCACACACACACACACACACACACACACACACACACACACACACACAAACTGTTGTCTTTGCTTCCTTGTAATTGGGCAGCAGATCCTTTCTCTGATTCATCTTGGAATGCTGTTGTCTCTGTCCCCTGTATTTATATATTTATTTATTTTTGAGATGGAGTCTCGCTCTATCACCCAGGCTGCAGAGCAGAGACACGATCTCGGCTCATTGCAAACTCCACCTCTGGCGTTCAAGTAATTCTCCTGCCTCAGCCTCCCGAGTAGCTGGGACCACAGGCATGTGCCACCACATCCGGTGAATTTTTTTTTCTTTTGAAACGGAGTGTCTCTCTATTGCCCAGGCTGGAGTGCAGTGGCGTGATCTGGGCTTACTGCAACATCTGCCCCCTGGGTTCAGCAATTCTCCTGCCTCAGCCTCCCAAATAGCTGGGCTTACAGGCACATGCTACTACCACTTGGCTAATATCTTTGTATTTTTAGTAGCGAGAGGGTTTCACCATGTTGGCCACGCTTGTCTCAGACTCCTGATCTCAAGTGATCCACCAGCCTTGGCCTCCCAGTGCTGGGATTACAGGCGTGAGGCACTGCGCCCGCCTGAGTCTGCTTCTGTGTCTATTCATTTAGTTCTCCCAAGAGATTCTCTTTCCCTCTCCCTCTGCCTCTCTCTTTTCTTTGTACTCTGCTAATCAGGTTTACATGATTTCCTATCAGACCTGAATCTTGCAGAATTGAAGCCACAGAAAAGAATATGCTGACTCTGCAGTGCTTGAAGGGGGTAAAACTAAAGCATTACCTAGAGGAAGCAGTCTTAGGAAATTTTGCCTCTGACTCGTTTTTGTGACAGTCCCACCAGGAGAGAGTGAAGCCAGTCTCCCTCTTTCCTGTTTTGTGTCTGGACTTCAATGTTCATTTCCTCATTCTCTCTTTCTAGGATCTTGCTCTTGCAGAATCTACAGGTCTTTCTTGAAGAAATCTGTAGTCATAATTTTGTGCTCCATTTTTATTTAGGGGAGGAACAGGAAGAGAAGAGTGTGGCCTCCTAGAAATCTAGCACGGAGAAAGGTAAGTCTGATTTGTCTTTTTTTGGTCTTGTTTTGTTTTTTTTGCTGTCATTGTAATTTTTTTTATGCATTCGACTATTATACGTTATACTGTTATATTATGTTGGCCAGACTGGTCTTGAACTCCTGACCTCGTGATACTCAGCCTCCCAAAGTGCTGGGATTACAGGAGTGAACCACCAAGCCCGGCTTGACCTCTTGGCTTTTACCAAAGGATGTTTGCTTCTGAGGAAGCTGGAAGCTGCAGCCACAATGTGCCTTTGCAGGGGAGCCTGAGAGCCACAGGTAAGGACAACTGAGTTAGACAGGAGGGATGGGGCCTAGGGGGAGGGCAGAGTGCATCACATTCCCCCACCCAGACCCACAGGCCACGGCATCACAGCCCCATGCAAGTCCCGACTCCTGTCTCTCTGATTGTGTGATTCCCAGTTATTCCCATTTCCCTAACAGATAAACCTCCCAATGGGTTCAATGCATACACTTTTATTAAATCTCACTCTGTCACCCAGGCTGGAGGGCAGTGGTGTGATCTCGGCTCACTGCAAGCTCCGCTTTACAGGTTCAAGCGATTCTCTTCAGCCTCCTGAGTAGCTGGGACTACAGGCATGCACCACCAGGCCTGGCTAATTTTTTTGTATTTTTAGCAGAAATAGGGTTTCACCATGTTGGTCAGGCTGATCATGAACTCCTGACCTCAAATGACCCACCTGCCTCGGCCTCCCAAAGTGCTGGGATCACCTGCCCACTCCCTTGGTGAGGAGCCCCCTAGGGCACCTCCACCTCCTGGAGCACAAATGTTGTTGAGATGAGCAGCTTGAGACATGGTATGGACCTATGCGGAGGTGTCCCTAGACAATGATGGCATCAGAGTGAGAGGCTGGATGAGGATGTGTCTGGGGGAGCTTCGAGGTGCTGTGATGTGTAAGAGATCATTAATTCCAGGATGCCACCCCAAGGAGAATATGCATGGACCAAAGATGAGGGGTCCCCAGGAGGGTGAACCAATAGTAAGGCCCCCAGATTCCATCCCTAGCCAGGCTCCCTGCTAAGTGGCAATTAGAAAAATTCCTCTTTACAGAAAACAGAGCATCAATTAGGTCCCCAATTACAGAGCCAGTCCTCTACCCTCTAGTGAAAGCTTCCAGTGGACAAGAAAAGCTTGAGAAAGCCAGAAGGAATAGGAACCCACAGCTCAGGCCGGGCCGAGGCTTCATAAATCAAAAGGACATTTTTTTTTTTTGAGAGATAAGGTCTCACTCCATCACCCAGGCTGGTGTGCAGTGACCCAATCATGGCTCACTGCAGCCTTGAACTCGTGAGCTCAAGTGATCCTCCCAGCTCAGCCTCCTGAGTAGCTGGGACCACAGGTGCACACCACCATGCCTTGCTAACTTTTATTTTTATTTTTGAGACACAGTCTCGCTCTGTCACCCAGGCTGGAGTGCAATGGTGCATTCTTGGCTCACTGCAACCTCCGCCTCCTGGGTTCAAGTGACCCTCCTGCCTCAGCCTCCCAAGTAGCTGGAATTACAGGTGCATGCCACCAGGCCCAGCTAATTTTTGTATTTTTATAGAGACAGTGTTTCACCATGTTGGCCAGGCTGGTCTTGAACTCCTGACCTCAGGTGATCCGCCCACCTCAGCCTCCCAAAGTGCTGAGATTACAGGCGTGAGCTACCGTACCCAGCCCATGGCTAATTTTTAAACTTTTTTGTAGAGATGGAGTCTCACTATGTTGCCCAGGCTGGTCTCAAGCTCCTGGCTTCAAGCAGTCCTCCCACCTCAGCCTCCCAAAGTGCTGGGATTACAGGCATGAGCCACCATGCCCAGCCGCAGAAGGGCAATTATTACACAGTGACAGTGGAAGGAAGAGAGAGACACAGTCGGTGGATGGTGGGAAGATAAGAACATTCACTCTGAGGGCTTCTAGTAATGTTGGAGAAGTGAGTGTCAGCTGAGCAGAAGGGAGGGAGGGAAGGAAGCACAGGAGGTTTGAGGAGAGAGAGAGAGGAAGTATGAAATCGCTGTTGCAAACCTCCTGGGGGAATGTAGAGGGGTTGCCAGGAAGCCCACTTGAAGTCTGAATTTAAAGTGAAAGTCCAGCCAGGCCAGGTGCGGTGGCTCACGCCTGTAATCCCAGCACTTTCAGAGGCTGAAATGGGTGGATCACCTGAGGCCAGGAGTTCATGACCAGCCTGGCCAACATGGTGAAACTCCATCTCTACTTAAAATATAAAAATTAGCTGGGCAGGGTTGTGGGCACCTGTAATCCCAGCTACTCAGGAGGCTGAGGTGGGAGAATTGCTTGAACCCAGGAGACAGAGGTTGCAGTGAGCTGAGATTGCGCCACTGCACTCCAGCGTGGGTGACAAGAGCAAAACTCCGTCTCAAAAAAAAAAAAAAAAGTCAAAGTACAGCCAAACATGGTGGCTCACACCTGTAATCCCAGCACTTTGGGGTGTTGAGGTGAGGAGGATTGCTTGAGGCCAGGAGTTCAAGAGCAGCCTAGGCAACATGGCGAGACCTTATCTCTATAGAAAATTAGAAAATTAGATGGGCATGGTGTGGTGCACGCCTGTGATCCCAGCTCCCACAGAACCTGAGATGGGAGGATCGCTTCAGGAGATGGAGGCTGCAGTGAGCTCTGATCACACCACTGCACTCCAGCCTGGGTGACAGAGTGAGACCCTGTCACTAAAATAAATAAATAAATAAATAAATAAATAAGTAAATGAATAAATAGATGAATAAAGTGAAAGTGCAGCTGAGTGTGTGCTTTCCCAGTGATGCTTGGCTGTCCAGTTGCAGATGCAAGAGATCCAGCCTGTTCATGTCACCCTTGCCCAGGGGAACAATGTCAGGAGAGAGAGAGAAAAAGGAGGTTTTTTTTCTTCTTTTTTTGAGATGGAGTCTCCCTCTGTCGCCTAGGCTGGAGTGTAGTGGTGTGATCTCGGCTCACTGCAACCTCCACCTCCCGGATTCAAGCGATTTTTCCTGCCTCAGCCTCCCTAGTAGCTAGGATTACAGGCGCCTGCCACCACACCCAGCTAATTTTTGTATTTTCAGTAGAGACAGGGGTTTTGCCATTTTGGCCAGGCTGGTCTCGAACTCCTGACCTCAAGTGATCCACCCACTTCGGCCTCCCAAAGTGCTGGGATTACAGGCGTGAACCACCTCGCCCTGCAGGAGTTGATTTTAATTATGAACCATGATTAAGGAAGGCAATGACCACAGAGAGAGTGACAATGAGGTGGGGAGGCCAAGTGGAGAGTTCTGGAGCAACAGAAGAGAGGTCAGCAGAGAGCTGTCTGAAGTCTCCTTTCTGGGTGATGGAGGGTCCCAGGTGTGACCGCAGGCAGGGAGTGGTGGCTGAGAGGCATGTTGGAAAAGCTCACTGGAGCTGCAGCAGTCTAAGTGCCCAGAGAGATGCGGAGTAGGCTGGCCTGTCCACGTGGGTGACGACACCAACGTCTTGTATGAAATCACTGTTGCAAACCTGCTGGGGGAATGTAGAGGGGTTGCTGCTCTACAAGACGGCAAGAAGGATGGAGAACGCAGTCAGCCAGGAACACAAGTCCTCAATGGATGACGAGGTGCAAGCGGAAGACCAGCAGACAGCAGTCACTGAGAGGGACAGCAGGTGACTCCGCTGCCTTTGAAAGAGAAAGGTCTTGGACACGACCACAGGAACCATGAAGGATATAGACCCTACCTTAGATTCTACAGTACGTGGGGTATAGGAGAAAAAAGAGTCCCTGCACCAGACGGTGCCGGGGGATGTGGGGTCCTGAGGGGCCAGTGGGGTTGGAGAGAGGGGACCCTCCTGCAAGAGGCTGAGTGGTGGCTCCAGAGCCGATGATGTCATCAGAGGAGCTGGGGCAGGATGGGGAGTGGGGAGGAGGGTCCAGTCATATTAGGCAATGCACAGATCTGGGGGGAGGCCTATAGCACAGAGGCTCTGTCCTTTGAGGGTGACTGAACCAACAGGGGAAAGCGAGGCATGGTGAAAATAGCCATGGATGGCCAGCTGTGGTGGCTCACACCTGTAATCCCAGCACTTTGAAAGGCTGAGGAGGATGGATCACCGGAGGTCAGGGGTTCAAGACCAGCCTGGCCAACATGGGGAAGCCCCGTCTCTACTAAAAATACAAAATTAGCCAGGCTTGATGGTGGGCACCTGTAATCCCAGCTGCTTGGGAGGCTGAGGCAGGAGAATTGCTTGAACCCAGGAGGCAGAGGTTGCAGCGAGCTGAGATCACATCACTGCACTCCAGCCTGGGCAACAAGAGCGAAACTCTGTCGGGAAGGGGAGAGGAGGGGAGGGGAGGGGAGAAGGAAGGAAGGATCGAAAGAAAGACAAAGAAGGAAGGGAGAGAGAGAGGGGGAAAGAAAGAAAGAAAAGAGAAAGAAAGAAAAAAAAAGGAAGGAAGGAACGAAGGAAAAAGGGAAGGAGGAAGGAAGGAAGGAAAGAAAGAAAGAAAAGGTAAGAAAGAAAACCGTGGATGACCGCAGACGGCCACAGGTGACATTTCAAGCTGTGAATTTGGAGAGAGAGGGCGCTCCAGGCAACTGTGGGGTGACTGCTCCCCCTGGTGGCCATATATGGCTAAAGCAAGTAGAAGTCCAGACACACCTGGAGAACAGGTGCCATCGCCTGAAAGCAACCGTAACCACGACAACAAGGCCAGGTGCAGAACCCAGGTCTCCCCCCTTTATTAGAACCTGTGGAGAGATCATGAATGTATTCTCCGATATGTTTATTTTCAGGGGTTAAAAAAAAAATCTCCCCAGTGTCACTTCTCCCAGGAACGTGTGTATGTGAATGGCTTAAAAACTGTTGCCCTTGACAAAGAAATGTACCAATCTCCAATGACAGAATATTTAATCGAGGAAAGGTCTCATTAACAGATGTTAATTAATCTCCTTAACAGATGTTAAGGAGAACTGCAAACCACTGTTCAATGAAATAAAAGAGAATACAAACAAATGGAACAACATTCCACGCTCATGGGTTGGAAGAATCAATATCGTGAAAATGGCCATACTGCCCAAGGTAATTTATAGATTCAATGCCATCCCCATCAAGCTACCAATGACTTTCTTCACAGAATTGGAAAAAACTACTTTAAAGTTCATATGGAACAAAAAAGAGCCCGCATCGCCAAGTCAATCCTAAGCCAAAAGAACAAAGCCAGAGGCATCATGCTACCTGACTTCAAACTATACTACAAGGCTACAATAACCAAAACAGCATGGTACTGGTACCAAAACAGAGATATAGATCAATGGAACAGAACAGAGTCCTCAGAAATAACACCACATATCTACAACCATCTGATCTTTGACAAACCTGACAAAAACAAGCAGTGGGGAAAGGATTCCCTATTTAATAAATGGTGCTGGGAAAACTGGCTAGTCATATGTAGAAAGCTGAAACTGGATCCCTTCCTTACACCTTAGACAAAAATTAATTCAAGATGGATTAAAGACTTACATGTTAGAACTAAAACCATAAAAACCCTAGAAGAAAACCTAGGCAATACCATTCAGGACATAGGCATGGGCAAGGACTTCATGTCTAAAACACCAAAAGCAATGGCAACAAAAGCCAAAATTGACAAACGGGATCTAACTAAACTAAAGAGCTTCTGCACAGCAAAAGAAACTACCATCAGACTGAACAGGCAACCTACAAAATGGGAGAAAATTTTCGCAACCTACTCATCCAACAAAGGGCAAATATCCAGAATCTACAATGAACTCAAATAAATTTACAAGAAAAAAACAAACAACCCCATCAAAAAGTGGGCGGAGGATATGAACAGACACTTCTCAAAAGAAGACATTTATGCAGCCAAAAAACACATGAAAAAATGCTCATCATCACTGGCCATCAGAGAAATGCAAATCAAAACCACAATGAGATACCATCTCACACCAGTTAGAATGGCGATCATTAAAAAGTCAGGAAACAACAGGTGCTAGAGAGGATGTGGAGAAATAGGAACACTTTTACACTGTTGTTGGGACTCTAAACTAGTTCAACCATTGTGGAAGTCAGTGTGGCGATTCCTCAGGGATCTAGAACTAGAAATACCATTTGACCCAGCCATCCCATTACTGGGTATATACCCAAAGGACTATAAATCATGCTGCTATAAAGACACATGCACACGTATGTTTATTGCGGCACCATTCACAATAGCAAAGACTTGGAACCAACCCAAATGCCCAACAACGATAGACTGGATTAAGAAAATGTGGCACTTATACACCATGGAATACTATGCAGCCATAAAACATGATGAAACTGGAAACCATCATTCTCAGCAAACTATCACAAGGACAAAAAACCAAACACCGCATGTTCTCACTCATAGGTGGGAATTGAACAATGAGAACACATGGACACAGGAAGGGGAACATCACACCCCGGGGACTGTTGTGGGGTGGGGGGAGGGGGGAGGGATAGCATTTGGAGATATACCCAATGCTAAGTGACAAGTTAATGGGTGCAGCACACCAACATGGCACATGTATACATATGTAACAAACCTGCACATTGTACACATGTACCCTAAAACTTAAAGTATAATAATAATAAAATAAAATAAAATAAATAGTTAATGAATGGAGTTCTGCAGGCTTTGCTTTAAAGAACAGATCTACAGTATTTTATTGGGGAATGTAATCTCAGTGTCATCTCTGAGGCATGTTTACTGCTATATCTCTATCGAGCACCTGAAGTAAGTAGTGCCTGGAACAGAGGAATGACTCAGGGTGTGGTGACTGGACTGGATGGCACTTTCAAAGCACTGGACCTGTCCCACGATGGGGCAGTGAGTTTCCCGTCCCTCTACCTATAAGGTACCTAAAAGGTTTAGCCTTGCGTGTGGTAGATGTGCTTTGAAGGGGGTTTAGGAGACAGTCTAGGAGATGACCCTTAAGTAACCTGCCTACAATCTCCTTTACACTCAGGTGATCAGTGAAGTTTTTTTTCAGGGACAATGTAAAACAGTAGTTCTGCTGGTATCACTGACTACGTATTAGAATCACCTATGAACTCTTAAACACTAGTGCCCATAGGCCCTATTCTCAGGATTTTGATTTAATTAATGTAGGCTGACACCTATTCATCTGTTCTTAATGCTTTCTGAGTAATCCTAAAGTGCAGTGAAGGTGGACAACCACTAATGTGGAAAAAAACAAAACAAAACAAAAACACTCCAATATGCAATACAACTTCACAGCTAGCTCAGAACTAGTTCTCTGCAGGTCTCATAATTTATAATAATTTCTGCTTGGAAGCCAGAAGGCCCGTTCCTTTATTGTCACCATAGCCGAAAAGCGTAATCTTCAAGGCCTGATTCATCCTTACCTCCTCCAGGAAGCCTTCTCTGCCTGTTCCAGCCTATTTTTCTGTCCCCTTATTGTACTTCCTGCCAGTGCTTGCATCCCTGCTTTGACTCATATCCCTTTGGCCCTTCTCTCATATCCCTTGTGCCCTTCTCCTTTCCTTTCCTGAGCCTCCACCACACTCCAAATTGAATACTCTAAAAGGTTTAGCCCTGCATGTGGTAGAGGTGCTTTGAAAGGGTTTTTTAGGAGACAGTCTAGGAGATGACCCATCCTGTGCATGTCTACTCACCAAACCCTGTTTTATAATTGCCTGCCCATTTGTATGTCTCTGAATGAAACTGTGTACACCCCGAGAGGAAGAACTGTGATATATTTACCTTGGCAACCACAGCACTTAGTGCATGCAATAGAGTAAACACAATTGCACAAATGGATGGAAGGAAGGATGAATGAGTGGACAGATGGATGAATGAAGGAGTAGTACTCTTTGTGGGGCTTAACTGCACTGTCTGAATTGATTAGTGTCTCTACTACATTTCTCATGTGTCTCTATTACATCTATGTAACTTGGGAAAGAATATTTCCTAGTAATCGCTTTTTCCCATCCATAAATTTTATCTGCCAGCTGACTGACTCACAGCCTGAAAGGAACTTGTTTATTATAGTTTTCTGTAATAAAAGACCAAATCTTAACGTCACATTACAAGATTAGAAAAGGTCTTATCATTTACTGAACCCTTACTGGGTCCTGGGGGCTTTAAATTCATTATCTCTTTATGTCAACTCCTCCTATTTGTCAGTTGTAGAATCTGAGACTCAGAGTTTAAAGTAACTTGCTTCAAACCACACTCAGCAGTAGTTGAGATTCAAGCCTAGGTTCTTTCCCACAGAGGCTCATTTCTTCTCCTGTCCCAGTTTCTGTCCCTCAAGTAGAGACTATAGGGGTACTAACATTAAATACTTCAACACAAGGTCAGTCTAGAAGCTCCACGAGGACCCAAACCCGACAGACCTGGACCTTAACAGTGTTCTGAGGATCCTGCACATGCTCCAGGGTTGCATCAACATCCAGGGCAACCACCAACCCAGAGTTAAACTGCAAAGGGTTGTCTGACTCGCCCGCTGGCTCAATGATGGTGGCTGAGGCTTTGTGGATCTGTAAGCCAGAGGAAAATCCTATGATTCTAAAGCCAGGTCATTCCTGGACAAGAAAACACATCTTTTTTCTGTCTCCTTATCTAATGAGTGGGCATGTGGGAGCCACTCAGAGGAAGAGCCTAGCCCAGCTGCTCCATTGGTCAAAGAAGATCACCAAGGTAAAGATTTTTGACCGTCTGGACAGATTTGGCCTACAGGGGCCAAATAGACCCTGACCTGCTCTGGAAGTGGGAGATGCAGAAAGGCACTCTGTCGCAGCATGGTCTGTAGAATTTTGACCACTTCTGCAGGTTTGGATGTCATGAGTCGGGGCATAAGGTCAAGGAGTTTGTCCACAAAGCTGTCCTGCAAGTGGGGCAAATCAGCGATGAAATACCTGGAGGAACAAACAGAAGCAACTGACTCATTCAACTGTGCACACATTCACCACAGGCTGGGCCCCAGACACCTACCAAACCCTGAAGTAGGAAGAATGATGAAGTGAGAAGAGCTTGCAATTTACGACCAAGATAGACTGGTACCTATACAATCATGCCTCAGTCACATGATCATCAGAAAGGCCTCTGTTTATTGATAACCATTATGTGCCAGGCATACTCTTAAGTGTTTTACATGATCTTATTTAACTCCCAGCAATCCTATGCATCATTAGAATTTTTATTTTCATATTATAGATTCATTAATTATTTTAACAAATACATTTTTAAGACCTACGAAGCACCAAGCACTATTTTAGGTTCTGGAAACACAGTGAACAAAAGAGAACAAAACGATTGCTTCAATGGAGCTTACATTCAAGTGGCAGAAATACTGAGACTCAGAGGGGATGATGCCTCACTGAGGCTCAGAAAAGTTAAGTACGTTACTCCTGTCTCAGACTGATCCAATTTTGGGCCTCGTGCCAGTGGATAGTCAAAAAATATCTCACTGAGGAGGTGATATCTGTGCAGGAACTCAAAGGATGAATTAAGAACATCAGATGAAGAACTTTGGGGATTCAGAGCTATCATCTTCCCAAAAATCTTTTCAACCCAACTGTGCAAAAACAGACTCTCTACTTTAAAGAATCTAAAGCCAAAAGTAAGGCATGAACTTATTTCAGATTCAAAACTAGAATTTATTTTTTATTTTCTTTTTGGGAAGGAGTCTCGCGCTATTGCCCGGGCTGGTGTGCAATGGCGTGATGTCGGCTCACTGGAACCTCCGCCTCCTGTGTTCAAGCAATTCTCCTGCCTCAGCCTCCCGAGTGGCTGGGATTACAGCTGCCCACCACCACGCCCTACTAATTTTTTGTATTTTTTAGTAGAGACAGGGTTTCATTATGTTGGCCAGGCTGGTCTCGAACTCCTGACCTCATGATCCACCCGCCTCAGCCTCCCAAAGTGCTGGGATTACAGGCGTGAGCCACCGCGCCCAGCCTCAAAACTAGGATCTTAAAAAGCTAAGCTAGATGGTACAGTTTGCTAGACAGCATTACCTGCTGGTGAAGGTAGCGTTGCAACTCAGCCCTGTAAGAAGCTATCATCACCCCAATGACAAGTACAGAGTCACAAAAACCTCAGGTTTGGTGAACTTCATGAGGGCAGAGACAATGAGCGGAAGAAATGAAACAGACTTCATCAGTGCTTTAAGATCCTATGTCTTCTCCCAGTATTATTCTGCCAGCATACCAGAAGTCTGGTCACTCCCTTGACTCCTATTTCTTCATCAAGCTTTCCATTCAACTACTGCATGTGCTTTAACAGATTCATTCCATATAAAACTCTGAAAAAATATATGTATTCTACAAAATAAAATTTACCTATAGAATTACAAAACAATTGTTTGTAGATTACAGAGAAATATGCAAGTATAAGAACAGTGTGGGCCTGGTGCAGTGGTTCACACCTGTAATCCCAATACTTCAGGAGGCAGAGGCAGGAGGATCTCTTGAAGCCAGGAGTTTGAGACCAGCCTGAGCAACACAGCAAGACCCCATCTCTAAAAAAAATATTAAAAATTATCCAGGCATGGTGGCACATGCCTGTAGTCCTAGCTACTCAGGAGTCTGAAGTAGGATGATAGCTTTAGCCCAGGAGTTCAAGGGTGCAGTGAGCTGTGCCAGTCTGGGTGACAGAGTGAGACCCTGTCTCAAAAAATAATAATGAGGTCAGACGCGGTGGTGGCTCATGCCTGTAATCCCAGCACTTTGGGAGGCCAAGGCAGGCAGATCACTTGAGGTCAGGAGTTAGAGACCAGCCTGGCCAACATGATGAAACCCCGTCTCTACTAAAAATACAAAAATTAGCCAGGTGTGGTGGCAGGCACCTGTAGTCCCAACTACTTGGGAGGCTGAGGCAGAAGAATCACTTGAACCCAGGAGGCGGAGGCTGCAATGAGCCAAGACTGCGCCACTGCACTCCAGCGTGGGTGACAGAGCAAGACTCTGTCTCAAATAAATAAATAAATAAATAAATAAATAAATAAATAAGAATGGTGTGAACGAACAGTGTTGAAAAAAACAGATGACTAATGATTTTTTTCAACAAACGTATTTACACGTTTTCTTCATATTACTTGTGTTTTTATGGCCTAGCTGAGTGCTAAATGCAAGTGATTCCTGGTAGGTTTAGTTTTGAAGCTCCAACTTCAAAGAAGTTTCTATAATATTAAGGAAAAAAACCAAATTAGTTTTTTTTTCCTAATTTAAGGTTAACGACATGGCCACAGATGATAGCCTGGCTGCACAAGCTAAACCAAGGAATGTGATTTGTGATTGTTCCTATTGCCTGCAAGTGCTATACTCCGTGTAACCAAGATTTTATAAGCCGGAAGAGTTATAAAATACTTACCTCTGAAAAAAGTCTACTTCCTGTAAAAATTTTTCACACATCCCAAATAAGGGGTAAAGTCTGTAGAAAAGAAACGTAAAATAATTTGCTTGTGAAATCTGCAAACTGAGGTGGACCAAAGTCCCAGAAACCTGAGCCTAAATTAAAGGAAAATTAGTATATTACACTATAAAAACGATCTCTAAAAGTAACAGAAGACTCCTAATGGACCTGGGGGAAACACCTGTCGGGATCCCAAGACCTGATTAAACCACTGCAGTGCCCATTAAGCTCAAAGAATATTAAAAATCAAAGACTATCACAGGCTACACTTGGCACTAGACTCACTACGAATACAGAAGAGAAGCATAGCATGTGGGCAGTACAGTGTCAAGTTCCCCTTCTTCAGGAGTCCTTGCTTCATTAACATCTCAGCTAGCATGGTCTCTATACCTATCTGATTTAGATCTCATCTCCTTGCACATGAGCTGTCAGCATTGGGATGAAAGCTCCCAGATAGCTGTGTGGACTGCTGCAAGATCTACCCAGTTTCAAGAATCACTGCACTCAATGAAGCCTACAGCCATTGTATCGGCATCTGGAAACTAGTTCATTTATATTTCCTTCTGGTCTACATGCAATTTACTCAGAGATCATTTTTTCCATAGCGGTATAGCCTACTAATGTAGTTGATACTGTAAGGGCTCCAAGAAACATACCTAAAAAGTTAACTAAATTCCTATGCGAGAGGTGAAAAGGTTTTGCTACTATTTTGCCGACAGACATGGATGGTGTTCCTTCCTCTCTATCTTGAATTACTTGGCCTCACAGTACTTGAGAACATTCCATTTCAGTAAAAAGTTATTGCATACCTAAATAATCCAGGCAACATGCTAGGTCAATGTGACTTACTAAGTTTTGACCTTTGTATATTTTCTTCCTATTTCTTGTATGTAATTTCTGCATGAAATTTCCCACTTGTTTTCTTTAATATATTATTCATTGGATGAATAAAAGTTCCCACCAAGATAAAACAAATACTCTTTCCTTATGTAAAAATATGTAAGAGAATGATGTCAAAGTTTAGTCTTTTTATTAAAATATAGTCTCCATGAGTAGACTTTGTATTCTTCATCATATATTTCCTAGCACAGGCAGCATTCAATAAGTATTTGCTGATGAACAAAAAATGGGGCCGGGGGTAGATGGCAAATGGAAACCTACTCTGGAAGCAACATTCATTCTAATTCTTTTCCTGAAAAAAAAAAAAAAAACAACAAAAAAAAGTAGCACTTGAAAGTTTTTAAACTAATCTTCTACCAGAAATGGAAGTGAAATTTCATAGTGAGGTTACCCACCAAACACCACAAGGAGTGAGAGGGCTAGAAGAGAGAATTCCAGCCAAGCAAGGGCACAAAGGAAAGCAATTTGGCCAAGCAGTGACATTTCCTCATTTGTTTGCCTGATTATATAGAGAATCATCTTGGAGAGACTCCAGGAAGTAAAATACAAAAAGATTTGGGAACTCTCCCCAGACGTCAAAAAAGAGCAGGCATCCTCATCAACAGGCCATATACATGAAGTAGGCCTCTAATACTAAGATCTCCTACTTTTCCTTTGGTGTGAGGGAAGGAAAGCTATGAAAGTGAGGCTCACTCGGGGGCTAACAATCATTAAAGAATACAAATTACCAATTTAAACTAGCCTAGACTTTCACTGTAAGTAGGCAAAGACAATGGAAAATGACTAGGTGTTATAAATGACAATCAGGAGCTGTAAAGGAGACCAAGCAGTCCTCAAAAAGAGTTAAGTCAAGGCAAGAAAGCACAGAAAACTTTTTAAAAAATTCTAATCAACAACCTCAGTGAGAGTTAACAGGGATTTAAAAGGATATTACATTGACAAAGCAAGAGAAACTGCTACAGAAACAGCAGATGACAAGAAGAGAAACTATACAGCAGAAAAAAAAGGAAAAAAATAGTAGAGAAGCACACTTGGAAATAAAACACATAATAATGAAATCAAACTCAACAGTTGAGAACAGCGGAATCAACAACAATGTAAACTGAAATGATAAACTAAAAAGAGCATATTAAAGAATTTACTGGCCAGGCACAGTGGCTCATGCTTGTAATTCCAACACTTTGGGAGGCTGAGGCAGGCGGATCACCCGAGATCAGAAGTTCAGGACCAGCCTGACCAAACATGGAGAAACCCTGTCTCTACTAAAAATACAAAATTAGCCGGGTGCAGTGGCGCATGCCTGTAATCCCAGCTACTTGGGAGGCTGAGGCAGGAGAATCGCTTGAACCCGGGAGGTGGAGGTTGCAGGGAGCTGAGATTGTTGAGATTGTGCCATTACACTCCAGCCTGGGCATCAACAGCAAAACTCCGTCTCAAAAAAAAAAAAAAAAAAAAAAAAAAAAAAAAAAAAAAAAAAAAGAATTTACTCAGAATATAGAATAGAAAAACAACGAAATTGAAATTACAAAAGAAAAGGTATAGGAAAAATAGATCCAGAAAATCCAACATTTAGTATGACAGACTAGAGTGTATAGAAGAAGTAAAGAAATAATGGAGAAAAAAAAAATCCCTGAGCTAAAAACAGCTGATACTTCAAACTCCCACCGAAGATCAGCAAGAATATTGAAAGAAAACACATACCTAGATATATCCTGGTGAAATTAAAGAAAGAAAGAAAATTTTAAAGGTTTGAGCATGAAAAATAAGCTGTAGGGAAGAGAACCAGACTGACATAAAACATTCAACTGTAACATTAAATACTAAAAGGGAACATAGCAAAGGCAGAGAGTCTCTATGAACCTATTCTGGTTTGGCGGGGGTTGCCCAATAAAATAAATAAATAAAGGCACCATAGCAATATGGAAATATTGGAAAAGAATTCCATTTATGTATGAGAGCAAAGGAATTTAAAAGGCGACAGAGAACAGTGGTGGCAAAGTTGGAGCTAAACTTATAAAGATCATAAGTGGTGGCTCACGTCTGTAATCCTAGCACTTTGGGAGGCCGAGGTGGGAGGATAGTTTGAGTTCAGGAGTTCAAGACTGGCCTGGGCAACACAGTGAAACCATGTTTCTATTATTTTTAAAAATAAAAAATATTTTATAAAAAAATTAAAAATAAAAATAAACAAGGATATACAAAGATTATGTACTTATAACTTTAAAAGATTATATTTATAAACATAAAAATTAATATAAGCTACATTATAAAAACATAATCAGCTGAAACAAACCTCCAAGTTATTATTATTATTATTATTATTATTATTATTATTATTTTTTTGAGACGGAGTCTCACTCTCACCCAGGCTGGAGTGCAGTGGTGGGATCTCAGCTCACTGCGAGCTCCACCTCCTGGGTTCATGCCATTCTCCTGCCTCAGCCTCCCGAATAGCTGGGATTACAGGCACCTGCCACCACGCCCGGCTAATTTTTTTTTTTATTTTTAGTAGAGCCGGGGTTTCACCATGTTAGCCAGGATGGTCTCGATCTCCTGACCTCGTGATCCACCCGATTCAGCCTCCCAAAGTGCTGGGGTTACAGGCGTTAGCCACCGCACCCAGCCATATTATTGTTATTATTTTTAAGACATAGGGTCTTGTTCTGTTGCCCAAGTTGGAGTGCAATGGCATGATCATAGCTCATTGCAGCCTCGAACTCCTGGGCTCAAGGGATCCTCCCACCTCAGCCTCCCAAGTAACTAGGACCACAGGTGCACACCACCCATGTCCAGCTAATTTTTGATTTTTATTTTTTAGAGACAGGGTCTCACTATGTTGCTTAGGCTGGGGTCAAACTCCTGGCTGGGCTCAAGCGATCCTCCTGCTTTCGCCTCCTAAAGTCTGGGATTACAGGCATGAGCCACTGCATCTAGCCCAAATTGCTATTATTATTTTTTGCTCAGTAAGAGACCTTAACTGGCCTGAATTATTATTATTATTATTATTTGAGATGGAGTCTCACTCTGTCACCCAGGCTGGAGTGCAGTGGCATGATTTCGGCTCGCTGCAACCTCCGCCTCCTGGGTTCAAGCAATTTTCTGCCTCAACCTCCCGAGTAGTTGGGATTACAGACGCCCACCACCACGCCTGGCTAATTTTTTGTATTTTTAGTAGAGATGGGGTTTCACCATCTTGGCCAGGCTGGTCTTGAACTCCTGACCTCGTGATCCACCTGTCTTGGCCTCCCAAAGTGATGGGATTACAGGCGTGAGCCACTGAGCCCGGCCAACTGGCCCAAATTACTTAAGCAGTAAGAGACAAACAAAAGCATACTAAAATCTTCATCTTCATCTTAGATCATCTTGATCTCAGAGAGGTGACCATAAATTCTGTTTAACTTTTTATGCTGATAAATATAAGTTCAATATGTTCATTAAAAATATAAGTAATAACAGTATTACTAAAACTAATATTAGTTAACATGTATCAAGTATTTATAATGGATGTGACAGACACTATTTTAAAGGCTTTGCATATAATAATCCAGCCAGGCACAGTAGCTCACGCCTGGAATCCCAGCACTTTGGGAGGCCAAGGCAGGTGGATCACTTGAGGCCAGGAGTTTGAGACCAGCACGGCCAACATGGTGAAACCCCATCTCTCCTAAAAATAAAAAAATTAGCTGAGTGTGGTGACATGGGCCTGTAGTCCCAGCTACTTGGGAGGCTGAGGCATAAGAGTTGCTTGGACCCGGGAACCAGAGGTTGCAGTGAGTTGAGATCGTGCCACTGCACTCCAGCCTGGGTGATAGAGCAAGACTCTGTCTCATAAATAAATAAAATAAATAAATGGTTTTGCATATAATAATTCAATAACCCTTACAATACCCCTGTGAGGAAGAGACAGGTACTACTATTATCTCAGTTTAACTTATGGGAACAAACTGAGGCCAAGAAGTGTTAAGTAACTTGTCCAAGGGTTACTCAGTTTGCAAATGGTAAAGTCAAGATGTGAACCCAAGCAGTGTGGCACCACAGCCCTCTTAACCAGTATGTTCTACTGCCTCTCACTTGAAGTGTTTAGAATTACGGTGCATAACTTTCAAACCCCTGGAGGACAAAAGAAAACAATCTAGCAAAACTTAAGAAAGAAAAAAAAGAAAAAAACAGGAACGCATACAAATGAAAAATATAGGCTGGGCTCAGTGGCTCACGCCTGTAATCCCAGCACTTTGGGAGGCCGAGTCGGGTGGATCACCTGAGTTCAGGAGTTCGAGACCAGCCTGGCTAACATGGTGAAACCCGTCTCTACTGAAAATACAAAATTAGCCGGGCATGGTGTTGCATGCCTGTAATCCCAGCTACTTGGGAGGCTGAGGCAGGAGAATTGCTTGAACCCAGGAGGCAGAGGTTGCAGTGAGCTGAGATTGGACCACTGCACTCCAGCCTGGGCGACAGAGCGAGACTTTGTCTAAAAGAAAAAAAAAAAGAAAAATATAAAATATTATAGCATGAATAAAGACCTAAAAACATTAGTATCTTTATATAATGACACGACAAGATAAGCATATTATAATGTTGGGTGAAAGGAATAGGAGGCAGAACAGCAAAGTATGGTAAGATCCCCTTTATGTTATTGTACACATCTTTATAACCTATGTTTATACGGTTTGGGAAAATCTGGAAGTATACACATGAAATGTTGGCAGCTGTTTTCGAAGTGGTAGATTACCAGAGAACCTTCACTTACCCTGTAATATTTTAATTTTTGTAACAATTATATATAAACTAAAAAAAATCTTTTTTAAAAAACAGTATAGATGCCATCACAAGCACTTTTGTTTTTTCAGCTATAACTGGCACATAGTAGGGATTAAACATTTGTTAAATGAATATATGAATATCTTTTTTTTTTTATAAAGATGGAGTCTTGCTCTGTTGCCCAGGCTGGAGTGCAGTGATGTGATTTCGGCTCACTGCAACCTCCGTCTCCCGGGTTCTAGAGATTCTCCTGCCTCAGCCTCCCGAGTAGCTGGGACTACTGGTGCATGCCACCACGCCCAGCTAATTTTATGTATTTTTAGTAGAGACAGGGTTTCACCATGTTAGCTAGGATGCTCTTGATCTCCTGACCTCGTGATCTGCCCACCTTGGCCTCCCAAAGTGCTGGGATTACAGGTGTGAGCCACCGCACCCGGCCACATATGAATATCTTTACGATTAAATGATTCTTTGACTTTATGAGGTCACTATCAAGATAAGTGAAGAAATAAAATATTTTATTTTTCAGGATGTTATTTCTGACCTAGTATGTTTCTGTGTTTAAACATTCATATTTATATCTCTATGCCACTTTTTTTTTTGACACAGCAGCTGAACTGAGCATCAAACATGTCTGTGAGCTGGCAATGAGTCACCTAAGTACTTTTTTGTATCAAATCTATGATGCCATCATTCTTAAGATGCACCTTTATTTTATGAAATAGTAAGAAACAAAAAACACTATAGGACACCATCAAAATATCTGATTTCAGAGAAGTTACAATAATAAAAAATGTGTATCTTGGAATCAATGAAATGTGGCAATTCCAGTTATCTGAAAGTCTTACAGCTATAATTACACTGAGCTCTTATTACGTATCAAGTACCATGCTAAGTGTTTTTATATTGTATTATCTCATTTATTCTTCATAGAAATGCCATGAGGTAGATGCTGTCTTCATTTTCATTTTGTACAGGGAAACAAGGTACAGAAAGGTTCATAACCAAACAACTAGTAAGTAGAAAAGACAAGATTTGAACAAAGTAGTCTGACTTCCCAGTACATCCTCTTAATTTATCCTTATTGCCTGAGAAAAAGCTTATTAGTCCCTTCAGAACAGAAAAAGTGGTCCCTGGCACTAAACTCTTGAGGAAATCTATCAAGTAGGAGGATACAGAATGTCCTTATTGCCAGATAAAGTCCAGTGTTGTGCTATATGTAATGGAGAGTCACCAGAGGGTTTTTAGCAAGGGAGACGCACAGTTGGATTTCCAAGGGTCTAATCTGATCCAACAACAGAATTTGTAATATCTGAAAAAAATGAATAGATCACACATTCCTTAGCTAGTCTATCCTAAATTTCATTTTACTTATCATTAACTTTCGTGTGATGTCTGAATGCATTTGAAGTATCTTTGAAAGGAACATGCCACATATTTTGGCCAACCCCACATCTTACCCTCATGTAGTTCGTGCTGTTATTATAAGTTGCAAAGCTTTGGCCTGCAGCCTCATGTGATGTATAATCACCACCTGCTTATTCTCCACACCACTCTACATGAATTCCATTTTGTAGGTCTCTTCCATAATCGATAAAGAAAAGATAATTAACAATCAATAAAAATATCATAGTCTTACTTGAGAGCAGCATAGAATTCTACTGTTAAATGACCTTAGGTGAAACTCTTAACTGAGATTTTACATCCCTATGCTTTTAAGTGTGGAAAGAAATTAGTATAGTATGCCTTGTAAAAAGAGAATAAATTATTTTGCCTATTTAAAAAGAAGACTGACCTGGTAATAAAATCATCTTAGTTGATGATGTGAAGATAAGAAAGTTTAATCACTAAGCAAACTGCAAAGCACTGAAAGCACTGCTTCTTACCCTAAATGAAGCCCACTCTGCTGTGGGAACAAATTAATATATATTATGTATGGAAACCCAATCCCCACAAAGTCCTCAAGAATTAAGCATCAGGAACTATTAACCATATGTTAGTTATCCTGACAGACTGTTCCATGGGCCTGGTCTGAGGGAGTTTGGGATGGAAATAAGTGCAAGAAAACATTGTCTATGACCCCAGATCAAGTCCCCGATCTTGCTTAGTTCCATCCAAATAAGCGATTTTCATCAAAATGATGCTTCTCTTTTTCTTCTGTGCTTGCCTCCCAGTGAACACTCTAGGGTCACGGAAACGACTCCAGACTCTCTTACAATTGGCAATAAGACAAGTTAAATTACATGAGTGTCTCAATCCCTTTCTGTAAACAGGGAAGAAACAGTACCAATATCATGAAGTTTCAAGTATCAAATGGAGCATGCAATGTGTTTATCACAGTATCTGGTATACAGCAATGGTAATTCCTTTCCTCTTTTCCTTCCAAATTATTGCTCCCTGATCCCATCCTTCCAATGTGGCTCAATTATCGGGTTCTAGTCATTAAATGCTACTCTTCTACAATAAGCCACATACCAGGTCTGAGAAAGAGTCTGGATCAGACAAGAGTTCAGCACTGTAGTAGAAAACAGATTCTGGGTATCAGAGGATCTGGTCTCAAGTCCTGACTGTATTACCTATAGCTCTATGAATTTAACCTTGCTGAGCCTTAACTGCCTCATCTCTAAAATAGACTTAATACTTATTCCTATCTAATGGGATTGTTATGAGGGTTAATTAAGCTAATAGACTTGAAATCATTTAGTGAACTGTAATGTAACAATAACAATCACCATCATTAGCTTCCTCCTGGGTCATTTACAGACTCCCTATCTGGAAGACTTGACCTGCCAGAGATCACCAAGTCTCAATACTTAGGTGCAAAGGGGAACGGCTCAAAGCTAAAAAGAAATAAACTAGAGACAAATAAAATTAAAGCCTACTTAATGAACTACCCAGGACCTTTTAACGTTGAAGAGATGGTACAGGCTAAAGATATAAACAACCTTAACTGAGTTGGGCTACATTTTCAGATGAAAGATTCATGACAGTAGCGACAGCGTTTCACCATGTTGGCCAGGCTGGTCTCAAACTCCTAACCTTAAGTGATGCGCCCATCTCAGCCTCCCAAAGTGCTGGGATTACAGGTGTGAGCCACCACACCCGGCCCAACTGCCACATTTTATAGAAGAGAAAAAATCCAGGGAATTTAAGTAACTTGCTCAATATCACTCAGCAAATCAGAGGAAGACCTGGGACTAGGACCCAGGTCCCCTGAGTCCACAGTGAGTGCTGCGTCCCCTAGTTATGCTCCTTCTCATATCACTAACTTCTGTCATAGCCTAAAATTAGGGAGGCCACAGCAGAGGTACAGAGCTACAGGAAGGCCTCTGGCTCCGCCTTGGACCAGACAATTCCTGGACAGAGACCTATTTGAAGGGAAGGTCTGAATAAGCTTACCTGTGTTGCTGCTGCTGAGGCCAAATCACTCTGCTTCAAATACAAAGGGGCAGCTACATGCCACAACTTTTCCTGCAAGGCCTACAGAGACAGAGCTATAGGAAGGCCTCTGGCTCTGCCTTGGACCAGACAATTCCTGGACAGAGACCTGTTTGAAGGGAAGGTCTGAATAAGCTTACCTGTTTTGCTGCTGCTGAGGCCAAATCACTCTGCTTCAAATACGAAGGGGCAGCTACATTCCACGACTTTTCCTGCAAGGCCTACACAGACAAATCAGGAGGGAACAGAATACCGACGTCACAAAGACTGGCATATCATTTGGAATTTACATTTTTGTTTTCCTTTGAAAGTCTACCATGAACAGGACTTCTCAATTAATCTTATTCTTTTAACCCAATAAGCTGTATCTATTATGGAGAAAGATGAGACTAATGGTTTGGGCTAAATGAATTCCCATCCATTTGATCCAATTCTTGGCCCAAAGGCTCTGTGTCCCAGATCAGTGCTTCTGGAAGCAGAGGACAGGAACCATGAAACCTTCACCAGAATGCGCAGGCAAGCCAGCTTCCGGGCTCTAGGCACTCCTTGTTCCCAGAGCCACTGGACTAACCCAAGCCACCTAGATACTTCTTCCTTGACTGTGGTTCTTTTTTCTTTTCCCCTATGCTCATTATGTTATAAGCCCCAACCACTTTACCAACATATTCAACTAGAAATCAAGCAGCTTTCCTAGATTTCTCCCTCTTTCAATCTTCTACATTCAAAACCACCACTAAGAGCCACGATTTTACCTTCCATCTCTCTCCTCACCTATCCATCCACATGACCTCATCTCTTGCACAAACTTCTGTGACAGCCTCTTATTTTCTCAGTCCTTCTGAATTACAGATGTAATCAAATGACATTACAGAAAACCTAGACTAACACTGTCCAATAGAAATATAACATGAGCTATATATAATTTTAAATATTCTCATAGCCACAGTTTTTAAATTACAAAGATGTAAGTTAATTTTGAAGATACAAAGACTAAGTTAATTTTTTTAAAAAGTTTATTTAACCCAGTATATCCAAGATATTAACATTTCACCACGCAGTATTTTTTAAATTATTAATTAGATAGTTTACATTTTCTTTTCATACTAAGTCTGAGAAATCCAGTGTGTATTTTGCACTTAATAACACATCTCAGTTTAGACTAACAACTTTTCAAGTGCTCAAGAGTCCCATGTATCTGGTGGCTATCAAACAGTGGTAGGTCTAAACTACAGATAAACTATAGGAATTTCTGGAATATTTACTTCTAATCATTTCTTGTATGCATGTTTTTTGACAGTTGTAGTCAGAAAGCAGAATTAAGTTTGGGGATTAGATCATAATCCCAAAACATACAATCACAAATGTTGAAATCCTGACATCCAAATTCTGGGGAAGTGATTAGTGTGTTTTGGGTTGCATGCAGGATAGTTGCATCATGTCAGTTGTATCATGTTAGGCACAACTATTACCATGTTATTGTCTTTATTTGGAAATTAAATATGGCTTAAGGAGATGCGTATGAGTGCCAAGCTGACAAGGGGTGGACTTGTGGACCTAATTTTAGGTATCAGCTTGACCAGATTAAGGAATATCAGAAACCTGGTAAAACATTATTTTGTTTTACACATTGAGGGTGTGTCTATGAGAGTGTTTCCAGAAGAGATTAGTGTATAAATCTGAGTGTACTAGGTGGAGACTATCTGCCCTCAATGTTGGCGGGCACCATCCAATCAGCCAGTGGCCAGGAGAGAACAAATACTTAAGACAAAATGGGCTGGGATCGGTGGCTCATGCCTGTAATCCTAGCACTTTGGAAGGTCGAGGTGGGTGGATGACCTGAGGTCAGGAGTTCGAGACCAGCCTGACCAACATGGCAAAACCCTGTCTCTGCTAAAAATACAAAAATTAGCCAGGCGTGGTGGTGCACACCTGTAATCCCAGCTACTTGGGAGGCTGAGACAGGAGAATTGCTTGAACCCAAGAGGCAGAGGTCGCAGCAGTGAGCCGAGATCACGCCACTGTATTCAGCCTGGGTGATAAGCTGAGACTCTGTCTCAAAAAAAAAAAAAAAAACAAAAAAAAACAAAAAACAAAAAAACGCAAAATAGCAAAACGGACTCTCTGGGTTCTGCTGCTTGGATATCAGAAATCTGACTCCATGAAAGTGCATTATCACAATACTGACTTTGTGTATAAGCATTGAGTGTGTACATAAAATGTTGAAACTTCCTCGATAAATGAGATATCCTTTTCGTACATCTGCATTTGTGAAAGATAAAATTTCTTGAGATCTCAGCTCTTTGGGTGACTGCATATGCAGTGGTGACCCAGCACAGTTTCCATCAATCTCATCAAAAGACTTGAGGTTGTTGGGCACAGTATTTCAGATGACCAGAGTTAAAAAGCTGGGTATACACAATTAACAACCAAAGTGATATGCATTTATACCTTTCCCTTTATGACCAATTTCTTTATAAATATGGCTCATCTGCTCATAACTGTTAGACCCACCCAAATGTTATTAGTAACCTGAGTGTTTATGCTTGCAAAAATGTATGTTATTATTGTCTGTTTTATTATATTAAGTGGTGTATAAAGTATTCTGTTGTGTTTTTATGTTTCTCAAATAAGTTCCCCTTTAAAAAATAAATATCTTTAAGTTTTTAAAACTATTTCTTCCATAATTATATTTTGGGGATTTTGATATTTTCTGGGCTGTGGTTTTCGGATTTTAGACTTTAGGGATTTTAGTCTTTTGGAATTTAAACACTTTAGGACTATGATGTTCTGGACTATCTTTTGGGATTATGATTGGCTCCCCTTCTTTTCGGTACATAACATTACACCCTAAGTATTTTGTCATGTTGTTGTATAATTCTTCATAAAGAATTAATGACTGCAGAATATACTGCTAGGTAGCTGTACCAAAAGTTATTTAGCTTTTTTCCTGTTATTAAACACACTTGCCTTGGGTTCTGGCTCTGGGCCCCTTACCTACACTGTCACTCCTTGTCATTGAATAACCAACAATTATATGTTCTTTTTAGGAGTAATCACTTCTCTTTCCTCACCATATTTTGCTACTATAGAAAAGTGGATTCTTCTCCATGGCCTCCTTGAATTCCTGGGGTTTCACAGAGGCTTGGAAAAGCCAAACAACTTTGCAAAGGGGCATGAAGGAACTTCTTGGAGTGATGAAAATGTTCTACGACTTTAAAGAACAGATGTTCTTTAAAAAAAAATTTAGTTTTTTTGAATAGTTAATACATACTTAAGGTATAGCATTCAAAGGATATACAATTAAATTAAATTAAATTAGTTCCCCTTCCTACGCCTGTGCCCTGTAGCCCTGCCACCCTGTATACCTTCCCAGAGGCAACTACTATTACCAGTTTCTTTTGAATTTTGAGATATGCCATGCATTTACAAAAAGTACTGGTTTTCTTTGCTTTCTTCTTTTTTAGGGGAGGAATGTGAGTGTGTGTGTGTTTGTGTATTACCTAACCATCTCAGCATTCATAGAAAGCTGCCTCATTACTTTTTAATAGCAACATTAAATTCTGAATAGAAATGGAAACTGTGGGAAACCTTAAGGTCTGAGTCACTTGGGAAGCTGTTTCAGAGCCGGCATAACACATCAGGTTTCACAGTAGCCTGGAAAAAACTGTCCACTGGACTATGCCACTTCCTCCCATCTCATGCTTGGTGGGTAACGTTATGATAGTTAACGATGCCTCCTGGGGACTTTGACATCAAGAAGGAGATGCCTACAAAGGGGCAAAGAGTAATTACTCTCAAAGTGATTGAAGAATTAATGTATGATATATATCACTTCTTATTCATTTGGGTTGCTTGAACTGGTCCTGGAGGGCCTACCCAAAGCATGGGAACCCAGCACAATGAAAGCCAAGACCATAGACTAGCTAAGCCCAACTGTGAAGTATGAGTTTGGTGGCCAGATGGTCTCTTCCTTTCACTTCTCTGATTTTTCTCTTGCAAGAGACAGCCCTGAAGTATTCTACTTCAGAAGCATTTGTGTTTCCTCTCCAGGAAGATTCTGCCTTCTACGACAATTATACAGAATACAGACCAACTGACTGTACATTAACTAACTGATTCCAAATGTTATTTTATTCCCCTGCCCCAGAATTGTAGCAGTTGTTCTGAAGTGCACAGAACAAGATGTAACCCAATCCAACACAATTAGCCATAAGAAATCTGAACTTCTGTACAAACAAAAATGGAAACTTGTTAGCTCTGGGAAAAATCCTGTGTCCCAGTGTTTCCTCTCTTTGTCACTTTATGCTCACAATTCTTAGGAAGCCTCAGTCTAGACATCCATCAGGAGACTACGGGCTCTAATGAGAAAGGTACACTGAGCACATTCTATGTGCACTGTACTGTGCTAGCTGTTTCCTTACTTGAGCTCACTTAATCCTCACAATATGAATTGCAATTAATCCTATTTCACTGAACAGGAAACTAAAGATCAGAATTTAAGTGGCTTGCCTAAGGTCACAGAATAAACAACAAAACGACATGAACTAGACAGAGTCAGCTCTGACTCCAAAAGTATTTTTTTAACCATATCATATTGCATCTCATTTATTTATTTGCTATTAAACTCTTTTCATTTATTTATTAATTACATCAAACACAGATGAGACCAAAACTAATTTAAAACTAGATACGGCTAGGCGCGGTGGCTCACACCTGTAATCCTAGCACTTTAGGAGGCCAAGGTGGGTGGATTGCCTGAGCTCAGGAGTTCGAGACCAGCCTGGGCAACACGGTGAAACCCCATCTCTACTAAAATACAAAAATTAGCCGGGCCTGGTGGAGTGCGCCTGTAGTCCCAGCTATTCGGGATGCTGGGGCAGGAGAATTGCTTGAACCTGGGAGGCAGAGGTTGCCGTGAACCGAGATCGCACCACTGCACTCCAGCCTGAACGACAGAGGGAGACTCCATCTCCAAAAAAGAAAACAACAACTGGATACACTGGGCCACTTTTCTTTAGATGCTATCAGGCAGAGCAAAACAGTTCCTCCCAGGAACACACACATTAGCAATCTATATGATGCCACTATGCCACTATGTGTAAACACATTTACATAGAGTGATTCTTTTTAAGCTTACACAATAGGCTGAATTAATTATTTAAATCACTATTAAAGATAGTCAAAAAGATTCTGGATGTGCAAATCAAATGCAGTTTATTTTTTTCAATCTCTTAGAATCTCTAAAAATCAAATTTATAATTATGTCTCTTAGTAGCTTAGTAGAGCAAAAAGGAATGTTAGGAAATACAACATAAATACAAAGTCTTGGTGACTTCTAAAACGCCATCTTTATTCCTGCACCTAGATGATGACAGATTACAAACGCATATTTCTACTCTTTAATTACTAGACCAGTTCCAATACTACACAATAGGCAGTCTCCCTAAAAGACAATAAAAGTTTCAAAGCAAAAAGAGGATTTTAAAGAATTCAACTAAAAAATCCCATGTTCTTCAATGGTTAGTGTGTAAAAGAATTCCCATAAGAAAAGTAGTACATTTCTTTCTATCTCTGATAAATGAAGCCCCTTCTGTTTCAGGTTATAATGAGCTATTTTACTCCAAAAGAACAATTCTCTATTATGGAACACTTCTAAGGTGATATGGTTCCTGAAACAACAGTGTGTATAGCAACAGCACTTTCATGGACTTAACACAAAAATGTAAACTTTGAAAAACAGGAGGTCACTATTCATACTGAGAAATAGCAGACAAATGACTGCAGCATTCCTTAAAAGACAATCCCCTTCAACCCTGCTAGTGAGTTTAAACATGATTACATTTATAAAATTTGATTTAGTTACAAAATGTCAAGAGCATGTCCAGTATGTTAAATAAGCCATAGTTAGTTTAAATTTTTTTTTTTTTTTTTTTGAGATGGAGTCTCGCTCTGTCGCCCAGGCTGCAGTGCAGTGGTGTGATCTCTGCTCACCACAAGCTCTGCCTCCCAGGTTCGCACCATTCTCCTGCCTCAGCCTCCCGAGTAGCTGGGACCACAGGCGCCCGCCACCACGCCTGGCTAATTTTTTGTATTTTTAGTAGAGACGGGGTTTCATCGTGTTAGCCAGGATGGTCTCCATCTCCTGAGCTCGTGATCCGCCCACCTCGGCCTCCCAAAGTGCTGGGATTACAGGCGTGAGCCACCGCGCCCGGCCAGTTAGTTTAAATTTTAAAGCAAACATCCATAAATGTCCAACTATTATCTATGTAACTGATATTCTCAAAATGCTTTTACCACATATCATTACAATCATCTTCACAACAGTTCTACAGGTGCGAGCCACAGCATCTGGCTCATAGGTGAGATCTTCATTGGGTTAAGTGGCTGTTTGGATTACAAAACAGGGCACTGTGTATGACAGTGAAATTTGTTTTACACTCATACTAACAAATACGTGGCTCCAGTCCTCATCAGAGAACCTTCTGTATGAAAGGCTAACATTTCACTCCATAACAACTCAGAAAGTGTAAGTTGTGGAGAACCCCAGGGGTCAACTGATCTAATCTCATGTGATACAGGAACCCCCTGTAAATCACTGCACATCACAGAATATGGATTTTAGAGTTGACAAAGCTGAACTCAAATCCTCGTTCTGCCTCTTCTTAGCAAATTACTTCATGTCTGCAATGATGGTTGTAAAGCATCGCAGGTGCCCTCACTGCTATGGTCCATCTGCTTCCCTTTCCAGATTTTTCACCATCCTGCCTGTGCTCCTGAATACACACTCAAGCTAGAAACACAGAGCCCCGAACTTAGGACAGTGATCTGGCCGGCCACTGCCTAGCAAGACTATCATCTCAGGAAACCCAGACCATGAAGGCGAGTACCTTCTAAGAGCCAGCACTGCAGCTGATCACCAAATTGGCTAGCTTTTGTGCCTTTTGCACTTGCTTTAGTGCCAACAGGATAAAACTGTCAAGGACAAAATCTAAATGTTTATTTACGTGGGGATGAGTCAGGAAGTAGACTTTATTTTACTGGGCTCAGGGCCAACAACCTCATTCAGTGGCCTCCAAAACTAAACACTTTGTTGAGGGAGAAGAGAAATCGCTCCACAAGAGATATAGAAAGGACTGGAATCTCCGCTTACAGAGCTGTGGACTGCCCAGAACTTACAGCAGGGTCAGCAAATTTTTTCTGTAAAAGGTAAAATAGTAACTTTATGGTCTCTGTGGCAACTACTCAGCTCTGTGATTGTAGCATGAAAGCAACTATAGACAATACCTAAACAAATGAGCGTGGCTGTGCTTCAATCAGATCTTACATACAAAAGCAGGCAACAGGCCAGCTTTGGTCCACAGGCTGTAGTCTGGTGACTCCTAGTTTAGAGTACTGTTACTGGCACATCACAGGCACACAATAAACATCAAGTATATGATTCAATGTACAGTGGCAAGAGAACAAACTGTCATGCTAAAATCATTTCAACCTTAAAAATAATTCAGCTTTCCCTATCTTTTATTGTTACTGATTACAGTGATGGTATTCAGGTGAACACTCTGCCATTTAGAATATCATTTAGCCTTAGCCTGTGCAGCTAATGCAGCTTCTTCACACCACACAGCCATCTTTGACATATTTCAACTTGTTAATGATTCATGTTCGCAGCCCTTTTGGCTGATGCTATCACTGCAAAGCAGTGATATGTGTGAGTCCATTCATTACGGTAACAAGCTTTCCCTCAAGCTTTGTTTCTTGCAATATCTATCATTTCTAGTGTGATCTCCTCCACTGATTTTTAAAAATCCAGTCAACAGTAGGATTTTCTTGTTGAACTGTGAAGGCCTGTGCTCGGTAGGGACTTTGTGAATCATCCCTGCTTGGGTCCCAGAGCTACTGGAGGGCCCATCACTGGAGTGGCTGGTGAGACCCTCCAGGGCATGAGAGTTGCTATGGGCCTCTGTGTGGCTTCTAGAGGCTTCCCAGGGGCACAAAGACTATGTGACCCAGGTGGAAGCTCGGGAGGCTCACGCTGGACACATGCTGCACACTCTGGCTCCCCTGTGGCTGCAGCTGCACCCACCTACCCAGCATTCTCCCCACGACCTGTCCAGCCCAAGCCCACGGCACTCCCAGGGGAGCCCAGGACACCCTCAACTTTTTAGTGGATTACTAGAGTATCAGACCACCCATTTATCTCTCAGTTCCTCACTCCCACCCCTGCACCCAGCAAGTCACCAAGTCCCCCAGGTGAGTAAACTGGAGCTAACAGCAGTTGGTACTTACGGCATATACTGGATTTGGCTCACTCACACGTGGTATTCCTATCTTCATCTACTGTATCTTCCTGGACTACATAAGCTGCAAAGTTAAAAACTGCATTTCTCAGATTCCCTTGAGCTAGGTTCCAGACGTGATTTATTATCAGTCAATCAAACACATTCGCATGAGTTTTGTATAGGGAACAATGTTAAGTCGGAAGAAAGGCAGAATGCAAGACACGGTTCTGGAGCCAGCAGCTTTATTGGTAGCATCCTGACTCAATAGGCAGCTTTCCTGATAATAGCAGGAACATCAGCCTCCTTGGTGGCCCACTCATTGTGTGGCTCTGGAAATCATTCCTGGATATTCCACCTAGTCTGTTTCTTTAGCTTTCCCAACAACTCTGTGAGCCATGTAACATTCTGTAATAAATTTCTTTCTGCTTAAATTAGTTAAAAGCCTCTTTTGTTTTCTGCAAATGAACCCTGAGCAATATAGTTGACTAAGATCAAACAACTACAAGTCATGCGTTGTTTAACGATGGAGATACATTCTGAGACATACACTGTTATGTGATTTTGTCTCACAAACATCACATAGAGTATATTTACACAAATCCAAATGGTATAGCCTACTACACACCTAGGCTATATGGGATAGTCTGTTGCTCCTAGGCTACAAATCTGTATAGCATGTTACTGTACTAAAGACTGTAGGCAACTGTAACACTGGTTACAATGGTAAATATTGGTAAATATGGTAAACAATGGTAAATATCTGTATATCTAAACATAAAAAAGGTACAGTAAAAATATAATCATGGGACCACCACAACGTTGTTATTCAGTGCATGACTGTATTAGCTCAGACGTTAACCAAAATGAGTCTGCCTTCAAAGCTCCATTCACTCAATCTCTATACTACACCACTGCAGTTCTGGGAGGCTGTTCTCCCTCAGGTCTCCCAGCTCTTCTAATGTCTGCTGAAGTTGGAATTCTCTTCTGCACATGGACTACGAAACTGACATGCTCAGTTATCATTTCATACTAGCTAAAGGATCTTCTCCTTTGTGAAGCATCCCTCACCACTACTACTGTGATGGGTCGGGGCCTTTCATCTGTTTTTCCACAGCATCTATGCTTCTCTTCACTGTATCATTTATCAAATTGATGATTTCTGCGTCCTGTAATAAACAGTGAGTACCTTAAGAACAAATGTCATTTCTTATTTCTCTCTACCCTCAGCAACTGGCTTATTAGAATAAACAAATAGTTAATGCTGCTAAGTGAATGAATGACCTAATATAATGGGAAAACATAACTTGGAGGATGGTTCAGTTGGCCGGCTTTATAACATGTTAAGATGCAATAATGGACAGGAAAGCATGAACAAAGTACAAAGCGCTGTTATCCACCATCATAAGTCTTTGTCTATATCCATCTTGTCTACATGGGCTCTCTAAGGGCAGAATCCTAGCTAGCTGATCTGTATCTAGCACAGAGCTTGTTTCTTAGTGTATGGAATGAAATCATCCACTAAAAATTATTAGTTGAATGTGGCTGGTGCCAAATACTCTTCCGGGCAGATCAAAAGAGATCTCAACCAAGATACAAATGATATAATATAATATTTTTCTTTCTTTCTTTTTTGTTTTGAGATGGAGTCTCACTCTGTTGCCCAGACTGGAGTGCAGTGGCATGATCTTGGCTCACTGCAAGCTCCGCCTCCCGAGTTCAAGCGACTCTTGTGCCTCAATCTCCCAAGTAGCTGGGATTACAGGCTACTATTTTTAGTAGAGACGGGGTTTCACTCAGCGGGGCTGGTCTTGAACTCCTAGCCTCAAGTGATCCTCCCGCCTCGGTCTCCCAAAGTGCTGGGATTACAGGCATGAGCCACTGCACCTGGACGATATAATATTTTTCTCTTTTAAGAGCAAACAATAAAGAATTTAAACTCATTTGCTTTTAGCAAAAGCAGTACTGTTTGCTCTTAAAAGACATAATTTTTTAATCTTTTAAGAGCAAACAATACTGCTTTTGCTAAAAGCAAATGAGTTTAAATTCTTTTCATATCATTCAGGCCATTTTGAGGAAGGTCTGGCAGAGCCTTTTGGTTGTTCCCCAATATCTTTCTCCCATTCTTCCTGAGTATTAGAGTCATCGCATGTAAACCAGGCATTAGTCACCCAGAATAAAGACTGCATGTCCTCGCTCCTTGAAGTGAGAGATGGCCATGTGACTTAAGTTCTAGTCAATGGAATGCAAGTAAAATTAGAGTGTACAACTTTTGGGAAGTGTCTTTAAACAAACCACAGGGTGGAGATGATACCTTTCTCTTCCCGTTTCCTTTTCCCCACAGGATGGAATACAGGGGGGACAGTTAGATTCTGAATTGTTAAGCAGAGCTGCTTGATGCAGAAGATGAAGACACAAGAAAGAATGAGCCTAGGCCGGGCACAGTGGCTCACGCCTGTAATTCCAGCACTTCGGGAGGCCGAGGCGGGAGGATCACTTGAGCTCAGGAGTTTGAGACCGGCCTGGCCACCATGGTGAAACCTCGACTCTACCAAAAAAAAAAAAAAAAAGCCAAAATTAGCCGGGTGTGGTGGCATATGCCTGTGGTCCCAGCTACTTGGGAGGCTGAAGTGGGAGAATCACTTGAGCCCAGGAGGCTGCAGTTGCAGTGAGCTGATATTATGCCACTGCACTCCAGCCTGGGTGACAGGGTGAGACCCTGTCTCAAAAAAAAAAAAAAAAGAATGAGCAAGCCTAGATCCTTGATGGTCATCTCAGCCCTGTCCTGCCTATGAGGAAGACTTAAACTTTGCTCCTGTTTTAGCCACTGTTACTTTGCATTTTGGTCACTCATCCTAATATATAAAATTAAAAAACTAAAAACAGGTTCTTTGTAACTATTTTGTTGTGTACTAATCATCAATCGAGTCATGAATATAAAGAGCTCTTTTAAAAAATATGTTCAAACCACAATCTAATCCAAATATAAACAGACCATAAAACCGTGTGTGAATGTAGACCAATAGAGTCAGAATATCAAGCCTAGTAACCAACACCAGAATTCAGAACAGTCAAGCTGAGTGTAACGGCACTAACTCTGTCAGATGAAGGGATGATTACCCTACCTGATGGTGAATTCCAGCAGCTCCTGGGCTCCCTGAGGGTCCAAGTGCTGAAGACTATACACTCTTTCAAGGCTCTGCTGCAGGAACTGCTGCGAAGGATCCTCTTGAGGTATGATGCTGGGAGAAACAGCTGATGACACCAGTTTTCTACCTGGTAACTAAGCAAACACAGTGGGATTATAGAGTCATTAAGTTTGGTGGCTCAGCTTTTGGTAACACACACACAAACACATAAAAGCACATTAAAAATGTGAGCTAAACAAAACAAAGGGGAAAAAAGGCTAGGAGATTCTATAAATAACATTTCTCCCCTTCCTCAGCAACAATTGGGAGTTAAAGAGAAAGAGACAAAATGCAAACATGGTCTACCCAATACAGCCACAGCTGCCAGGAGAAAAACAGAAAAGGTATAATATTTTCTATTGCTAACTGAAATAAATGGGCCAACCATAGGAAGGAGACTAAAAATTAAACTGTTGCTACATCTTTTTTTTTTTTAGACAGAGTTTCACTCTTGTTGCCTAGAGTGCAATGGTACCATCTCGGCTCACTGCAAACTCCACCTCCCAGGTTCAAGCGATTCTCTTGCCTCAGCCTCCTGAGTAGCTGGGATTAGAGGTGGCCGCCCCCAGACCCAGCTAATTTTGTATTTTTAGTAGAGACAGGGTTTCTCCATGTTGGTCAGGCTGGTCTCGAACTCCTGACCACAGGTGATCCGCCTGCCTCAGCCACCCAGACTGCTGGGATTACAGGCGTGAGCCACTGCACCCGGCCACATTTATCTTTAAAACACTATCTTATCTTTCACTTGAAGGAAGAGTAATGATTTATTCCCAAATAAACTTATATAGCATACAATTTTTTCATGAGAATAATTTTTTTTTATTTTTGGCCTAGCCCTTCAGATATTCTTACTGTTAAAAGTGGTTACCTTTTAAGATGGATGGGGAGGAGAGAGCAAAGAGTATTTCACTTTTCAATTTGTATCTACTTGTTTTTTGTTTTTTTTTTTGAGATGGAGTCTCACTCTGTCGCTCAGGCTGGAGTGCAGTGGCACAACCTTGGCTCATTGCAACCTCTGCCTCCTGGGTTCAAGCAATTCTCTTGCCACAGCTTCCCGAGTAGCTGGGACTACAGGTGCCCACCACCATGCCCAGTTAATTTTTGTATTTTTAGTAGAGATGAGGTTTCACCACGTTGGCCAGGCTGGTCGTGAACTCCTGTCCTCAGATGATCCACCCGCCTCAGCCTCCCAAAATGCTTAGATTACAGGCATGAGCCACCGCACCTGGCCTCATTTTGTATATTACTCCAAATAAAGTGATTTGGAGTCACCCAAGCAGGGATGAGTTAATGCAAATAGAGAGATTGGAAGAGTACCTGGGCCACAGCATTCACGAAGTGTTTGCTATTATTATTACGATCCATTTTTAAATTTTCTTCTTTATATCTCTAGGTTTTAAAAATAGTAAAGGTTTTATTTTTAAAAAATAAGCACTTCTGGAGAATCATGGCTATATGTAATAGTTAAAATATAACAATTTAGGCTGGGTGTGGTGGCTCATGCCTGTAATCCCAGCACTTTGGGAGGCCGAGGCAGGCAGATCACGAGGTCAGGAGATCAAGACCATCCTGGCTAACACGGTGAAACCCCGTCTCTACTAAAAAATACAAAAAATTAGCCGGGTGTGGTGGCAGGTGCCTGCAGTCCCAGCTACTCGGGAGGCTGAGGCAGGAGAATGGAGTGAACCTGGGAGGCGGAGCTTGCAGTGAGCCGAGATCGCGCCACTGCACTTCAGCCTGGGCGACACAGCGAGACTTCGTCTCAAAAGGTAATAATAATAAAAATAAATAAATAAATATATAACAATTTAAATTCTTGATCTAAAATATAATCTATTGTTCCAGGTTCCTTTCTTCTTGCCTAATATCAATAACCCAGGGACACCAAAAAAAATGAATCATCTTAAAAGGTAAAGGATACAAAAGCAAAAGTATAAAACAATGGCAAAGAGCCCAAGAGAGAAGGAGAATGAACAAACAAGTTTTCAGAGAATATATGGACTGCTTTCTACTATTTAATAACCACAAAGCACAAAAAATAAAAAGCCAAAAACAAGCTGCACACAATGGTGCTCACCTGTAATCACAGCGACTTGGGAGGCTGAGCCAGGAGGATGGCTTAAGCCCAGGAGTTTGAGACCGCCCTGGGCAACATAACAAGACCCCCATCTCAAAGGAAAACATGAACACAAATACCCCTACCCCATGCAAAATAAAAACAAGGACAACAGATGTTTTCAACATACCCTCAAGGCAGGAACAAGATGAGAAAGACTGTCTCGGAGGTAGGCATAGTGCCTGACGGTGTGATCTGAGAACAATGCTCGCATTGTTGGACAGGTTTTAGCAGCATTGAAAATAAGTACCAAAACTGCAATATCTGATAGATCACTGGGTTAAGTAAACTTGGAAGTATAAAAGGTTGGCCAGATTCTGGCACTCTCACTTTCCACCTCCAAAATCTCCATCAAGAGACTATGATTTTCTAATAATCAAAGAAATGCAAATACAAACAACAAAATACATTCCCCTACTCCACCCACACCCCCAATTACCAAAGGTTTTTAAAAATGCCAGAGACTGCCAAGAATACAAAAAAATGGAAATGATTTTGCCTATAAAGTAAGCAACTATATTGCCTATCAAAGTACATACTGGCCAGGCATGGTGGCTCACGCCTGTAATCCCAACACTTTGGGAGGCTGAGGCGGGTGGATCAGTTGAGGTCAGGAGTTTGAGACCAGCCTGGGCAACAAGGTAAAACCCCGTCTCTACTAAAAATACAAAAATTAGCCGGGAGTGGTGGCAGGCACCTGTAATCCCAGCTACTTGGGAGGCTGAGGCAGGAGAATCATTTGAATCCAGGAGGCGGAGGTTGCAGTGAGCTGGGGTGGTGCCACTGCACTCCAGCCCAAGCAACAGGTTAGGAATTTGAGACCAGCCTGGCCAACATGGTGATAACCCGTCTCTACTAAAAATACAAAAATTAGCTGGGTGTGGTAGCGGGCGCCTATAATCCCAGCTACTCAGGAGGCTGAGGCAGGAGAATTGCTTGAACCCGGGAGGCAGAGGTTTCAGTGAGCCGAGATCAAGCCACTGCACTCCAGCCTGGGTGACAGAATGAGACTCTGTCTTCAAAAAAAAAAAAAGGAAAGAAAAGCAAAGAAAAGAAAACTCAGACCACCCTAGCTACACTGCAGAAGGAGATGCCAAAGCTGCCTGCCAACACATCAGGGCCCATCCTAAGCACAGAGGATACAAGCTGGATCATCCATGTCTGGTTCAGCTGTGTCAAAAAATGGGTGGGTGCTCAGAAGCTCTGGCACCAAGGGAAGCACCAGGGTTGGATGCCGACTTCCCAGAAACTTCAAGCACCTGAAACAAACAAATAAGAATGCACATCAACAAATTAGTAAAGTTAGTCCTTTGAAAAGTACTAGGAACTGGAATCAGAAAACCTGAACTGGAATTGGAAATTCTCAACCATATACTTTTGCTAACTCTATGACTTCAGATAAGTCACCCAGTTATTCTGGAACTTGGTTAATTCATCTAAAAAAACTGGTTATTATAAAGATAAAAGAACTGTTTATTTAACCAACAGCCATTTCCCCCATCTTTCTTCCTGAGAGAGCCCTGATTTTACTCAGGTATCAGGCAGGCAGCAAAGTGCTCGGAAAAGGCAGGTCCAGCCCAAGAGCTGAACCACTATTGGTCTAAACCCATCATGGCAACCCCATTCCCATTTTCCAGTGACTGGTTTGCTGGTACGCAAGTAAGCCAGTTCTAGACAATGGAGCACGAGAGTATGCTGGCTGGGGAGCTTCTCAGGGATGTTTTTGCAAATCAAAAGAGCAATGCATGAAAGGGAATGACCCTTCCTTTCTGTCTTGAGATATTATCTTATGAGGCAGCCATCTTACAACCATGAGAAGAAAGCCGGCCGGGTGCGGTGCCTCACGCCTATAATCCCAACACTTTGTGAGGCCAAGATGGCTGGATCAGGAGGTCAAGAGATCAAGACCATCCTGGCCAACATGGTGAAACCCCATCTCTGCTAAAAATACAAAAATTAGCTGGGCATGGCGGCACGGGCCTGTAGTCCCAGCTACTCGGGAGGCTGAGGCAGGAGAATCGCTTGAACCTGGGAGGCGGAGGTTCAGTGAGCCGATATTATGCCAATGCACTCCACCCTGGCGATAAAGAGAGACTCTGTCTCAAAAAAAAAAAAAAAAAAAAAAGAGCCAAGAGAACTGCAGAGAAACCAAAGAGAGCCCTGGTAACCTGTTGAATGACCAATCCTGAAACCAACCTTCTGACCTCGTTATGAAAAAACAGACTTATTGGCTAAGATATTTTTAATCAGATTGTCTTTTTTATTTGTGGGCAAAAACATTCTAATTGATATCCTGGGTGAAGTCCTGAAATCACAGATCTGTCTGAAACTAAGTAGCCTTATGCAAGTAAATTTTTTCATCTACAAAATGAGATTAAAAGTCATTACTTCATAGAGTTGCTATATGCATTAAATAACTAACATAAAGTACTCAGCAAAGTGTCTGTCACATAGTAAGAACTCAATGTTAGCTATTATAACTACCTGAGGGCCCTTTATAAACTATAAGGAACTATACAAGCAAGGTAATTATACATTTTTATTATTGTTTATGGTTTTTTTTTTTTTTTTTTGAGACTGAGTCTTGCTCTGTTGCCCAGGCTGGCATGCAGTGGCACAATCTCGGCTCACTGCAACCTCTGCTTCCAGGGTTCAAGCGATTCTCCTGCCTTTGCCTCCCGAGTAGCTGGGATTACAGGCATGTGCCACTACGCCCAGCAGATTTTTGCATTTTTAGTAGAGATGAGGTTTCACCATGTTGGCCAGGCTGGTCTTGAACTCCTGACCTCAGGTGATCCACCCGCCCCAGCCTCCCAAAGTGCCGGGATTATAGGCGTGAGCCACTGCACCCAGCCAATTAAGTGCACCTTCTAAACCAGAACTTAATGAATAAAAAATAATAAGGCCGGGCACAGTGGCTCATGCCTGTAATCCCAGCACTTTGGGAGGCCAGGGCAGGTGGATCACCTGAGGTCAGGAGTTCAAGACCAGCCTAACCAACATGGTAAAACCCCATCTCTACTAAAAAAAAAAACAAAAATTAGTTGGGTATGGTGGCGTGCACCTATAATCCCAGTTACTCGAGAGGCTGAGGCAGGAGAATCGCTTGAACCCAGGAGGCAGAAGTTGCAGTGAGCTGAGATCACGCCACTGCATTCTAGTCAGGGTGACAGAGCGAGACTCCATCTCAAAAAAAAAAAGTAACAAAACAAAACACTATATAGGAGAAAGAGGAAATCTAATTAATTTATTTCTATACTTGTAACAGCTACCACAAGGGTTGGTGCGTAGTCAGCACACAGCAGGCACATAATATTTGCTAGGTGGATAGATGCACAAATTAGTAAGTAATCTAAAATGTGATATTCAGCTTAGGAATCAGATTCCTGAGAGCGGTTAAGTTCAATCAGGTTTCTAAAGTAAAGGCAAAATTCAGGGCCGTACCACCCTCAATCTATAAGGACGGAACAAATGTCAGCATTGTACATTTACCACATTATGCGACTCAGTGAGTAAATGGGCAAAAAAGTCATTACTTCCATATGGAGTCCCTATCAGTAGGGTACTTGGTTAAATTTTTCAGCAGCTCCACCAATGCAAGATGAATCCCTTCTTTGGTTGAAACATTAGTACAGCATAAGAGTTCATGAAGAGCCTCTCGAATATCTCTGGCTGAATCCTTTTAAAAAAAAGTAATAATAATAGTAGTTACTGTTGGTTAGCAGACTCAGCCTCTATCTACCATCCCCTTCTCCCCAGCCACCTTCCCATCTAGGGTGGCCATGTAACAAAGTATGTGGAAGTTTTTTGGATGAAATTCCTGAAATATCTTTCATTTTATTGATAAAGGACCAGAGGCAGTAGCTTTATCCCCTTTCTTCTTTAACCTTCCTTTTCCATCCTATCTGGGACTCAATCATGATGCTGAAGGTACAAGAGCCTTTTTGCAACTAGGAAAAAGGACAGGCTAAGAAGAAAGGCTAAGAGAGAGGCTGGGAATGGCCAGTTAGCAGAACACTCAGAACACACACACTTACTAAGTTTGCCATCTTATACAGGCACAGTTTGTGGCATCCCAAAGCAATTACAACAGTAACATCAAAGATCACTGATCACAGATCACTGTAACAGATGTAATAATGAAAAAGTTTGAAATATTGCAAGAATTACCAAAATGTGACACAGACATAAAGTGAGCACATGCTATTGGAAAAATGGCACTGATAGACTTGCTCAATGCATGGTTGCCGCAATCTCTCAATTTATTAAAAAAATACAATATCTGCAAAGCCCAATAAAGAGAGGTATACCTGTATGTGCTAAATGGAGGAGTGAGGGAAAGAGTCGATCTATCTGAAGTGAATTTCAAGATTTCAAGAATGAGAAATGTTAAAAGAGAGGCAAATCGAAATGTCACTCCTATCCATAAAATTCTGCAACAGTTTTCCATAATGTTAGAATAAAATCCAGACATCTTAAAATGGCCTACAAGGCTCTCCACCTCTCCCTAATCCCCTCTCAGACTTCATTTCATGCCACATTTCTACTTTCTCACTGTGGTTCACTCCTACTGGCTTTCTCTCTATTCTGCAAACACAACAAAGCTCACTTGTGTTTTAGAGCCTTCCCACTAGCTGTTGCCTCTACCTGAATTTATTCTCCCGGTCTTCACATAGCTAGCTTCTGTTTACCATTCAAGACTCAACTTGAACATCATCTCCTCAGAAAGTCTTTACTAACCACTCAAATTACAGAGAAATTCCCCATTCCTCCATCATACTGTTTATCTTCTGCAAAACATTTATCACCATCTGAAATCATTTTGTTTGTTTACTCCACCTCTCTTTAGAATATAAGTTTTATGACAGCAGGGATCCTGTCTGTTTTGATATCCCTATATTTCTAATACATAGACAGTGCTTGTTGAATAAAGAAGTGAGTTTTTCTAGGCAGGGTAGGATCTTGACATAGCAGGAAAAAAAAAAAAGGCAAATTCCACCTGGAAGGGTCAGCAAGGTAAGGCTCAAAGCAATGAAGCACAGTGACACAGAAAATATAAGGGAGCAGTGCACAGCAGGGTGGAAGAATAGTCTACTGTAAGTTTATATGGGTCTGAACTCCTGAAAAGAATTAAAAAGCAAGGATTCTTTGTGAGTTATATACATAAGTACTCACAAATAAGCATACCTGTGAACAATTCTGTACATCAAAACATAGCTTGGAACATAGCTCAGCTACTCAGCAAACACTTGCCGAGCACCTAATTGTGCCAGACACTGCTGCAAGACATTGGTAATAAAAAAATGAAGAGTCAGCTGGGCATGGTGGCTCACACCATAATCCCAGCACTTTGGGAGGCCAAGGTGGGTGGATCACTTGAGGTCAGGAGTTCGAGACCAGCCTGGCCAATATGGTGAAACATCATCTCTACTAAAAAAATATATATAAAAATTAGTATTGTAGTGCGTGCCTGTAATCCCAGCTACTCAGGAGACTGAGGCAGGAGAATTGCTTGAACCCAGGAGGTGAAGGTTGCAGTAAGCCAAGATCGCACCACTGCATTCCAGCCTGGGGAACAGAGCGAGACTCAGCCTCAAAAAGCAAAAAACAAACAAACAAACAAACAAAAAACAAAAAACAAAAAAAAAAAAAAAAAAAAGGAAAGGAAAGGAAAAAGGAAAAGAAAAAGGAAAGGAAAGGAAAACAAAAGAGAAAAGAAAAGCCAAGACACCTTGAGGAGCTCACAGTCTTATGAAACAGAGAATTACTGAAAAATGCTAGAGCAGTATACACAGAGTGCTATGGGAATAGAGTGGTGGCATTTAGCCCATCCAGGGCTGGGAGTAACAGTTAGGGAAGGCTTCCTGGATATGTTACCTAATATAGGCTGTGGGAATAAGTGGACGTCTCCTGGGTTAAAGTGGCAGTTTTGCAAACTGAGGGGGAAATTACATTGAAGGTAAAATTGTGAGGAAAAGCCATATGTGTAGGAAAGTGACTTCAGCATAAAGTTCAAGGTGAGGAATGGTGGAGAAGAAAGCTAAAAAGGAAAGGAGTGGCTAGGCTATGTATGAGGCCACCCATGAAGAACCACACATAGAATGTAAACTTATTTTTAGGAAAAAATACATGAAAAAATTATAAAGATTTATAATTCAGGAAAAATCTTAGTAGAAGTGCTAAGCAGCTGAGAGAATGGTAGGGACCTTCAAAACCAAAGCACCAGCTATTCTTTAAAGTATGCAGTAGAAATCTGTTACAAGTGTTCTAAAAACTAAGCACCTAATTACTATCCCTTTCACATCTGAACCCCATCTTCCCCAAAAAGGAAACCAGAGGACAAACCCCATTTATGAATACTCTGAAGAACTTGAGTAGTTGCAATTAAAATCCAGACATTTTAGAAAAATAATACAAGAACTACCTAGAGCTGTACGGCCTGGGAAGCAACTCTGTGTTTACATTTTGGTTCAGCCACTAACTCAGACAACTTATTTTTTTCTCTATAAAATTCTCAGGGTAGAATGAATCAATCCCTAAGAGCACTTGCTGCTATAACAGCCTATGATTCACTACAAGAATAAAATCAAATTAAAGGTTGAAAAGAACTCTTCATTATTTAGCCCCTACCTTATCTATAGCCACTTCCTCCACTCTTCCATCTCTTCAACTCTACGCTATCATTATAATAAACTCTTTTTAGTTCCTTGAATATATCATATTCTGTCTTATCTCTGCATCTTTAGACATTGCTCCCTCTGTCTGGTACCCTTTCATCCTACCACCAGTGTCACTTCTCCTTTAAAAAAGATGCACTTCAGCTTGAGTGACAGAGTGAGACCCTGTCTCAAAAGAAGAAGGAAAAAAAAAAGCCCAGTTAAGTCCTATTCCTCCTTCAAGTGTCCACTACAGCACTTCCTCCTTCTTCCCAACCTCACCTCAGCCAATTCAGGTTAGACACTATGTATTCCCTAGGCATCCTATCCTTTCTTGATCACAGAAAGACCAAGCTTATTCAAATTTCCTGTTTCACAGTCAATTTCTTCCATCTTAGGGGAGGGATATGGTGAGAAAACAGAACTGTGCTGCCCGATATACTGTTCTGTCACCAATACCTGATTTTAACGGGCGGGGGGGGGTGAGGGATGAAGAAATGAGTAACAAATTAGGAACACTCACCTCTAGCACAGCCAGGACAGTGTCAAGCTGATCTTCTCGGAGGGTGATGTTGTTAGAGATTTTTCTCATGGTATGTATGGACTGCAGACGTACTTCCTCAATTTCATCGTTGAACATGTCAACTAGGAAATCAAGGCACTTCTCAGCAAAAGAGGGTGAAGACTGGGCCAACATGCAGAGGGCCTCCACAGCAGCAATACGAACCTCTAGAAAAAAGAACAAATGAAATTGCACATCAGGCTGGGCACAGTGGCTCATGCCTGTAATCCCAACACTTTGGGAGGCCAAGGTAGGCAGACCACTTGAGCCCGCCTATGCAATGTGGTAAAACTCTGTTTCTACCAAAAATATTAAAAAATTAGCTGGCTGTGGTAGTGTGCGCCTGTTCTCTCAGCTACTTGGGAGGCTGAGATGGGAGGATCACTTGAACCTGGGAGGCAGAAATTACAGTTAGCCAAGGTCGTGCCACTGCACTCCAGCCTGGTGACAGAACGAGACCCTATCTCAAAACAAAACACACAAAAAACAAATTAGCCAAGTGTGGTGGCGCACGCCTATAGTCCCATCTACTTGGGAGGCTGAGGGAGGAAGATCACTTGTGCCCAGGAGTTTGAGGCTGCAGTGAGCCATGATTGTGCCACTACACTCCGTCCTGGTGACAGACTGGGCCCCTGTCTCAAAAAAAAAAAAAACTCCAAAAACAAAAAAACAAAAACTGCACATCAGCCAGGTGCAATGCCATACACCAAAGTCCCAGCTACTCAGGAAGCTGAGGTGGGAGGATCATTTGAGCTCAGGAGTTCAAGGCTGGCCTGAGCAACACACTGAAGCCCCATATTTTATATATATATAAAGTAACTCATATCAAATTAAGAGCCATGGGAAAAGTCCAAGATGGATTCATTCTCCTTCAGGCTGTCTTCTATTCTCTACTCCTCTCATTCTATAAACTCTCCCTGGGAGATCTCTATGCCCACAGTTTCACATACCACCCACCTTAACATCGATCTAAGAACATGGACTTTAGTATCACAAGGACTATGGCTTAAATCTGACTCCACATATATGTGATGAGTCTGTCTACATGTCTGTCTACATTAACTTCTTGAAAATTAAATTGTCTTACTTATCTCAGTATTCCGACCACAGTACTTTTTAAAAAGTCAGTTAGTAAATAATGTTATCATTATTATTAAGATTAAAGTAGACTAAATATCATTGTTCGAATTTTACAGGTAAGATTCAGCAACGTGGATTAACTTGCCTCAAAGTGAATGAGGGCAGGACTAGGACCAATACTCAGGTCTGTTGATTGTAGGCTAAAATCATATAGTGGTTAAGGATACATGCTTGGAATGATAGAGGTCTCAGAGCACACTGTAGTGAATGATCCCTCCACTAAGTTGGAGGGTGATCTTGAATAAGTAACTCAACTTCCTGGCACCTCAAATTTCTCACCTGGTAAATGGACATAATACTCATTTCCTTACAGAGTTGTTAGGACTAAATGAGATAATACAGGTAAAGCACATAGGGACTCTGCCTGGCATATTTTAAGGGCTCAATAAGTATCACCTAGGGTATAGGTTTGGGTTCTGTAAGCACCCTGAAAACAGAGGCATGTTTTCCACCCCTTGGCATGCTCAGAACATGTAAACAATAAAGCCACTGATCCGAGGAAGCCCTTTCTTCATTCACTAATAAATGGGTCCTGAACACGTACTATATGCTAGGTGCAGTACTAAGGGCTAGGATACAAAGATGAGAAATGAGTAAGACACAGAAAATGCTCACAAGACTTCTATACATGGTTGTTTTTTTCTAGTGATTCCCATATGCTTCTGTAACAAAATGGACTATTCCAAAACAAACAAAACAAAAAGTACCTAAAGTTGTGGTTAAAACTCACAAACACAATTTCCTCTTTGTATAAAGAAAGGTTTTATAGACATGTTAAAAGTAGAGTTACTACATTAAAGACAGATGATTCAGGTTTTTCTTGGTAGTTATGAATTCCTCCTTTTCATCAGAAGAGAACAATTTTCTTCATTTCACAATAATATAATTTAAACATGAAATTGCTAATTATAAGGCAAGCTAGAGATAAACCCAAACATGTTAAGTGCTGGCTCTTCCTCCTAGAATTTTAACCATTACACCACACTGACTCATATGTAACGTTTGCAAGTCCACCAAGGCAATCAGGAAGGAATTTCTGATCAGAAAGAGATAATCAGTGTGACCTCAGCTGATACAGTTCCAAGCAGAAGCAAAGAAATGTGGTATTTTACTTTGCCTGAACGGCCAGACTATAAGCAAGAAAATTGATATTTTCCACTGAACTTTTTGGAACGTTGAAGATACGTCGGCCAGGCATGTCACGCCTATAATCCCAGCACTTTGAGAGGCCAAGGCAGGAGGATCACTTGAGCCCAGGAGTTCAACACCAGCCTGGGCAACATAGTGAGACCCCATCTCTATAAAAAAAGTTAATTAAAAATAAATAAATAATATGTCACAGATTCCCCATGGGTACAGAGCAGAGAAAAGGAATCTACTATACTATATTTTAAAAAAGACTGATCGTCAGCATCTGCACATGTATAATTGGGTCCAGACTTAGCTACCTATTAGGTTTGTACTTAGTACTAAAGACACAAAGATGAACAAAAGCAAGACTATCCCCCAGGCTTACAAATAAGAACAGTTAATTGCATTACAGAGTGATGACTGTTGCCATGGAAAAGCACAGGGAATGTAAGAAAATGCATATGAAGAAATATAGCCCAATCAATGGGATCAGAGGTGGCTTTCTGTAATACGTGATCCCTAAAAACAATAACTAAAAGAGCTGCTAAGCCAAAAGAAAGAAAAAGGCCTTTCTAGAAGAAAAGCTGCATGCACAAAGTCCCAAAAAGGAGAGAGAAGATGGATAAATTAGAAGACTAGAAGTATGTGAGGCACTACACTAGAGTGAACAGCCAGCGAAATAAGGCTCCATTTCATTCCCAGCAATGCACCCCTAAAACCCAAATTTTCCCAGAATTGTATAAATGTGATAAAATTAGAAAGCTGTCATACCTGATACCTGGTTATGGTATACTCACTTTTTAAACTTAAGTTAATTTGATTACATCTTAATAACATTTGCAACACGAAGGATAAATCCTTGAGGAGATGGATACCTATCTATATGATGTGATTATTTCATATTTCATGCCTGTATCAAAACATCTCATGTACCCCTTAAATATATATACTAGTATGGAACCAAAAAAGGGCCCACATAGCCAAGACAATTCTAAGCAAAAAGAACAAAGCTGGAGGCCTCACGCTACCTGACTTCAAACTATACTACAAGGCTACAGTAACCAAAACAGCATAGTACTGGTACCAAAACAGATATATAGACCAATGGAACAGAACAGAGCCCTCAGAAATAACACCACACATCTACAACCATCTGATCTTTGACAAACCTGACAAAAACAACCAACAGGGAAAGGATTCTCTATTTAATAAATGGTGTTAGGAAAACTGGCTAGCCATACGCAGAAAACTGAAACTGGATCCCTTCCTTATACTTTATACAAAAATTAACTCAAGATGGATTAAAGGCTTAAATGTAAGACCTAAAACCATAAAAACCCTAGAAGAAAATCTAGGCAATACCATTCAGGACACGGGCATTGGCAAAGACTTCATGACTAAAACACCAAAAGCAACGGCAACGAAGCCAAAATTGACAACTGGGATCTAATTAAACTAAAGAGCTTCTGCACAGCAAAAGAAACTATCATCAGAGTGAACAGGCAACCTACACAATGGGAGAAAATTTTTGTAACCTATCCATCTGACAAAGAGCTAATATCCAGAATCTACAAGGAACTTAAATTCACACACACAAAAAAGAAAAAAACCATGACCCCATCAAAAAGTGGGCAAATGATACGAACAGACACTTCTCAAAAGAAGACATTTATGCAACCAACAAACATATTAAAAAAAGCTCATCATCACTGGTCATTAGAGAAATGCAAATCAAAACCACAGTGAGATACCATCTCACACCAGTTAGAATGGCGATCATTAAAAAGTCAGGAAACAACAGATGCTGGAGAAGATGTGGAGAAACAGGAACACTTTTACACTGTTGGTGGGAGTGTAAATTAGTTCAGCCATTGTGGAAGACAGTGTAGCGATTCCTCAAGGATCTAGAACCAGAAATACCATTTGACCCAGCAATCCCATTACTGGGCATATACCCAAAGCCTTATAAATCATTCTACTATAAAAACACATGCACACATATGTTTATTGCAGCACTATTCACAATAGTAAAGACTTGGAACCAACCCAAAGGCCCATCAGTGATAGACTGGATAAAGAAAACGTGGCACATATACACCATGGAATACCACGCAGCCATAAAAAAGGATGAGTTCATGTTATTTGCAAGGACATGGATGAAGCTGGAAACCATCATTCTCAGCAAACTAGCACAAGAACAGAAGACCAAACACCGCATGTTCTCACTCATAAGTGGGAGGTGAACAATGAGAACACATGGACACTGCAGGTGGGGGGGCATCACACACTGGGGCCTGTTAGGGGGTGGGGGGCTGGGGGAGGGATAGCATTAGGAGAAATACCTAACGTAGATGACGGGTTGACGGGTGCAGCAAACCACCATGGCACATGTATACCTATGTAACAAACCTGCACGTTCTGCACATGTACCCCAGAACTTAAAAGTATAAAAAAAAGTATTTAAAAAATCTTAATGGCAAACTGAAAACTGTATAACTAAATCATATAAATGTTAAAAGTGATGAAATTCAGTTGTAGAAACGCAACAAAGCAAAAATGCTAATAGAAACAAAATAGGTTTCAGTTACTCATTTTAGAGTAAAATAGGTTTTAATAACTGGACTTCCTTATTATCCAATATTATTTAAATTGTAATTCATATTTTAAGTTCATAGAGAATCAAAAAGCAGAGGTAGATTTACTTTCTATACATATGGAACATTTTAGAACAAATGATAGGATAACCCAATTCTTACATCTACTGATGAAAAACTTTCTTTCAAAAATAATATTCTTGCCCTTCTAAGAAGCAGTTCTATCCTGAGGTATGATTGTATAGGCATTTTTAAGACCTGGCACAGGTCTCTGGCACAAATTTACTGTAAAACGTGGACAATCAACATTACCTCACCAGGTCTGTTACCCTTGCTGATAATGAAGAGGCTGGAGTCAATCATCTCAAAGCACTGAAATTCTGAGATGTACGTGAGACAGACAGCATACGGAAATCACATGGGCTTTATAGGATGTCTATTACAAGATGGAGTAATGAGGACCGGCTTTTTCCTCCAAGGATGAGACAGAGACAAAATATATGAAACAACAGCATTCCAGACACTGGGCATCTGGCAATAAAGGACTGCAATCCCTGAGAGATGGGAAATAAATGAGGTGATCTCAATGATTACAATTCCGTTTAGAGAGACTCCAGGCACTAGGTCTTCTCTCCCTGAGTTGAGAAGATTGAGCTAGGAGTTTGGGAAGTCCAATGTGGCTAGAGTTCATAGAGCAAATTTCTGGAAAGGAGAGAACTACACAGAGAGACAGAGAGCTTGGGAGATCTGCAGATGGTCGCCTCAAGTCTTCAGCTGAATTCTGATCTGTGCGACAGAGACCATCTGAGGCCTGGAAAAGAACCACTCAAAACAATGAGAGGAAACAATCTCCAGAGGTCACACAGGGCCTATAAAACCACAGTTAACTTAGAAGAATTTTGCAGCCAGGTGTGGTGGCTTATGTCTGTCATCCTAAAACTCTGGGAGGCTGAGGTGGCCGGATTGCTTGAGGCCAGGACTTCAAGCCTGGCCTGGGCAACATGGCAAAACCCATCTCTACAAAAAATACAAAAATTAGCCAGGTGTGGTGGTGCCCACCTGTGGTCCTAGTTACTCAGGAGGCTGAGGTGGGAAGGTTGTTTGAGCCCAGGAGGTCAAGGCTGCAGCGAGCCGTGACTGTACCTTGGCACTCCAGCCTGGGCAACAGAGCAAGATCCTGTCTCAAAAAAAAAAAAAAAAAAAGAGAGAGAGAAAAAAGAAAAGAAGAGGTTTTGTGCTTCAAGTAGTGAAAAAGAAGAGTTTTTTGCTTCACTAGTGGAGAAAAGTAAGCTGTAGGCTAAATGCTACTCTAATCCTGCCTAACAAAGTATAAGACCTGAAAAAATGGATCCCAGAACAAAGCTCAAAAATATTTATAGGAATAAAATAATGTTCAGTATCCAATAAAGTGAAATCTATAATGTCTGGCATCCAATTAAAAATTATCAGACATGAAAAGACACAGGATGGAATATACACAGGATGAATATATAATACTGGAAGAAAAAAAATCAATCAAAACCAACCTAGGAATCACAGAAATAATAGTCCTAGTAAACAAGGATAGTAAGACAATATAAACATATTATCTGTTGACAAAGCTAGAGGAAAGATTAAGTATGTTAAGAAAGACATGGTAGATACTAAAAAGACCCAAACTCTTTCTTCTTTTTTTTTGAGACAGGGTCTTGCTCTGTCACCCAGACTGGAGTGCACTTGTGTGATCATGGCTCCTTGCAACCTCTAACTCCTGGGCTCAAGCAATCCTCCTGCCTCAGCCTCCCAAGTAGCTGGGACTAAAGGCAATGCACAACCATGTCTGGCTAATTTTAAATTTTTTGTAGAGATAGGGTCTCCTTATGTGGTCCAGGGTGGAAAAAACCCAAATTCTAATCAAACTTCTAGAGACAGAAACTACATGTCCGAGATGAAAAATATACTGGGTGGGATTAACATCAGATTATATCTTGCAACACTCAAAGACAAAGCAATAGATACTATCCAAAATCAAACACAAAGAGAAAATAAAAACTGGAGAAAGAAAGGAAGGAAGGAAGGAAGGAAGGAAGAATAGAGCATCAGTGAGCTGCAAAACAATGTCAGTATCCTAATGCATGTGTAATGAAAGTCGCCAAAGGGCCTGTAGAGTCAGAGAAATTTAAAAAAATAATAGTGGCTGGGTATGGTGGCTCACACCTGTAATCCCGGCACTTTGGGAGGCTGAAGCGCGCAGATAAGTTGAGCTCAGGGGTTTGAGACCAGCCTCGGCAACATGGCAAAACCCCGTCTCTACTAAAAATACAGAAATTAGCCGAGAGTGGTGGCGGGCACCTGCAGTCCCAACTACTGGGGAGGCTGAAGCACGAGAATTGCCTGAACTCAGGATGCAGAGATTGCAGTGAGCCAAGATCACACCACTGCACTTCAGCCTGGGCAAAACTCTGTCCCCGCCACACCCCCCGAAAAAAAAAGAGAGAGAAAGAAATAATAGCAAAAAAAAATTTCCAACTGTGATGAAAACTATTTGATTCAAGAAGCTCAACAAACTCCAAACAAAAGAAACATGACATGAACTATACTATACCTAGGCATATCATAATCAAATTGTTTAAAACCAGTGATAAAGAGAAATCTTAAAAGCAGCTTGAGATAAAAAGACACATTATATACAGAGGAAGATAAAAACGACAGCAGATTTCTCAACAGAAAACTATGGAGCAATATCATTAAAAGACTGGTAGAGGCCACGCACAGTGGCTCACGCCCGCAATCTCAACACTTTAGGAGGCCAAGGCAAAAGGATCACTTGAGCCCAGGAGTTCAAGACTGGCTTGGACAATATAGGGAGGCCCTGTCTCTGCAAAAAATTAAAAAATTAGCCGGGCATGGTGACATGTGCTTCTGGTCCCAGCTACTCGAGAGGCTGAGGTGGGAGGATTGCTTGGGTCCAGGAAGTCAAGGCTTCAGTGAGCTGTGATCACACCACTACACTCTAGCCTGGGTGACACAGTGAGACCCTGTCTCAAAAAACAAAAAAGTCTCTTGGAAAAAAAAAAACTTATTAATCTAGAATTGGATTCCCACAAAAATATCTTTCTATATTTATTTATTTATTTATTTATTTTTTGAGACAGAGTTTTGCTCTGTTGCTTGCCCAGGCTGGAGTGCTGTGGCACGATCTCAGCTCACTGCAACCTCTGCCTCCTGAGTTCAAGTGATTCTTGTGTCTGAGCCTCTCTAGCAGTTGAGATTACAGGTGCATGCCACCATACCAGCTATTTTTTGTATTTTTAGTAGATCCAGGGTTTCACCATGTTAACCAGGCTGGTCTTGAACTCCTGGCCTCAAGTGATCCTCCAGCCTCAGCCTCCCAAAGTGCTGGGATTACAGGTGTGAGCCACCACGCCTGGCCCAAAAATATCTTTCAAAAATGAAGGTGAAATAAAATATTCATCAGTCATATAAAGGTTTGGCAGTCAGACATACCTAGGTTTAAATCTTGCTCTGTCTCTTACTAGCTGGGTAAGTAATATCAAGTTATTATTTTTATTAATATCAATTTTAATTACCAATTATTAAGTGCTTATTATAAATAGGCACATGTATTATGCCAAGTGCTTTATGTATACAGAACCTCATTTAATTCTCACAACTCAGAAAGATAGTTATTATTATCCCTGTTTTATAAAAATGCTGGAATTTAAATATAGATTGACTGAACCCAAATCTCTTGCTCTTTACCATTGTCTCATACTACTGGGGCCTCAGTCTCTTCTGTGTGTAAAATAAAAAGCATAGTAAGTACTTCCCAGAGTTACTGTGAGGACTAAATGAAACGATACATGTGTATCACCCAGTACAATGCCTGACACACAGCAGTCACTTAAAGAGTGCTATTGCTATTATACAGTCATACTTACCATACATCTCATCTTCCAACCCATGAACAAAAGCTCCACAAGCTCCTGACTCAATCAAGTTCACAGCCCCGGTATCTACTTCTTCCTTGGGAGCATCATCTTCCCACTTTCTGCCACTGGAAAACTCCCCTGAACTGTAAAGTTCCTTGGCACGCTCATGTGCAGTACGTTTCCTCTGCAGAGGACAACAACAATTACCAATTGTAGGAGGTTCATGAAGGAACACTAAGATGAACCCTGAGAACATGGGAAGGCAGAAAATAAAACTGCTCTTTGAGAGTTACGTTTGTAAAAATTATCAGTAGTTCATACAAGAGAAATGCAAATTCAACTTAAAATGAAACCAAAGCCTTGCTGGTCTATAATAGCTGAAAGTACCTAATTAAAGAGGATAAAGATAGCTGAAGAATGTGTTAAGAAAGTTGGTTATGTTTGCTGTGGCAGCAACATAGGAAAAGAGAGAGCCAGAGAGGCAAATAATGGCAGTGCCCCTCCAAAAAACCATCTTGGGTAGACAATACAACAATTATCGGGCAGGGAGCAGGTGGCTCACACCTGTAATCCCAGCACTTTGGGAGGCCAAGGCAGGCTGATCATGAGGTCAGGAGATTGAGACCATCCTGGCCAACATGTTGAAACTCCATCTTTACTCTAAGTACAAAAATTAGCTGGGCGTGGTGGCACGTGCCTGTAGTCCCAGCTACTCAGGAGGTGGAGGTTGCAGTGAGCCGAGATCATGCCACTGCACTCCAGCCTGGCGACAGAGTGAGACTCTGCCTCAAAAAAAAAAATTATCTTCAGTCCCAGTAAAAGTATTTTTCTATTTGGCAACATTGCGTTCTATTTCAGCTACAGTACAGTCACTAAATAATCTAGTAAACTCACTTTACACAGAGATTGCCTAAGGTGGAATATACCGGTTAGTGTATCCAGTCCACTTGACAGTTATGGTTCTCATCACAAATGAATGACCTGGCACTCTGCTTTATACATCAGCCTCTCATGAAACCCCATCTCTAAAAAACTACAAAAAATTAGCCGGGTGTGGTGGTACACACCTGTAGTCCCAGCTACTCAGGAGGCCGACGTGAGAGGATCACTTGAGCCCAGGAGGCAGAGGTTGCAGTGAACCAAGATCGCACCACTGCACTCCAGCCTGGGCGACAGAGCGAGACCCTGTCTCAAACAAAACAAAACAAAACAAAACAAAACAAACAAACAAACAAAAAAACCACGCACCAGAAAAAGAGCTGAGAGACATATACCAAAATGACCAAAGTCATTATATTAGGGTAGCAGGCATATGGGTAAATTGTTTTCCTTTCCCTTATCAAAAATTCTACAACTCTATAATATCACTTTTATAATTTCAAAATTGAGGTACTAACAATGAATGTACATATTATTTTCTCAGACTCAAATTTGGTTCTGCAAACCACGTTAGTGAACCATCACAATCAAAGCTTAAGGGCATTTCATAAGAGGCATTTGGGGCCGGGCACAATGGCTCACATCTGTAATCCCAGCACTTTGGGAGGCAGAGGCAAGAAGACTGCCTGGGCTCAGGAGTTCAAGACCAACATGAGGAACAGAGCAAGACCTCATCTCTACTAAAGATAAAAAAAATTAGCTGGGCATGGTGAGGTATGCTTGTAGTCCCAGCTACTCAGGAGGGTGAGGTGGGAGGAATGCTTGAGCCCAGGAGATCAAAGTTGCATTGAGTAATGATTGTGCCACTGCGTTCCAGCCTGGGCAACAGAGTGAGACCCAGTTTCAAAAAAAAAAGAAGAAAAAATGGCGTGGGGTGGGGGGTATTTTGTTACTGTTTGGAGAAAGGCTTTACTCAGTCTTCCATGGTAACTGCTGCTGAAAAGGAGTCCTAAAATGTCATACCATCTCACAAAATGAGAATGGGCCTTTGTAGTTCCTAACAAATAGAAAATTAATCTTTTGGGGTTTTCTGGGGGTTTTTTGTTGTTGTTTTTTGGGTTTTGTTTTTTGAGACAGAGTCCCACTCTGTTGCCTAGGCTGGAGTGCAGTGGTGCGATCTCGGCTCACTGCAACCTCTGGTCTCCAGGGTTCAAGTGATTCTCTGCCTCAGTCACCCAAGTAGCTGGGACTACAGGCACATGCCACCACACCTAGCTAATTTTTGTTTTTTAGTTGAGACGGAGTTCATCATGTTGGCCGGACTGGTCTCAAACTCCCGGCCGCAAGTGATCTACCTGCCTCAGCCTCCCAAAGTGCTGGGATTACAGGTGTGAGCCACTGCACCTGGCTTAGAAAATTAATCTTGCCTCTTTTTTGTAAAGCATAACCTGTGCAAAGTATTTCATTACAATAATACGAAATTTAATGAAGTCACTTGTTATTTGCTTCAATTTACTAAGATTTTAAATTAAAATGTAATACAGTTCTCATACGTTAATTTAACAAATGCTGCTAAGTTAAATCAACACAACTCACAATACTGCCCCCCTACATTGGTTACAGAAACCCAGTTTAAACAACGAAGAATAAAAGGTACCCTCAGATCTGACATCAGCTTCTTGTCAAGGGTCTGCTCCAAGAAATGAGAACTGACTTGCTCCATAGAGCCCTATAAAAAGAAAAATCCAGAGCATATAAAACAACTTTTATGATTTGAACATTATCTTAAAATTCAGTCTATAGCCAATTTAAGTGCATAAAGATAATATTATTCATGACAGTAAAGATGCTATGGGTTCTGAATCAGCAGGAAAATAAAAATATTAGCAGCAGCTAACACCTAAATAGAGCTTACTATGTGTCACCTACTGTGCTTTCTTTCTTTTTTTTTTTCTTCCTGAGATGGAGTTTTGCTCTTGTCACCCAGGCTGGAGTGCAGTGGCATGATCTCAGCTCATTGCAACCTCCGCCACCCAGGTTCAAGCAATTCTCCTGCCTCAGCCTCCTGAGTAGCTGGATTACAGGTGCCCGCCACCATGTCCAGCTAATTTTTTTGTATTTTTAGTAGAGACGGGGTTTCACCACGTTGAGCAGGCTAGTCTCAAACTCCTGACCTCAGGTGATCTGCCTGCCTCGGCCTCCCAAAGTGCTGGGATTACAGGCGTGAGCCACCACGCCCGGCCACTATGTGTCATGTACTATTCTAAGGGCTTTAGACGTATATTAACTCATTTAAATCCTCACTATAACCCTGAGAAGTAAATACTATATTAGTCCCATTTTATATATGGAGAAAAGACACAAAAAGATTAAATAACATATTGACGGTCACAAAGAATAAATTCCAGAGCTAGGAGATAAATCCAGCCTCCAAAATCCTTTCCCTTAACGACTACTCTCCACTCCTTTTCATTCTTCTTTCCATTCATCTGTTCATTCATTCATGCATTCAATTAAACAAATATTTAGCAACCATTCAATTATATGTCTACAGTTACCAGGAACAAGAATACAAAAATAAAAAGACAACAGCTGTACACTCAACAATCTCACAGACTAGTAAGGGAAACTGACAAGGTATGCAATGCTGTAATACACATCTATGAATGATGACACGGGAATGGAGAGAACAAGCAGTATTAAGGTACAGGCAGGGAGAGGTATACTTGGAGAAATGAAAATCACAGTGCAAATGCCAAGTGGGAAATATTAAGTGGTTTTACGAATGGAACGTAAGATAGGGCTCCTGAAAATGAGGCAGTAGAGATAGGATAATAAAGAGCCTTATTTGCCATAGTAAGGGGTTTGCCTTATAAATAATTATTACATAATCCCTGTTAAACATCTAATGAGCTTAACAATGTATAAAATATTTTACTTATATTTTTCCAATTTATTCTTCCCAATAATCCCATATACCTCTTATCCCCATTTTCTAGATGACAAACGAGGCTGAGATTAGGCAACTTACTCATTTTAAGTAAGGGAGAACATAGATTTATATTTCATAAAGCCCATCTTGCAACAGTATGACTAATGGACCATAAGGAATCAAAATGAAAGCAAAAAGACTAGTTTCAGAGGCTGTTGGAGCAGGTCCTAGACGTTAAGAAATTTATCTGAGATCTTCTCTAATTCCTAAGTTAATAAATGCGGAAATGCTTATACAGGCTCAGATCTTTTCTCTAACCAAATTTTTCATAGAAAATTACATGTTCCTGGGGAATGTCCTTACTCAAGTTAACACCTTTCCTATGATTCCACAAAAACAACTGCTGTACTATTTTGACTAAAGTAGTTTCAAAACCACTTTTTCTTTTGTTACACAGATCTGAGTCAATGTCATATCTAACATCCATTTTTTAAATCCCAACAACAATTTTATAAATAAGAACTATAAACGCTTAAGACCTCCTAAATCTCTCTCTACTTTTACCACCAGCATTAGCTGTTGGCTTTTTTCTACTAGAATAAAAGTTTTCATGACTTCACAGTAAGTTGCTTCATCCATAATTCCCAGTGCCCTCCTCCAATGCCCTCAGCTGCACGCTCAACCAACACAGCAGCACAGAGGGAGTACTATGCAAATTTGTGCCCCCCAAAATTAAATATCATTACTTGAAATAAATTTTCAATGTCACCTAAGAATAGGTGAAGCTTTCCATTTTAAGTCCACAGACACAGAGTCCTATAGCATAGTAATCCACTTGAAAAATGGTGAGATGTCTATTACTGCAGGACCAGTGGAAATGGAGAAGGGATGGATTTAGGGGATGTCAAGAAGGAAGAACTGATATGAGTTGTGACTCAATGGATGTAAGACATAGAAAAACTATTCCTAAATTCCTCTGGTTCATGACTTAGCAGATGATAGTATCACTTACGAAAACATAGAGAAACAGATTTGGACCAAAAAGATAATGAGTTCATTATAAAGTGCACCTCACCAATGAGAAAAAAAGCTACATTCTGGTATACTTTAACCAAGACAAATATGTTTAGATTAAGATGGAATCTCTCCAACTGTACTACTAGCACTACTTAACAACCTAAATTTAGGTAGTTAATGCTATGAAAACCTTACTTAACACTGAGAAAACCATTTCACTTGAGAGCCTTATTAAATGTATGTGAAATTTAGATACAAGATATTTAACAATTATCACACCTGCTTGAAGAGCAAAAACTGCTCAACTGGTATAAATAACATAAGTCTATGCAACTGGGTGATAAGTACATCAGACATAAAACTGCCACTAACTAGGAATATCTGCATTTACCCTGGGAAAGACCAGTCATGGGCAGACTTACAGGCATAAAAGTCTATAACCTAACAGTCTGAAAATGTTGTAATTTTCAAGGTCAATGACTTCTTAAGGCTTATAAAAGTAGTGATTGTATTCTAAATAGTCCCATGAATCTGCTTACTGGGACCTCAAGTTTCTTTGCCCCACAAAGAGGGCAGTTATAAATAAGTAAAAGCTAACCTCTTTTACATGGTTTTGAATTTTCTGATATAACACATATCAGAAAATTTTTCATACGCTATAAGCCAAAGGGATTGGAAACTATTCACTTTTTAAGCAAGATAGACTCGAGGCTACAAAGCTAAGTTGTTGCAGAACCTGGCTTCTGTTTTCCTCTCCAACTTACCTCATTACAGATCCCCTATATTGAACATTACCCCCCAACTAGAAAGCACTAGACTGCTTGTAGTTTAGTATGATATTGCAGCTTAGTATATTGCTATGCATGATAATGTACTGCTTTTATATCCCTGCTCATATTTTCTCTTTCTCTGCATTGCTACCTAGTTACTCATCCTTCAAAACTCAGTTCAGAGATCAGCTCCTCCAAGAAGGCTTCTGTGGTTGTGGTTGGTGCTCTTTCCTACCAGTACCAGGTATTGTTATTCACTGATTAGCTATCCCTGGCTACCTGACTGTCAACTTCGTTGCAGACAGAAACTGTCCTCGGTGTTTGTCGATTTGCTGAACAGGTGATCTAAAGATTATACAGGTTGAACATCCCAATTCCAAAAATCTGAAATCCAAAATGCTCCAAAATCCAAAACTTTTTGAGTACCAACATGATGCTCAAAGGAAATGTTCACTGGAGCACTTCAGATTTTGGATTTTGGAGCATATTTCAGATTTGGGATGCCCAACAAGTAAGTCTAATACAAATAAAATATTCCAAAATCCAAAAACAAAACAAAACAAAACAAAATCCAAAACACTTCTGGTCTCAAGCATTTTGGATAGGGGATACTCAATCTGTATGCAGATTTGTTTAAAAAAAATGGCTCACCAGAGTTACCTGGCACACATCACCCACAACAAAAAGAGACCAAAATAACAAATAACTATATTTCAACTAAAATGACTGTAGATATATGCTGCAGAGCACCAGAGAAAGGGCAAAATCCCTGTGGAACATGGAAGCCTCAGGATAGCACCACAGGGTGAGGCTTCCTACCTGCCACATTGTCTCCCTTGCCAAAATCAGCTTAAAATCAGAGGAACTTCTTACAGGGAAAGAGTAAGCTGGAGATACCTATCAGTGGTCCCCACTGCTGCCACAGGCACCAGCAATTCTTGATAAAGGACAGTCCTTAAGTCCTCAGTGGCCACAAATCCAGTCTGGAGAGTAGCCAAGAGATCATTCAGCTGTATTGCCTCAGAGTGGGAGCCCACCTTGTCCTAAGCTGCTGTAGCATGGCACCAAGTTGAAGCTAGACTCACTACTAGTGTGCATCCTGCCCTGGGGACCAGTAGCAACTGACTCTCTTCATCCCTGAGAACCAGCCATCATTCTACCGTGATCACACGATGGCCTGCAGCACCATAACCCCATCCACATAGAGTCTAGGTCAAACAGAGTGACGATGATTTCAGCATCAGACCCCACACAGCGCTACCAACCACCCAGAAAACAGGCAGACCTGCACAGCAAGGAAGCCATCAAATAGATAGCTGGCAGCGCTTTACCCAACACCCCTGTTCCATACAACCATCTGGGCTGCCAAGTATGCATGCGCCAGTACTCAGCCAAAAAGCCAATCCTGCGGCAGCCCTACTTCCTCACAACCCATCACAGAACCACCTGCCCACGCCCTGCCTGATAGCTGGCAATTCAGTGGTCCTGTCCCCTAAAACAGGCCACAATAGAGTCCCACAGTCCCACAGCACACAGTCCAACTGGTCCTGTGGTAGCCCTGGCCCCCTACCATAGACTGCTGCCAAACTGCCCAGCCCCACTGCACAAAAGCATTTGAGCCTAGCCCAAAGCAACAGCCAACCAGGCAGTAGCCCCATCTCCCTACGTAGCCACAGAGCTGCCCAGCAGGCCGCTGCAGCAAAGGCCTGAGCCCAGCACGACAGCCACCACAGCAGTAACTACCGCCTCCCTGGAAAACCAGATAGACAGCCTGGCAGCCATTTTAGCCTGTACATGTCTTGGCCAAAAATCAGCTCGGTACCCTCATCTTATAGCATTGCCATCACAAACTCCCACAGCCTAGGCAACTGAGGCAATTGCAAACATCAATGACTAGGATTATAGCTGAAGATTACAGCTGAAGCTGACAAGGATTATTACACCACCCATTGAGTCCACCCAGAACCAAAGGCAACACACCATACCCAGCTAATACCCTAAAACCATCTACAGAAAAAGACTGTTACTATATACTAGCTACTCAATAAAATTGAAAAGAGCAACTACGCTACTAAATGCACACATATCAACATCCAGTATCTTGCACACGATAAATGAAAATCAAGGAAACATGACACCCTCAAAGGAATACGGTTAAGTCTCCTGGCTGGGCGCAGTGGCTCACATCTGTAATCCCAGCACTTTGGGAGGCCAAGACAGCCAGATAGCATGAGCTCAGGAGTTCAAGACCATTCTGGGCAACATGGCAAAACCCGTCTCTACAAAATATAAAAAAATTAGTCGGGTGTGGTGGCATGCGCCTGTAGTCCTAGCTACTCAGCAGGCTGAGGTGGGAGGATCACTTAAACCCAGGAGGAGAAGGTTGCAATGAGCTGAGATCATGCCACTGCCCTTCAGCCTGGGTGACAGAGCAAGACCCTGTCTCAAAAAAAAAAAAAGGAAAAAAGTCTCCAATGACAGACCCCAAAGAAAAGGACACTTACAAAATGCCTGAAAAGGAATTCAAAATAGTGATCTAAAGGAAACTCAGTAAGATACAAGAGAATACAGACAAACAATTAAATGAAATCAGGAAAACAATTCATGATCCGAATGAGCAATTCAACAGAAATCAATATCATAAAAAAGAACCAAACAGAAATCTTGGAACTGAAGAATTCAATGAAAAAAATAAAAATAGTATACAATTGAGAGCTTCAACAATAGACTAGGATCAAGCAGAAGAAAGAATTTCTGACCTTGAAGACAGGTCTTTTGAAATAACCCATTAAGAGGGAAAAAAAAACAAATAAGAATAAAAAAGAAAGCCTTGGAACATATGGGACATCAATAGGCAAACAAATACTTGCATTGAAGATTGCCTGATGGAGAAGAGATAGAGAAAGGCGCAGAAAACCTATTTGATGAAATGATAGCTGAAAACTTGCCAAGTAGTGGGAGAAATACGGACATCCAGATTCAGGAAGTTCAAAGGTTCGCAATTACATTCAACCCAAAAAGATCCTCTCCAAGGTGCATTATAATCAAACTATCGAAAGTCAAAGAGTAAGACTTTCAAAGCTGCAAGAGAAAATTGTCAAGAGAATCTCCATTACTATCAATAGATTTCTCAGTAGAAACCTTGTAGACCAGCAGAGAATGGGATAGAATTAATATATTCAAGGTATTGAATGCTACAACTAGAAACAAAAGGACAATAATCACTATCATAACAACACACAAAAGTATAAAACTCACCAGTAAAGGTAAACTCATAAATCAAACAGATCAAACCCCAGTGATACAATATGTCATATAAAATATTCAATCTGCTAGTATGAAGGTTAAATTTAAAATGGTCAAAAACTACAACAGCTACAAATAGTAGCTAAGGAACACATAACAGATGAAGAAGAAAATTAAGGCAACAAAAATATAAATTGAAGGGGGAGGGAAAAAACCTAGGGTCCTTTTATGTAACCAAAGTTGAGTTGCTATCAGCTTAAAACATTCTATTGTAACTGCAAGACTTTTTTTTTCCCCTTTGAGACAGTCTTACTCTGATGCCCACGCTAGAGCATAGTGGCCTGATCATGGCTCACTGCAGCCTCAATCTTCCAGGCTCAAGTGGTCCTCCCACCTCAGCCTCCTGGGTAGCTGAGACTACAGGTGTGTGCCACCATGCCCGGCTGATTTCTTTTTTCTTTATTTAGTAGAAACGAGGTCTCACTATGTTGCCCAGGCTGGTCTCAAACTCATGAGCTCAAGCGATCTGCCTGCCTCAGCCTCCCAAAGTGCTGGGATAATAGGCAAGAGCCACCACACCAGCCTAACTGAAGACTCTATGTAGAAAAAAGTTACAGCAGATACACAAACAAGAAAGAGAATGAAAACAAAGCTTGGCCCCACAGAAAACCACTAAATCAGAGGTAAACAACAAGAAAGGAAGACAAGAACAAAGGATCTCCAAAACCACCAAAAAGTAATTAACAAAATGGCAGGAATAAGACCTTATCTATCAATAACAATCCTGAATATAGCTGGACACGGTGGCTCATGCCTGTAATCCCAGCACCTTGGGAGGCCAAGGCAAGCGAATCACTTGAGGCCAGGAGTTTGAGACCAGCATGGCCGACATGGCAAAACCCGTCTCTAATAAAAATGCAAAAAAATTAGTTGGGCATGGTGGCACATGCCTGTAATCCCGGTACTGGGGAGGCTGGGGCACGAGAATCACTTGAACCCAGGAGGTGAAGGTTGCAGTGAGTTGAGATCACACCAGTGCATTCCAGCCTAGGTGACGGAGTGAGACCCTGTCTCAAAGAAACAAAAAAAAAAAAAAAAGAAGAAGAAGAAGAAGAAGTAGAAAAAAATCTTGAATATAAATGGATTAAGTTCTTCAATTAAAAGGTACACTACAGCCTGGGCAACAGAGAGACACCCTGTCTCAAAGAAAGAAAGAAAAAAAAGGTATACATTGGTTGAATAGATTAAAACACAAAATCTAAGTATACATTGCCTAGAAGAAACACGCTTCACAAGCAAGAATCAAAACATATACCAAAACCTATGGTATGCAACAAAAGCAGTTCTAAGAGATAAGTATACAGCAATAAATGGCTACATCAAAAAAGAAGAACAATCTGGTTTTTAATTTTTTTTAGGGACAGTTTCGCTGTTGTCCAGGCTGGAGTCCCCAGGAGTTTGAGGTTGCTGTGAGCTATGACTGTGCAATCGTGGAACCGCACTCCAGCCTAGGCAACAGAGCAAGACCCTGACTTAAAGAAAATAAAAAAAGAATAAAATCTTGTAATTTGCCACATCGATTAACCTGGAGGACATCATGTAAAGTGAAATAAGCCAGACATGGAAAGACAAATACTGCATGATCTAAGACTTAAACATAAGACCTAAAACCATAAAAACCCTAGAAGAAAACCTAGGCAATACCATTCAGGACATAGGCATGGGCAAAGACTTCATGACTAAAACACCAAAAGCAATGGCAACGAAGCCAAAATTGAGAAATAGGTTCTAATTAAACTAAAGAGCTTCTGCACAGCAAAAGAAACTATCATCAGAGTGAACAGGCAACCTACAGAATGGGAGAAAGTTTTTGCAATCTATCCATCTGACAAAGAGCTAATATCCAGAATCTAAAAAGAACTTAAACAAATTTACAAAAAAAAAAAAAACAACAAAACCCCATCAAAAAGTGGGTGAAGGATATGAACAGACACTTCTTAAAAGAAGACATTTATGCGACCGACAAACATATGAAAGAAAGCTCATCATCACTGGTCATTAGAGAAATGCAAATCAAAACCACAATGAGATACCATCTCACACCAGTTAGAATGGCAATCATTAAAAAGACAGAAAACCACAGGTGCTGGAGAGGATGTGGAGAAATAGGAACACTTTTACACTGTTGGTGGGAGTGTAAATTAGTTCAGCCATTGTGGAAGACAGCATGGCGATTCCTCAAGGATCTAGAACCAGAAATACCATTTGACCCAGGAATCCCATTACTGGGTATATACCCAAAGGATTATAAATCATTCTACTATAAAAACACATGCACACGTATGTTTATTGCAGCACTGTTCACAACAGCAAAGACTTGGAACCAACCCAAAGGCCCATCAATGATAGACTGGACAAAGAAAATGTGGCGCATATACAGCATGGAATACCATGCAGCCATAAAAAAGGATGAGTTCATGTTCTGTGCAGGGACATGGATGAAGCTGGAAACCATCACTCTCAGCAAACTAACACAAGAACAGAAAGCCAAATACCATATGTTCTCACTTATAAGTGAGAGTTGAACAATGTGAACACATGGACACAAGGAGGGAAACATCACACACCAGGGACTGTCAGAGGGTGGGGGGCTCGGAGAGGGACAGCATTAGGAGAAATACCTAATGTAGATGATAGGTAGACGGGTGCAGCAAACTACCATGGCACATGTATACCTATGTCACAAACCTGCACGTTCTGCACATGTATCCCAGAACTTAAAGTATTCAGAAAAAAATTGATATCATAGAGGCAGAGAGTATAACAGTGGTTAGCAGACACTGGGGAGGGGAGGGAGTAGGAGAGAATGGGAAGAGACTGGACAACAGATACAAAGTCACAATTAAGAGAAATAAATTCTGGTGTTCAACTGCACATAAAGGTGACTATGATTAACAGGAAAATATTGTATATTACAAAATATACAATATTATAGCTGTAAGAGAGGCTGTTGAAAGTTCATGACAAAGAAATGATAAATATATGATGTGATAACTATACTAACTATCCTGATTGGATTAATATTCAACATAGATGTGTATCAAAACATCAACTTGTGCCCCATATATACAATGTGTCAATTTTTGTTTGTTTGTTTTATTATACTTTAAGTTTTAGGGTACATGTGCACAATGTGCAGGTTAGTTACATATGTATACATATGCCATGTTGGTGTGCTGCACCCATCAACTCGTCATTTAACATTAGGTATATCTCCTAGTGCTATACCTTCCCCCTCCCCCCACCCCACAACAGGCGCTGGTGTGTGATGTTCCCCCTCCTGTGTCCATGTGTTCTCATTGTTCAATTCCCACCTATGAGCGAGAATATGCGGTGTTTGGTTTTTTGTCCTTGCGATAGTTTGCTGAGAATGATGGTTTCCAGCTTCATCCATGTCCCTACAAAGGAAATGAACTCATCCTTTTTTATGGCTGCATAGTATTCTATGGTGTATATGTGCCACATTTTCTTGATCCAGTCTGTCATTGTTGGACATTTGGCTTGGTTCCAAGTCTTTGCTATTGTGAATAGTGCCACAATAAACATACGTGTGCTTGTGTCTTTATAGCAGCGTGATTTATAATCCTTTGGGTATATACCCAGTAATGGGATTGCTGGGTCAAATGGTATTTCTAGTTCAAGATCCCTGAGGAATCGCCACAGGTACCAAAACAGAGATATAGATCAATGGAACAGAACAGAGCCCTCAGAAATAATGCCGCATATCTACAACCATCTGATCTTTGACAAATCTGACAAAAACAAGAAATGGGGAAAGGATTCCCTATTTAATAAATGGTGACGGGAAAACTGGCTAGCCATATGTAGAAAGCTGAAACTGGATCCCTTCCTTACACCTTAGACAAAAATTAATTCAAGATGGATGAAAGACTTACATGTTAGAACTAAAACCATAAAAACCCTAGAAGAAAACCTAGGCAATACCATTCAGGACCCAGGCATGGGCAAGGACTTCATGTCTAAAACACCAAAAGCAATGGCAACAAAAGCCAAAATTGACAAATGGGATCTAATTAAACTAAAGAGCTTCTGCACAGCAAAAGAAACTACCATCAGAGTGAACAGGCAACCTACAGAATGGGAGAAAATTGTTGCAATCTACTCATCTGACAAAGGGCTAATATCCAGAATCTACAATGAACTCAAACAAATCTACAAGAAGAAAACAAACAGCCCCATGAAAAAGTGGGTGAAGGATATGAACAGACACTTCTCAAAAGAAGACATTTATGCAGCCAAAAGACACAGGAAAAAATGCTCATTCATCACTGGCCATCAGAGAAATGCAAATCAAAACCATAATGAGATACCATCTCACACCAGTTAGAATGGTGATCATTAAAAAGTCAGGAAACAACAGGTGCTGGAGAGGATGTGGAGAAATAGGAACACTTTTACACTGTTGGTGGGACTGTAAACTAGTTCAACCAATGTGTCAATTTTTAAAAATTAATTAATTTTTAATGAAAGATTATACACAAATCACTTGATCCCAGGTTTATCTACTGGAGAGCTGGAGTAGGGCAGCTTTACCTCTTAGCTTGCACAGAGATACTAATAAACCAGCAGGGCCTTAACTGGCCAATCCCAATGTGTAACTGGATACTCACCAGGAAAGGATTATACATGGGCTTTAGATTATGAAGTTTGAAGTCCTCATCTATCATTTACTATCTGTGCGGTCTCAGAAAAATTATACCACATTCCTAAATTTTAATTTTGCTATTTATAAGTAATACATTTACCTCAGAGAGTTTAAAAAGATTAAAAGTTACTTGCAAAAGTATGCAAATGAGTTAGGCATGTGTGCTTGTATATAAAGAAGTGGGTTAATATTTATGTGTGAATATGTGTGTATTTATGTGTGTATGTATGACTAAAAATGCCTCACTTAGTAGGCCAGGAACTCTATACATAGTAGTAATTATTATTATCAGCAAGGTAAGAATGATTATTATTTCTGAATACAAACATAATTACTTATATAATTTGAAGCTGTTTGGATTTAACATGGAATTATAACACAAGGCATGTGACTCAAGTTAGAGTCATTCAAGTAGAAATCCTTTCAATGTACCATATGTTATACATACAACTTTATGCAAATAAATTTCAGATCCTATAGAGTACAAAATTGAAAATTTTGAATGATTCTTACTTTAAGGATTACTTTTTAAAACTGCCTATTCAGGTAAAGATATATCATTAATTTACTCCTCTAAAACATCTTTCTCTTCCCCACTCCCACCTAGAGTTCGTTGTAGATCCTCTGTAAATGCCAAATGAAAGGATCTGATGAATGATTAGACTGTTCTGAATTTTAAAACATTCATAACCCAAAAGAAAGTTTTAAAATATGAATTCAGAAATAAAATCAGTAACAGCTGGCTTGTTTAACTCTAATATGCACAAGAGTGGAAATACTCCAATCATCCATTACTATATCTCATGAAAATGCTTCACACAGGTTTCAGCAAGTACTCCCATAAATACTGGTCACAGGACTAAAGCTATCACTGGATCAGTGTCCAGTACAGTCAGAAACAAAGCATTCAGCCAACAGTCTCACCAAGAGTGGCAGGGCTGGGGGCACTCAAAGGGGAAGTGTCCAAAAAGAATCACAGATTTTCCTGCTGTGACACGTATACAAATTTTTATAGATACTTACACACACATATAGTTATATACTATGCCCCCATCCACCCTACATAGTATAGTACTTTTTAGTTTATAAACATTTTCATAGACTGTATCTCATTTGAGCATCATGACAACACTGTCAGGTAAATATGAGAGATATTAGAACCCCACTTAACAGATGAGGAAACTGAGACTAATATCAAGTGACATATACAAGGTAACACAGATATAAAATAAGGCTATTAGGCCAACACTCTATTACAAAACAATTTTATCCCTTAAAAGTTAAACAATTTTTTTTTTGAGACAGGGTCTCGCTCTTTTGCACAGGCTGGAGTGCAATGGCACAATCTCAGCTCACTGCAACCCCTGCCTCCCAGGTTCAAGTGATTCTCCCACCTCAGCCTCCAGAATAGCTGGAACTACAGGTGTGTGTCATCACACCAGGCTAGTTTTTGTATTTTTAGTAGAGATGGGGTTTCACCATGTTGGCCAGGCTGGTCTCGAACTCCTGACCTCAAGTGATTTGCCCGCTTCGGCCTCCCAAAGTGCTGGGATTATAGGTGTGAGCCACTGCGCCTCTGCCTCCCGGGTAACCTCTGCCTCCCGGGTAACCTCTGCCTCCCGGGTTCAAGCGATTCTCCTGTCTCAGCTTCCCAAGTAGCTAGGACTAGAGGCGTGCACCACCACGCCCAGCTAATTTTTGTATTTTTAGTAGAGACGGGGTTTCACCATGTCGGCCAGGATGGTCTCAATCTCTTGACCTCGTGATCCGCCCACCTTGGCCTCCCAAAGTACTGGGATTACAGGCGTGAGCCACAAAAGTTAAAAATTTTCAATAAATGTGCTGAGTCCTCAAAAAGAAAACAGAAAAGTACCAGGCTAAAAGATGCAAGATCAGGATCTGACCTCACTCTACAATTTTCTGTCTGTATAAGCTGGATAACTTACTTAACTCCTCAGAGCCTTAGTTTTCTCATCTAGAAAATGATAACAGCATTTAAAAAAAATTTTTTTAAATTTTATTTTTTGAAAAATAGAGATGGGATCTTGGTGTGTTGCCCAGGCTGGTCTTGAACTCCTGGGCTCAAGTGACCCACCCACCTCGGCCTCCTAAAGTGCTAGGATTATGGGCATGAGCCACCATGCCCCAACTGGATAATGGCATCTATCTTGCAGGATTACTGTAAAGAGAAAATGAGAAAATATATGTAAGGGGCCTCCTTCAAATTATCTAAGATAGTGGTCCCCCACCTTTTTGGCATCTGGGTTCAGTTTCATGGAAGAAACCAGAGAGGGTAGTGAAGCAGGGTGGTTTTAGGATGAAACTGTTCCACCTCAGATCATCAGGAATTAGACTCTCACAAGGAGCATGAAACCTAGATCCCACACATGCTCAGTTCACAATAGGGTTCACACTCCTATGATAATCTAATGCAGCTGCTGATCTGACAGCAGGCAGCACTCAGGCAGTAATACTTGCTCATCTACCACTCACCTCCTGTTGTGTGGCCTGGTTCCTAACAAGCCATGGACCAGGACTGGTCCACAGCCTGGGGGTTTGAGCCTCCTGAACTAGGACATAACAAGTGCTTAATAAATGGGAAAAACTTTTTTTTTATTGTTTTCCTTTTTCTCTAGGCTCCGGCTATCTTAATTCCTAGTAGGGTTAATAGAATTATGTTTTAAGATTCTTTCTAGTTCTAAAAGTGAACAGGAGAGTGAACTATTTCTTTCTATATTAAGAAATTCTGGGGCTGGGAGTAGTGGCTTAAACCTGTAATCCCAACAATTTGGGAGGCCAAGGCAGAAGGATCACTTGAGCCTAGGAATTCAAGACCAGCCTGGGCACAAAGCAAGACCCCATCTCTACAAAAAATACAAATTAGCTAGGCAGGGTGGCACATGCCTGTAGTCCCAGCTACTCAGGAGGCTGAGGTGGAAGGATCGCTTGAGCCTGGCAGGTCGAGGCTGCAGTGAGCCGTGACTGCACCATTGCACTCCTGCCTGAGCAACAGAGGAAGACCCTGTCTCAAGAAAAGAAAAAGAAAAAGAAATTCTGGGGTTTTAAATTCAGGTCACACTGCCCCATCTGTAGTTTCTCAAAATGTTTGTAAAAACTTAACAAGCAATGTGTTCATTTAAAAAAAGGATTATTGGCTGGGTGTAGTGGCTCACATCTATAATCCCAGCCTTTTTTTTTTTTTTTTAAGATGAGAGTCTCCTCCTTGTCACCAGGCCGGAGTCCAGCAGCGTGATCTTGGCTCGCTGCAACTTCCACCTCCGGGTTCAAGCGATTCTCCTGCCTCAGCCTCCCAAGTAGCTGGGATTACAGGCGTGCGCCACCATGCCCCAGCTAATTTTTGTATTTTTAGTAGAGACGGGGTTTTACCATGTTGGCCAGGATGGTCTCAATCTCCTGACCTCGTGATCCACCCGCCTTCGCCTCCCAAAGTGCTGGAATTACACCCAGCCTATAATCCCAGTCTTTTGGGAGGCTGAGGCAGGAGGACTGCTTGAGGCCAAGAGTTTGAGACCAACCTGGGCCACACAGGCCTCATTTCTACAGAAAAGAAAACAAATAAATATATACATGCATTCATACATACATAAAAAGTATAACTTACCAACAGTTTTGCTGCCTGAACATGAACCACCCAAGAGCCATCACTGACCATGTGACAAATTTTTCCAAACGCATCATCAACTAAGCGTATTTCTTCATTAGAAGAAGGAATTGGGACAATGCTAAATTAAAAGAAAAGAAATGAAATCACTTAGAACAAAACATGAACCTAAGTCTGCAGATTCAGGCCATGCACAGTGGCTCACATCTATAATCCCAACACTTTGGGAGGCCCAGGCAGGTAGATTGCTTGAGCCCAAGAGTTCAAGACCAACCTGAGCAATATGGCAAAACCTCATCTCTACAAAAAAAATACAAAAATTAGCTAGGCATGGTGGCATGCGCTGATAGTCCCAGCTACTTGGGAGGCTGAAGTGGGAACATAACTTTAGCTCTGGAGGTGAAGGTTGCAGTGAGCTGAGATCACACCCCGGCACTCCAGCCTGGATGACAGAGCAAGACCCTGTCTCAAAAAATAAATACAGTCTGGGTGCAATGGCTCACGCCTGTAATCCCAGCACTTTGGGAGGCTGAGGCAGGTGGATAACTTGAGGTCAAGAGTTCGAGACCAGCCTGGCCAACATGGTGAAACCTCCTCTCTACTGAAAATATAAAAATTAGCTGGGCACAGTGACACATGTCTGCAATCCCAGCTACTCAGGAGGCTGAGGCAGGAGAATCGCTTGAACCTGGAAGGTGGAGGTTGCAGTGATCCGAGATAGTGCCACTACACTCCAGCCTGGGCAACAGAGCGAGACTCCATCTCAAATAATAATAATAATAATAATAAACAAATAAATACATAAGTAAGTAAGGCTGCAGGCTCAATAAACTGAGAACAGTCAATGAAGACTGACACACACAAAAATGATAATTGAATAGTTCAAATCCTAGAATGATTAAATACAGTTTGAAATAAACAAATCACTCTAGGAGTACAAACCAACTCTTTCAGTTGCATTGCAAATTATGCTTTTTTTTTGAGACAGGGTCTCACTTCTGTCACCCAGGCTGGAGTGCAGTGGCATGAGCACTGCTCACCGCAGTGTCAACTTCCTGGGCTCAGGTGATCCTCCCAGTTCACTCTTCTGAGTAGCTGGGACTACAAAAGCATGCCACCACACCCAGCTAATTTTTTATATTTTTAGTAGAGACGGTTCACCATGTTGCCCAGGTTGATCTCAAACTCCTGAGATCAAGCAATCCGCCCGCCTCAGCCTCCCAAAGTGCTAGGATTACAGGGCTGAGCCACTGCAATCAGGTGCAAATTTTCAATGTATTGAATAAAAGTGTGTAACTCACCAAAGGTTCAGCCAGGCGTGTAATCCCAGCACACTGAGATACTGAGGTGGGCAGATTACCTGAAGCCAGGGGTTCAAGACTAGCCTACCCAACATGGCAAAACCTCATCTCTACTAAAAATACAAAAAATGAGCTGGGTGTGGTGGGGCACAACTGTAATTCCGGCTATTTGGGAGGCTCAGGCATGAGAATTGCTTCAACCCAGGAGTTGGAGGTTGCAGTAAGCCGAGATCACATCACTGCACTGCAGCCTGGGCCACAGAGCAAGACCCTGCCTTAAAAAAAAAAAGTACGTAACCCACCAAAGGTTCAAAGATTTATGAAATTATCAAAAACTAGCTTCCACCGAATATTTCATATCCTTAAGTTTATTATCTTCTGTAACTGAAATTCTTCTTCTTCTTCTTTTTTTTTTTGAGAGAAAGTGTCTTGCTCTGTGACCCAGGCTGGAGTGCAGTGGTGCGATCTCAGCTCACTGCAATCTCCACTTCCCGGGTTCAAGCGATTCTCCTGCCTTAGCCTCCCTAGTAGCTGGGATTACAGGCGTGTGCCACCATGCCCGGCTAATTTTTGTATTTTCAGTAGAGATGAGGTTTCACCATGCTGGCCAGGCTGGTCTTGAACTCCTGACCCGAGGTGATCCGCCCACCTCGGCCTCCAAAAGTGCTGGGATTACAGGCACCACCGTGTCCAGACTGAACTTCTATAAATACATTAAATCTCAGAATAAATCAATATAAAACTTACTTATCAATCCAGTCCTAAAAGAAGAGACAATTTCCACTTAGCCCTTTTCTTTGTATGTGTCTAAGTCCTAAAATGGAGTCTACTACAAATGGAGCCTACTCCTACAGGTTTATTAATCCATTCTGGTTTTCAAATTTTGGCAGTTTAATGAAGAGGAAAAAACACCTCTTTTTCCTATACAAGGAAAAATAAAATATTCTATAAATATTTATAAATAAAAGATAAATATTTATAAATGTAATATTCTATCTTACAAAATATAATAAATAATATTGCCTACCTCCTCAAAGAATCACTGTGGTTAACTTAATTGCTGTGAAAATATTTTTAACCAGGAAAACTACATAAGAGATCATTATTCTCAAACTCATCTGGTATCTTTGTCTGGCATTTGGCGCAAGCCAAACTAAAATGGGTCCCAAACAATTTTAAAGATTTTTTTGTAAAGTACTGAAAACCATTTAAGAAAGATATTCCAATTTCTTCACTTATGGATGAGAAGATTAGGACAAAAGAAGTGTCTTTCCGAAGGTGTACAGAAAGTTCCTATCAGAGATGAAAAATGAGGACCAGGCAATCTGATTTTCAGGGCCTGTGCTTTTCCCTTACTCCCCATTGCCTTCCAAAAATCTAACCAACATTTCTTTTCTAGAAGTGGGCTTTTTGCATGGTGAGAGGAGAGGAAAACGGCTTCACAATCAACAAAAGCCAGCTTACACCCGCACTGACCTTTCAGGATAGAGCTGACTGACAACCCAGATAAGCTAGACTGCAGCACTGCGCACTTGTTCATAGTCATCAGAGAGTAATTTACAGGCCTGCAAAGAAGAATTCCAAAAGTCTATTAGTTCTGTGTCCTCTCAGGCAATGTTTAAACTATTTTCAAAGTGAAGATATAGGGTAGTTGGATAAGGATGCCCAGTAAAACACTTGTGTGTGGTTTTAACTTCTTGAATCTTTGCTTAAAAATGAATCTTGACCTCTGTCAGCTGCTCTGGCTATATTCTGACTATGCACTCTACCCCACATCTGGAAGGAGAATCACAGACTGACGGCATAAAAACATCTAGAACAGATCAAACCCAGCAAAGCATGCTGGGAGCCCACAGTACTGTTCTCACAGGCTCAAACACCAATTATGGGTTTTTCCTCCCCCTGTAAAAATCAAAGCGCACACTTCTGTTTACCTTGGTCTGAAATCATTGGCCTCTGTTTCAATCCACTCACTCTTTCTGGGTAGCCCCATACTCCCTAAATACTGATGGCTCCGAATACCTACCCTTAGCTCTGATTTCTCCTGATCTCCAGACCTTTATAACTACTTATGGCTGGAATTCTCTTCACGGATGTCCCATCAAACTTTTGTACCCAACACACGCAAACCTGAACTCATTAAGGAAGCAAATTCTACCTTATATCTTAAATTCTACACTATCAGTCCATCCTCACTCCCTTGATGCTGTCATTACTGCTTGCCTAGATTACTAACAGAGTCTTATGCCACCAAACATCTGAATCAGCCAACTAACTTCCGTTCCTCTGAGTCCTTACTATCCAAGTTTCCTTTAAATTACTTGGCTTCCCACATAGTATCAAAAAAAAAACCAAAAAAAAAAAACGAGGAAATAGTACATGAAAAAGCAGAATTAAAACAACTGAGTATATGTTTAAAACTGCAAAAGGTCACTTTTTCAGAAAAATATTAAAATATTAAATCTAACAAATATCTAGGCAGATTGATGGAGAAAAATACAGAAAATGCACAAAAAAACCAATTACCTGGAATGTGAAGGATACAAAACGTCAGCAGTTGTAGATTTTAAATAAGCAATGACTTTGAGTTCGACCATGATTGGGTATATTGAAAAGAATCTCTCAGAAAAAAAGAAAAAGAAAACTGTTATAAAGCTATGTACAAAATGTTAAGCACTATTGAAGTCTTCCAATTCTACCAGTTATGGAGTTATTGGTCTTGGACTAATTCTCCTGAAAAGAAAAAAACAAAACAAAACAAAAAAAACTAAAAACTGGGATAAAATAGCCTACCGTGGGCACTGGCAATGCAACCGAGCACGTAGGACATGGGTGCTACATTCTCTTTGTCAGAACACAAAGCATTCATACACTCTTCTCACCCTCACTCTCACCTTTTAATCTTAGATCTACTATTAAAAGTATTCAACATTACTATCAATCCTTTGGTCAAAATTTCTTTACTCACATTTTGCTTGATGCACTTGGATAGACTGTTCAAGAAAGTGTGAGTAGTGAATTCCTCAAACTCTTGCATATTTAAAATTACATTTTTGAGCCTTGATGCTTGAAGTGTAGCTTGGGTAACGGGTGGGCTTTAAGCCAATTTTGGCATGCAAGGGGTTGAGTTTATTAGGCATCAGCACCGCTGAAAATCGTGGGGATGCAGGCTTAATTTCAACACTATTCTAAATACTTGAAAGATATTATATAACTCTTTAATAAACTCCTGTGTCTACAAATGGTTCACATTAACTCAATATCCAAGATTAAACATCTATAAAATCAAGGCACTGTTATTTAGTGGAGACTTGCTGGTTATTCTATGAGAGGAGGTATTGTTATTGTAATCTCATCCTCTCATAAAAGTGTATCATATTACTCATAACCAGCCCTTCATATTCTATTCCTATTTTGGTATTTAAAAATAAGATATCTTTGAAACACTTGAATTCAAAGAGGGAATCTGAATAGTTTTTAAAATGTCAATGAAATGCCATTTCTTCATGCTTGAACAAATACAAATTGACTAAAGTGCTTCTCTTCAAACTTTCTGGAACATTTTTTATCTAAATTCTAGGAACAATCACAATAGGTTTTAACCACAAATGTGAGAATGTTCTAAACGTTAGGGTGGAAAATTTTTAAAATAATTTTATAGTAATTTTTTCATCATAGTGACAGTGTGCTAAATTTTTTTCAGTCAAATATTACTGTGGACATTTAAGTCAAGATTCTAAGAAGCTGTTCTACAGTCCAAAATTTAGTTTCATATACAATGATATTATACATATATTTGCATATAAAATTAATATATGTGAGCCATGTTTCAAATAGTTGAGAGATTATTATATCAAAGATTCTTGATTATATAAAATGCCAATTACTTATAGGCACACATGCTTTTAATAATTACAAAGGCAGCTGTGGTTGATTCTACTCTTGCTACTGGCATTTATATGGACATAACATTATGGTCTGAAGAATATTTAGGCAAATTTATCCCTCATATGATCAGAAGAACAATGCAAGATAGTTTATATCTGAAAGGAAAAAACCTTTATATGGTTCTGAAAGCCTAAATCCTTAACAACTTGCATAATAATTAGCATAAAAATACACAAACATGCCCTCTTCCTAGCAGTAAGTACACAGTGATAACAGAATCAAAGCATGTGGCTATGTGCATGTTTATATTTCAAGACGCAGAGCACTCTATTCCTCTTCTCTGTCCTTTCTAGATGGCACAATTCCTCATGAATCTAAGTGCAGTCATAGGGTGGATTAGGGTGACCTGCCATTTGTATGCAACTGATCTCTATTTTGGAAGCAATTAATGTAAAAATATATTTTTACAAGATAATTTCAAATTTCAGGGCAAACTAGCATGGTTTCACTCCTTTTCTTTGTAACATTTTTTCTAAGGTTGGAAAAGTAAGGCTTTAGTACGATTTTTAATAATAAGTTTTCAAAGTGAGACGCAAAATGGTGGCGCCAACACATTTCAAGTCTGCTACATTTTGAATACACTTATTGGAGAAAAGACCTTCTCATCATTTTTCTCTTACAGGAAAGGAAATAACATGTACAGTTGACCCTTAAGCAACACGGAGGTTGGGGTGCTGGCCCCCCTACACAGTAGAAAATCCACTATAACTTTGACTCCCCCAAAACTTAACTACTAATAGCCTACTGTAAGCCTTACAAATAACACAAGCAGTCAATTAACACATATTTAATATGTTATATGTCTTATATACTGTATTCTTAACAAACATGCCAGAGAAAAGAAAAAGAAAATCATAAGGAAAATATATTTACTAGTTATTAAATGGAAGTACATGATCAAACAGGTCTTCATCCTCATCCTTTTCATGGGCAGGGTGTGGAGAAGGATGTAGAATTGTTGGTTTTGCTAAGTGGACCTGCACAGTTCAAACCCCTGTGGTGCAAAGGCCAACTGTAAAGCCATTGAATAGCAATTTAGTTTTAGAAATTAACCTCACTAAAATACTCTTAGAAGGATGCCAAGAAAAAAAATGAATAAGTATTTTTGGTTCATCTATTTCATCATTTCATTTAATTTCCTCATTTCATTTCATCCTTTCATCATTTCGTTGCATCATTTCATTTCATCATTTCATCTCATCATTTCATTTCATTCTTTCATCATTTCATCTCAACATTTCATTTCATCATTTCACTTCATCTCATCATTTCATCATTTCATCTCATGATTTCATTTCATCTCATTTCATCTTTTCATCTCATTTCATCTTTTCATCTCATTTCATTATTTCATCCTTTCATCATTTTGTTGCATCATTTCATCTCATCATTTCATTTCATTCTTTCATTTCATTTCATCCTTTCATTTCATTTCATCATTTCATCTCAACATTTCATCATTTCACTTCATCTCATCATTTCATTTCATCTCATTTTATTTCATCTTTTCGTCATTTCATTTCATCATTGCATCTTTTCATCTCAATTCATTTTTCATCAATTCATTTCATTTCACTTATTTCATCATTTCATCATTTCACTTCATTTCATTTAATATCATTTCATCATTTCATATCATTTCATCATTTCATCTTTCCATTTCATCATTTCATCATTTGACTTATCATTTCATTTCATCATTTCATTTCCTCATTTCATCATTTCATTTCATTGCATCCTTTCATCATTTCATCTCATTTCATCCTTTCATTTCATTATTTCATTTCATCATTTCATCTCATCATTGCATTTCCTCATTTCATCATTTCACTTCATCTCATTTCATAATTTCATCTCATGATTTCATTTCATCTCATTTCATCTTTTCATCTCATTTCATCATTTCATCTTTTCATCTCATCATTTCATCAATTCATCATTTCATCATTTCGTTAATCATTTCACTTCATTTCATCATTTCATATCATTTCTTCATTTCATCATTTGATCTTTTCATTTCATTTCATCATTTCACTTCATCATTTCATTTCTTCATTTCATTTCCTCATTTCATTTCACCATTTCATCATTTCATTTCATCATTCCATTTCATCATTTCATCATTTCATTTCATCTCATCATTTCATTATTTCATCAATTCATTTCATTTACTTCATCATTTCATCATTTGACTTCATTTCATCATTTCATCATTTAATATCATTTCATCATTTCATTTCATATCATTTCATCATTTCATCTTTCCATTTCATCATTTCATCATTTGACTTATCATTTCATTTCATCACTTCATCATTTCATTTCATCCTTTCATCATTTCATCTCATTTCATCCTTTCATTTCATTATTTCATTTCATTTCATCTCATCATTGCATTTCCTCATTTCATCATTTCACTTCATCTCATCATTTCATAATTTCATCTCATGATTTCATTTCATCTCATGATTTCATTTCATCTCATTTCATTTCATCTTTTCATCTCATTTCATCATTTCATCTTTTCATCTCATCATTTCATTTCATCAATTCATCATTTCATTATTTCATTAATCATTTCACTTCTTCATTTCATATCATTTCTTCATTTCATCATTTGATCTTTTCATTTCATCATTTCATTTCATTTCATCATTTCACTTCATTTCATTTCTTCATTTCATTTCCTCATTTCATTTCACCATTTCATCATTTCATTTCATCATTCCATTTCATCATTTCATCTCATCATTTCATCCTTTCATTTCATTATTTCATTTCATCATTTCATCTCATCATTTCATCATTTCACTTCATCTCATCATTTCATCTCATGATTTCATCTCATCATTTCATCTCATGATTTCATTTCATCTCATCAATTCATAGCATCTTTTCATCTCATTTATTTCATTTCATCTTTTCATTTCGTCATTCATTTCATCATTTCGTCAATTCATTTCATTTCCTTATTTCATCATTTCATTATTTCACTTCATTTCATCATTTCATTCCATCATTTCATATCATTTCTTCATCATTTCATCATTTCATTTCACTTCATTTCACCATTTCATCATCATTCCATTTCTCATTTCATCTTATCATTTCATTTCATCATTTCACTTCATCTCATGATTTCATCATTTCATCTCATGATTTCATTTCATCTCATCATTTCATCTTTTCATCTCATTTCATTTAATCATTTCGTTTCACCTTTTAATCTCGTCATTTCATTTCATCATTTCATGTCATCAATTCATCATTTCATTTCATTATTTCCTCATTTCATCATTTCACTTCATCACTTCATTACATTTCATCTCATCATTTCATATCATTTGTTCATTTCATCATTTCATCTTTTCATTTCATTGTTTCACTTCATCATTTCATCATTTCATATCATTTCTTCATTTCATCATTTCATCTTTTCTTTTCATCATTTCATTTCATTATTTCACTTCATCAGTTCATTTCATCATTTCATTTCATTTCCTCATTTCATTTCACCATTTTGTTTCATCATTTCATTATTTCATTTCATCATTCGATTTCATCATTTCATTTCATCATTTTATCATTTCATTTCATCTCATCATTTCATCATTTCATCATTTCATTTCATTTCATCATTTCATCATTTCGTTTCTTCATTTGATCATTTCATTTCATCATTTCATTTCATTTCAGTGATACATGTATTTAAGTGCTAATGTGATGCCCAGGAGACACCCTATTTCCCTTTGTAAAACACCTCCTTCAACAAAAGGCAACCTCTCATGGCTGGCTAAGTCTACAGGGATACCAGCCTCTCTTCAACCACCCAGTTTGATTTAGAACCTCAAACAGCACCTCAGTTTCATAAAAACCTAAAACATAAAACACAACACTTGGTTGTAAGTGAGCCAACAGTTTCTTGTCTCTTTCTCTGCTCAAGGCTTAAGGCCGTGTCTCCCCAACTACGTTCAGTGGAAGAAAAGATCCCCTGGACAAATAAGTTTGAGAACTGTTGTTGCAGGACTTCTCAGAACCTTTAAAACACAAATCCTCATCCGCAGGGATCTTCAGGAGGGAGATGGCTGGTGCAGCACAACTTTCTTTCACAGGAGCATCTTGCAGAATACAGTATGAGATACAGAAAGGCTGCACTGAGTCTTTTTAAGGGCCCGGGCCTTGGTGCGGGTGGGGAAGGAGCTCTCCAGATAGCATCTAATGAGTAGGAACATTCAGGTGGCTTTTTTTTTTTCCTTATTGGCAAAACTGTGTGTGCACCATGAATGAAGCTGGACTCCCTTATCCATATCAAAACTAAACCCAAATTAATTGGCTAAATTGGGACTCAACACCTCCAGGAGCCACATGGAAGAAAGCCCCACCACACTTTAAAGTAGCTTACCTCATCATATTTGAGGAAAGCAAAACGCTTATGACCAGTATGCTGCTAATACAAGTCTACAGATAATGCTGTATGAAAAATTATTTTTCCCAATCATGGCTGGCATAGTCCACATTTTGCATTACACTTTCCCCCCTTTTTTTAAATTTTAAGCACAGGTCTTTTTTTCTTCTTTTTTTAAATTTTAATTTAATTATACAAGACGGAGTCTCAGTATGTTGCCCAGGCTGGTCTTGGACTCCTGAGCTCAAGTGATACATCCGTCTCCGCCTCCCAAAGTGCTGGGATTACAGGCCTGAGACACTGTGCCCGGCCTTAAACACAAATCTTAATTCATTCTTACAACTATCCTGAGGTTAGAAAAATGGAAGGGGAAGAAAAATGGCAAGCAGGCAGGCTGACTTCGGCTTCATTATTTGGAAGGACAGTTTGCTTGGTTAAAACACACTACTGCCCACAAAGGCCAAGACAACAGAAAAATACAGACTTATATAAATAGATTTTATATGTGACAGCAGTTTGAATGGAGACTTTTTCAATGCAAATGACAAACAGCTGTCCTTGGGAATAAATGACAACGAATTTTTTTATCTCAACAGCTGTCCTGAGAGCACGTCTCTACATCTCTACCTGCATTCTGGAAACCGGGAGAAAGCCAAAACGGATGACAAGACACTAGATCAGCCGTGTCCAACCCTGTGACTACAAGGACTTTTCCGCCTATCTTTGGTGGTGGGTATCATCAAAATTCTGCACAAACCTTTTTTTTTTTTTTTTTTTTAAGCTCATTAGCTGTTGTTAGCATTAGTGTATTTTATGTGTGGCCCAGGAGCATTCTTCTTCCAATGTGGGCCTGAGAAGCCAAAAGACTGGACACCTGTGCACTAAATCAAAAGGCTATTCCTTCTGGAAGCAATTGTAAAGAATTTCTCACATTATCTTGACATGAAAACCAATGCATAGTGGGACAGAATGCAAAATCTTCAAGAATTTTTGTTGTTGTTGTTGTTGTTTTTGAGTCAAGGTCTTGCTCTGTGGCCCAGGCTGGAGTACACTGGTGAGATCACAGCTCAGTGCAGGCTCAAGTGCTCCTCCCGCCTCAGCCACAGTACTAGCTGGGACTACAGATGCGCACAGCCACCCCTGGCTAATATTTTATCTTTTGTAGAGACGGGGTCTCACTGTATTGTCCAGGTTGGTCTCAAACTCTTTGACTCAAGGGATCCAGGACAGGATAACAGGTGTGAGCCACCACACCTGGCCATGTGCATGAACTTTTAAGACAAACACAAGGCCCCACAAAAGGTAAGGTTTTCCCACCTAATTTCCAGGGGATCTTTTGGTGCAAGGATGAGAAGCCCTTAAAAGTACACAGACAACTCCAAAGATTCAAGACAGTTCATTCGGGCTGAGCCAGCCCACTGGGCAGACAGACCTTCAAGAAAGGCCCACGCATGACATACACCAGATGGCTCTCCAAGAATCGCTTCAGTCCTCAGGGTCCCTAAGGTACTGGACAGAGCTAGGAAAGCAAACCCATTTGCTTCTTCCTGCACGAAACCCCTTGAGGTCAAGACCCCACAATCAGACGAGGATGGAGTGGCTCACCCTCAGTCAACAGGCCAGACTCAAGGTGGTATAATGACTTAACCAAGGGTGTGGGACTCCAGGTCTGACTCCCAACTCAGTTCTCCTTTAATAACCACACTTTGGTAATTCTCCTTAACAGGGGTTCCTGGCAAGTCAGTTCTCCCTCAGGCCTTTGGTTTCCTCACCTACAAGATGAGAGGGCCGGACCAGATGGAAATTCGGGGGGTAAGGGGATGTCCGCGCGCAGCCCACCCCCACCCCCCCGACCCGCCCCACGGGACCCTAGCGCCTCCATCCCAGTTCCCACCAAGCACCCGCCCCACAAATCCTGCCCAAGGTGAGGGCTGGTCCCGGGTCTCTCGGCTGCCGCATCAGCGAGTGCAGGAGGGAGGGGAAGCCTCCAAGGGCGCGACGCGGGCTCAAGGATGCAACTCGGCCAGGAGTGAACTGGGGCCTCAAGGGAGGTGTCCGGGCCGCTCCTCGAGCCCAGCCCGGGTCCCCAAACCCCTTACCTCCAGGGTCCGTATCTCCTGCTCGGTGAGGTCGTTGGACACAGCGCACTTGGTGCCCAGCCCGCGCAGGCTGCCAATGGAGATGCCGATGAGCTTCTGGAGCTGTCCGCACTGCTGCAGCCCCGGGCTGGCCGGGGCCCCTGCGCCACCCTCAGCGGCCGCTGCATCACCCCCGCCACCGCCCTCCTTCTTCTCTCCCATCGCCTCCGCGCGCAGTGCCGCCCTATGCAGGCCACAGCGGCCGAGGCAGGGAGCCCGGGGCTCGGGCGCCTAGGCAAGGAACCCCCGAGCCGGGAGAGCTGGACCGGGAGCGCCCCTCGGCGCTGCCCTTGCCAGGACGCCAGTAGAGCTGGCAGCGGAGTCTGCCGCTCCCGCCCTCAGAGCCGCGGCGGCGGGAGCAGAAAGCCGCGGCGGCAAAAAGCCGCGGCGACGGGGGGCAAAAAGCCGCGGCGGCGCAGGCAAAAAGCTTAGGCGGCGGGGGCAAAAAGCCGCGGCGGCAAAAATGCGCGGCGGCGGGGCAAAAAGCCGCGGCGGAAGAAAGCCGCCGGGGCGGGGGCAAAAAGCCGCGGCGGGGGGGACAAAAAGCAGTGGGAGCTGGGGCAAAAAAACCACAAAAAGCCGCGGCGGCGGGGACCAAAACGCCGCGGCGGCGGAGGCAAAAAGCTGCAAAAGCCGCGGTGTGGGGGCAGAAAGCCGCAGCGGGAGAAAGTCTCACTCCAAATTCCCTTGCTTCAGTAAGCTTCTCTAGGCCAATGTTCCTTCGGCATTACCCATTTTCTTCCTGTGAATGCAAATCACATAAACATGGAAGTACATTTGACCATTTTAATTGTTTAACATTCCATGTCACACGACCTTCCACAATAGAATCAATGTATTAAAATGTGTTAACGACCACACATTTTACACAAATGCCATGAATCCTTAAGGTGTTCCAATTTATAAAATATGTCTGCAAATCATACTTTATGATGCTTTGTATTCTGTCGGTAATTGGATGTCATATATTTAAATTCTATTAAACTGCTTATTAAAATGTCCAGTGCCTCTTTTCTTGCATGGCCACAAATATTGTCACTTTAAATCAGCACCTTTCAAAGTTAGTTTCATGACGACTCAAGATACTTTAAACTATTTTAGAAAGTCTCAAAATAATTCAAAAATAATTCATTTAGTTAACATATTTTGTAAATATACATATTCTATGTATTAATTTAAATTTGGAATAAGTCAAGGAAGAGATATAAAATGTCTTTAAAAGGTATTACAACTGTAAGTAATCAAAGAAGGAAAAACAAACAAACAGAATAAACTGTTAAAGGGCCAGAATACTAGGAAGAACTTAAAAAGTAGTAAGCAATACATACTTCCTCACCTATATAATATCAAAGAGTTTGGGATACCCACAGAAGCGACTGTGAAAACCTCTGAGACCATCCTCTGTGTTGGTGTCTCCTTAAATCAATGGGATAAATACTGAAAATCTTGTCCAATAGCAATCCAATTTAAGAAGTCACCATAGGTATAAATAGCAAACAATTATATGTTCCCCATCATGGCCAAATGTATCATGTGAGCCATATGTGAGCCATCTACAAAATCAATTATTCAGCAATTCAGTTCATTTCATTGAGACAATATTAATAAAAGGATCAAAAGAACTATCGTCTGATTATGTCATACACAATAAATCACCAACTATTTATCAAAAACTGTTCTTTCCATTCTACCTCTGTGGTTATTGCCTTAGGTCAGACACCATCACCTCTCACCTGAATTAATGTATTAAGTTTTTAATGGGTCTCCCTATCTCCAATCTCACCAACCCCAGATTACCCTTTAATGATTTCACATTACCTTGAAAATAACTAGGCACTTATTTTTGTGCTCTGGTACAAAAATGCCTTTGTCTGTTGCCACACAGGCCATTATCTCATGGAAAACCTGTTTTCCAGCTGTGTTGAATTCAGTAGTATTCATAGACCCAACACAATCTCTTCTTGTCTTTAATGTGACGTTTATCCTGAAAAGAGTGCTTTTCTCTCACACTCCCTGTATATCTGGTTGGCTTATCCTTGAATACCCTACTCAAACTTTACCTTCCCCAAGCACAGTTTTCCATGGTCTCCTCAATGCTGAGCTGCCCTTCTCTGTGGTCCTTTTGCAACAGCTACCAAGCCATTTCTTACATGGCATTTACTGTCTCCTCTCCTAGAACAATTTCTTAAGACTAGAAACCATGTCTTAATTATCTTTGTGTCCTAGTATCTGAATGTCTGCAATATGGAAAAAACACTCCACTGGTGTTTGTTCAAAGGATGAATAAATAAACATTTCCTAAAATTGCCTGATACTAAGAATCGCTCAGGTGCTAATTAAAAATTCAGATCGCCAAGCTAAGATTTATATTGACCAGTATGAATTGAGGCAGAAGATTTTGTACATTTATCAGGTATCCCAAATGATTTTCATAATGAGGAAACTGAGAGAATTTAATCATAAGAGATAGGAAAATCTGTCTTTGCATGAAATTTCTCTGTCCTCCGTCCATGGGTTACTTGTTTTTGAGGTATCCATGAGGATACTCCTCCCCCTTTATCTGATACCTAACTGTGCTGTGCAAGAAAAACAAAACAATTTTTCATCATATAAGGGCATGAGGCTAATCTATCCTTAGCTCAGAATATAAACTCAGCAAGGGGCTTAAATATGATTTCAACATTGTTTGTATTCTTTCAGCTAGCGTTTTCAATGTGGCCTAAAAATGTCATGACTCAGAGTACTTATTTGTAGAATTGCTTCAAAATTTTATCTAAACCATTATAATTTCACACCTGGCATTGAAACTACCTAGTTTGCCTGCAAGAACTCCACTTACTTGGCAAATATACAGTACTTGCTGAGACTAACTTAGTGTGTAATGCTTTATCCTATAACTCTAGGAATACAAACATTTAAAAAAAAAAAAAAGGCTGTTCCATGTTGCCTCTATTCAGCATACCTTACTCCTAATTTCCTGCAATACTCTCTTCACCTCTACCACTCAGGGGAAACTTTTTTTCTGAAAGTCACAAAGAAGCTCTGAATTACCAAATCTAACAAATTTTCTTCCCATATCCATTGGCTTCTAACTAACAGTACGAGGCAAGTCTTTCTTCAATGCCCATTCCTTGTTGGATTCCTGGCCTTCCTATTTCTCTCTCTGCAACTTTTTGGTCTCCTTCATAAACGTATTCTTTTGTTTTGCCTGCTTCTAAATATGTTTGTTCTATTTTGGAATCTAAACGTGTTGGCCTAGCAGTAAAGTTCTTCGAAATTTGCCAATCTGTTTGGATCTTATCACACTAAACTCCTCTCCGTGTATCCTATGATTTGAGCTGGCACTCGTCAGATGTGGTTTTAAAATGTATACTAATTAAAATTAAATAGAATAAAAACTTCAACTCCTCAGTCACACTATCCACATGTCAAGTGTTCAACAGCCACTAGTGGCTACCATATTGGACAGAACGTTCATACAACATTGCCTTCATGGACAAAAGTTCTATCGGACAGTGCTAGTCTAGACAACTGGAGTACTCAAATTTCTCATCTCTACACTTTAGCTCATTCTATTCTCTGTCTACCTAAAATGCTGTCCACCAATCATATCTCTTCCTATTGAGGTATGACTCGTTCTTCAAGATTTATTCTTAATATTTACCTGTCTCCAAAGTCTTTACTTATCACTCTAGCTGAAAGTATGGCAGCCCACCTATGAACTCTCAAAGTTGTTTATACTACTACTCTCCCCCATGTTGTTTTGTTCTGTCATTATTGGTGCAAATGCCTGCTTTCCTTGATTAGAGATATAATGTGTGAAGAGTTGATTGATAGTTGCCAACTGTCATTGAGCACTTTGAACATGTGAAGTTAAGTGCTTGATCATAGTTCTCACATCCTCATAACTCCCCTGTGAAATATATGGTGTTTTTTCATATCCGCGTTAAAGAAACTGGGATTTACAATGATGTAACATTGGACAAATTAAGGTCTCAGGACAGGAGGTCACGGAGTGATGAGCCCTGAATTACTCTAGGTGGGTTTAACTCCAAAGCCCATGCCCTTACCCAGGGGAACACACTGCTTCTGAAGATCTCATTCACCATGTTAATGACCACACCCCCGCCAACCCCACCACGTGCCTCCTAACACTAGGCATGCTCCATGTGTGATGAGTGAATAGATGACTAATACTTCGTATGCTTAAGGTCATTTACAATTCACAAAACTTGTTGACAGCTATACTTGATTTCCATATGATTTCCCCAACATCTCTGACGCAGCTCCACAGGAAATGTTATCTCCATTTCACAGAGGCTGAGAGAGTTCAGAGTCCTCCAGAAGCTCACATTGCTATTTAGTAACAGGCATAGACAGGACTTCAGCCCACGTGTTCTGCCTTCAAGTTCTGCCAGCCTTTCTTCAAAACCCTCTGTGAGTTTGAAACTCATCAACAATCAGCAAAGGCTCAAAGTGTTATTGTATCTTAATATGTCTTTTTTGTTGTTTTTTTGAGACAGAGTCTTGCTCTGTCGCACAGGCGGGAGTGCAGTGGCGCCATCTCGGCTCACTGCAACCTCCATTTCCTGGGTTCAAGCGATTCTCCAGCCTCAGCCTCCCGAATAGCTGGGATTATGGGCACCCGCCATCATGCCTGGCTAATTCATTTGTGCTTTTAGCAGAGATGGGATAGGGTTTCACCATGTTGGTCAGGCTGTTCCCGAACTCCTGACCTCAAGTTATCCACCCATTTTGGCCTCCCAAAGTGCTGGGATTACAGGCATGAGCCACCGCACCCAGCCTTAAGATACTGTCTTCTAAAACTTGCCCTTTTTATTGTTTAAAAAACATGATGAGGCCGGGCACGGTGGCTCACGCCTGTAATCCCAGCACTTTGGGAGGTGGAGACAGGTGGATCACCTGAGGTCAGGAGTTCGAGACCAGCCTGGCCAATATGGGGAAACCCTATCTCTACTAAAAATACAAAAATTATTTTTAGTTTTTGTATTTTTTGAGATTGCAGTGGTGGGCCCCTGTAATCTCAGCTACTCGGGAGGCTGAGGCAGGAGAATTGCTTGAACTCAGAAGGCGGAGGTTGCAGTGAGCCAAGATGGCGCCATTGCACTCCAGCCTGGGCCACAGAGTAGTGAGACTCTGTCTTGGGGTGGGGTGGGGGGAGGGGGCGGCGGGGAAGAAAAAACAACATGATGAGGCTTAATTGTTTATGTCTAAGGGAGGGGGAGAGGCAATTTAGTCAAGTTTTCAGTGCTTTTAAATAGCCACAGATTTCAATCTTTATCATATTGTTTTTGCCCTAACCCTATTAGGATAACTTGCTTACATTAAACAAAATTCTGAGAATGTTAATTAGCAATTCAGTTATGAATATGCATGATTATTTTTAAGTCCACTAATATTATGCATAGGTCTTTTCTGTAATTATATCTAAATGTTCTCTTTTTTTCTCTCCCTCTCTATTTCTCCTTCAGGAAAGCCATTTAAAACACATTTGGGAAATGTCTGAAAAAAGTAATTCTATTACTCTTATTTCCAGAATTTTCTTAAATATTTTATGGCTATAATTTTTTCCTTCTCAAGGCAAAACAGTACATCACCACATACATTATCATATTTGTTGACAAATATGAGAGTCAAGGAATTAATTTTACACCAGTTAAATAACAGAAGAAAAAGTTATTCTGTATTTTCTTCTTTATTATACTAATTTTCTCACATCCGTAAATGGTTTTATATTTTGTGGCTATCTGCAATTATATTTAAGGGCGAGTATTATACCACCATTTGTTTCACATCCAACTTGGAGCATTTTGTATTTGTGTATACATATAAGGTTAGTCAGGAGTGAGAGATAGGATTAAACTCATCTAGTTTGCGTGCCCTTTCTCAGTCACAATGCAGTCTTTACAAACAATTTTTCCTTTAACAGAAAAACTGAAAACATGTCTAAAAAAATAATTTGCCTTAAGACAACCCTTCTAGGAAATGGCGAAGATCTGTTTCAAACCCAGGCCTGCCTCATGCCAAAGCCTGTGACCTTTTCACTATTAATGACCAAATGGTTGAATGACTGTTAAATAAGTCTCTTGGGTAAAACATAAACGTGCCTGATACCCCTTCATTAAAATGTTTATTAGATAAATAAATAAATTGGTGGACGGAGCTCAATATAATCAGCTCATTTGCCTCCACACCAAAAGAGAACATTTTCAAATGAACATGCAGGAGGAATACATGATTACAAAAATGCTTCAGCAATGATTTTGCTTTTATAGGATTACTCGTCCCAAGTTCGATAGTCTTAATGCACATGCAATTTGCTTGAAGTCTATAATGCCCTTGCATTTCAAGCTGAGGAGTCTGATCATCTGGAAACTAAAAATTAAGGATCTGAAATATTGTTAACTAAATAGATTGAACTAAAATTAGCCTCTTAGGACTTAAAGTGCTTCCACATAAAGTCCAAGAGCTAGAAACGAGAATGATGTTCCCTACAACCAAATATTGCCTTAATTCCAAATTTAGCTTCTGCCACTTGATCTAATGTTACATCAAGGCACATGAGCCCTCTGCATGTGAAGAGCTTACACCAATTTGAAGCAAATGCATCACATGAGCAAGAATGCAAATTCCAATAGTAATAATGTTTCTTTCACTATTTATTTCATTCCTTATTTTTCATACTTGTTGCCACTTTGTGAACCTGCCTCCAATCACTTTACACTGGCTTATTTTAAAAGCCTTTTAACTGTTCTCCTTACTGTCACCCTTTTTTCCTAATTCCACTGCTCCTACAAATGGTTGCTAGAAAAATCTTCCCCAAACACAGCTTTTATCACAGGCTCAAAAACCTATCACAATTCTCTAATGCCTGGTCTATAAGACTCTTAAAGTCTTTCCCCCTTCTCACCAGCCTAGTCTCTCCCTGAGGCAGTTTCTCTATTAAGAAGAAACAATATTTTGCTATGCCCTGTATTTTCTTTTCTGTGCCTTTTGGCATGCCAGTGCTAGTGATCCTAACGTAGAGCTTTCAAACATGCTTTGCAAATTATCTTTGATGTATTTTCATATGGGTGTAGTATCAGCCTCTGTATTAGTCAGGGTCCCAGAAAAAAACAGAATTCATCCCAGAGTGTTCAAATAAAGAGATTTTAATAAAGGAGTTATTTGCATTAATTGTAGACAGACTTAAGGAGCAAACAAGGTGGCAGGGCACCCAAAGGATAGCAATGGTGAGAATATAATACTACCCCTAGGGATAAACAGTCAAGGAAAAGGAGCAGTGTTTCCTTAGGAGCCCTGCATCAGAAGAGGTACAGAGGAGAACAGGGCGAAGGGAGTTATATCCTGAAAGGACATGATCACGGCCAGCGCACAGGGCCGAAGTAGGACCTGAAGAAGAAATACCCTGACTTCTTTCTCTTCCTGCCCTCCAATATCCTGCTAAAGCCTTCCATAGGCCCCACCCAAGACAAACACAGAGAGCAGAGAGTCCCAGTCATGCAAATGACAAGGGTCAGCTTCCCAGAGCACACGGAAGACATGGAATAGTGTTGAGTGCATGGGGGCATGGCAAATGGAGAACAATTTGCACAGTCTGAGCTAGACTGTAGCCTTCTGGAGGATGGCAATTTCTGAGATACCCCACATTTGGAGTAAGAGAACAGCCGCAGACCTCACTCTATGTGCCACTTTGAGCAACTTTGCTTAGTTAGAAGCTATTTCCTTACCTTTAATATAAGAGTAATACTCAGTTTGTATAATAGTCCTGGACATCCAGTGAAAAAATGTGTATAAAATATCTTGTCCCATAAGTGCTAAATAAATTGTAACTACTGCTGTGACTGACTAAATAAAAATTATATATGTATAAGTATAAAACCTCTTACAAAACATGTAATAATAAAAGAATGAGTCATAAAAGACAAGAATCAATGAGTGTTAATGGTCACCTTTGTTGCTCACCTCTACCCTCCATCCCCTGGCCTTAACAAATATGGCAGGACATCTTCAGGATTTGGCAGGCAGATGATTTATTTTACACTAGTGACTTGGATGCCATTCCTCTTCCTTCCACTCAGTAACAGACGGCGCCCTGGACAGCAGTGACATCTGCAGCCCCAAGGGAGAAGGGTCAGCACAAATTTTAATTTTGCTTTTGGTTTGGGGCTTTAAGTACACAAAGAGGTTTTTTTTTTTCCCTGTCAGTTTGCATCTAGCTTCGCATCTGACATTTTTTAATGCTTTATGTATTTGGATTGACCTAGAAATTTATAGCTTCAGGTTTTTGCTTATTTTGCTCTGTCTCTAATTCAACCTCCTTGATTTAAAAATAAAAGCCAAAATATAACATGAACAAATACTCTATTTGTCTGTATCACTAAGGGGGTAAGGAAGAGGTCATTCTGCTCTTTTTGAGCTACTTCTTATTACCATATATTAACATTTGAATATCTTCAATAACAAGAAACAAGAATACTAGGGATAACCTATAAAAATCTGAGTAAAATTTGACTCATCGCTAAAAAAAACCTTAAAAGCTAAGAGGAGAACATTTACAAAAATTGTTATGTTCACTGACAAGGCATTAGATTTCAGACTAATTGCTGCTATGAGAATAATAGATAGATACACACATACATAAAGCTTTATTTTCAGAAGGTCAAGTATCTACACCAAATGTTTCATCCTCCAGAGTTCAGTTTCAGGGAAATCTCTACAATAGCAGAGCCTCCTGATGTTTGTTGTGGCCACATTTGGAGCCATCAAAATTTCCTACTCAGGCATCCCACAGAGAAAAAGCATCTACCCCTAAGAATGTGAAATAGTATCCTCATTACTGAGTTGATTACTCATCAACCTTAATAGTATTTGTAATTCGCCTTTACCCTGGGGCAGTTTTCAAAGGTCATGGGGAAGGCTGAAGGCTGTGTCTATAAGACAGTTTGATCAAAATAGAACTAAAGGCTGGCCTCAGGTAGCTGTTTCTAATCTGAGTTGGTCAGAGGACAATGAAAACTACAGTTCATGCCCAGATGTTCTCCTTGGTCAAGGGGAGACTGGCTAGACAGAGTCAGATCTTAAGGGTCATTTCTGATTGGCCTCCATCCAGAGTATGATAACAAAACTCAAGAAGCTTCGCAGATAAATAATGATGTAACTAATTTAGGTGTTTAGATAAATCATTCCAAGTCTCCTTTGTCTGCTTAGGACTGATTTTCCTGGGCTAGGTAAACACCCTGAATTTACAAGAGAATGTTCAGCCTCATTTTAACTCTGCAACTGGTAGAAGAAGAAGAAATAGGCCTTCTTCTATTTTGATGGTAGAAAGACAAATAAAATGACATGCATAAGTCATTTAGAGTAGTAAAGCAAATAATCAACAATTCACAGGATTGAATTGTATGATAAGAAGACATATGGAATTTCTCATCCTGGTTCTTTTCTTTGTCCCTTTTGTAAGTTACTTACTCCAATTGATTCCAGCTTTTCAATCTGTAAAAAAGGGATATAAGATAAATAATCTCTAATATTCCTTCTAACTCTATAAAAATAGCTATTGTTATATGTATCAAGAATAATCAAAGTATATTTTTTTAGATTGTAGACCTATGTTCTCATGAGACTGCATTTCAGATGGATTGGAAGCAGCCTAATATGTATTCAAAAACCAGCACCAGATGAAAGGACTCAGCCAGAATCATGCAAAGCAGAACAATCAAATTCACAGAGACAGACTAAACTTTTTAACTAAGACTATCATGCAATTATATTGTTGGTATATCCCACGTCTATTGGTTGTATATGTATTCAAAAATTAGGTTTAGAGATGGATGATACACAGATTAGATAAACTGATAATCAATGGAGAAATGGAAAAATAGACATTTTTTAAGCACATTTTCTGAAATATCAGATGTATAAAATATGTGTATTCAGGAAAGAAATAAAATTAGACAGGAGACAATACAGATAACTTAGCAAGAAGTTATTAAGGGTGAATAATAGTATTCGGATATATCTGTCACAAGGCCCTACAAATACTAAAATTAGCTGTGATTTTTTTCTGTTAGTTCCCTAGGATTCTGCTAAAATCAGCATCCTCAGGAGCACTGGTTAACACTATGGTGTAAATCACTTGCTGATGCCATAAATTAAAAAGAAAACAAAAAACTATATTCAAAGTAACTGAGCTATAGGAACATCTCCTTAAAAGATGGAGGCATTAAGAGCATTTTCCACAACCAAGAACTAAATGTCATTCACCTGTGAATTAAAAAAAGGAAATCAAGGGGGAAAAATGAGCAGCCAGATCAATTGCGTAAACCTTTGTCAAAGATAGAAATGTTTATATGGGAGTTCTGTGGCTAAACAAAATGCAAACAGCCACATATTTTTTCAACCAACAACTGGATATCAGTAGCTTAAATAAACTCTTTCATCGTTTTATTTTTTTCATCCTTATCCTTGCTTTAAAAAAATGGAACACAGTATTTGTTGAACATTTTATGCACATATTGCGTCATAGCCCAATTTCTCAAACTCAAAGTCAATTTAGCAAATAGAAATGACAGTAGAAAAAACATATAATGTCCTGTTGGGAAGAACTGTCTTTCATTGTAGTGTGAACTTAATGACTGCATCACCTACCTTGAAGTATTTTTTAGGTCTAGTTATTCATTTAACAAAGGATTATCCAGTGCCTTCTATGTGACAGGCGCAGTGGCCACAAAGATAAGCAAAAAGATATGCTCCTTATCTTCATGGAGCTTACAATTTAATAAGAGATAAATATCCATCAAACAACCCCACAAATAAATGTACAACTGTAACTGTAATAAAAGCTAAAATGAGTATGGTGCACTATGGGCATACAGTAGGGAGATCTGACCTAATCAGAGAGTTAAGACAAGTTAGGGGCCTTGTATCCTATTCCTGGAGTCTTGCTCATCGGCAAACAGGTGAAGGAAGTATTTGTAAGGATAATATATCCTCCTGTACATCCCAAAGTCCCGTCCTGTGCACAGCCACTGACTACGTACCTCTGCATCCAAAGCAGACTCAGCTTTCAGCTGGCCTTGCTGAGAGTGAGCCCAGCATATCATGGAAAATGAATTCACCACACTGTGGCACAAACCCCGTATCATCCAACAGCTTCTTCAACCAGAGCAGCTCAGTCTTGGTCCTTATCCGTGAATGATGGTTGCAGAACCACGCTGGCTTTACAGGGATCTGGGTAGGATCCATTGCCCCCACCCTGAATGTATTCATAGTGATGTGCTATATGGTTTAGGAGCCTTGGTAAATAAGTCAAGGTAGAACTGTCTCAACTCAGAACTTTCTTCAGGTAAGAAGTATGCTTCCAACAGAAGTTCCTAACAGGAAGCAGCTATCAACATCAAAGGGGAGTATAGAAATCAATCCAAGACTAACCCCACGGTCTACTCTTTTCTTCCCTATCATCTGTGCCCCTAAAGAAGTCAGGGGAGTTCCCTGGCCAGACCTAACTCAGTACTTAAATATCTTTGATAGGCCTGGGAAACAGAACACAGGAAGAAAAGTCGTGGCTTTTCACCCCAGCAGTGGAATCTATTCTTGTTTTTTGTAGCTTGAGGTGTTTACACCTAAGGAACAGAAAGTGAACTTAAAATGCCTTTAATTAAGAAATTAGGTTTAAATGATTCCATATAACAAATCTGATTTAATTTTAAATTTTTGAATACATTTACTCATTCAAGAATGGTTTCAAACCCTCCGGGGGTGAGAGAAAGGGCAATTCTAGCTATCTTCTACAACTTTCCTGAAATAAAGACAGGAAATCCAATTTGTAATCACAATAAAGTTTCTTATCTAAATCCAAAGGCCAGTTTCTTTTTCCCCTTGGAAACATAAGTGCCTGAAGCAGGGGCTGCATTTTGATATTCTTTGTGGCACTTGGCACAGTATCATTTCTGTGAAGGTGGCTTGTAAGTAGCCTGGGGTGATTATGGTGGTGTAATTTTCATCACAACCACAGATAACCCAGGTAACTGTGCAGGTACAATGATGTTCAGCTTAACTTAAGTGGCTTTGTTCCAAACAAGGGCCTCTATTGTAAAAACACAGCAGGTGTTAAAACATAGAGATATTGAAGATAGGGGTCACTTTACATACTAACATGCACTGAAAAGTAAATCTGAGCTGCCCCACATTATTGCCAGGAATTACTGTATACTTAACATGAATCCATTAAGTACACAACTGGACAAATGATGAAATTTTATGTTAGTAAAATTCCTGACATATTTCACACCTCTTACTCTATTAAATTACGCTTTTTTAACAAAGAAAAGCTTGCCTACTTCTACACATTTTCAATTTTTTCTCCTATGTATTTCATATTAAAATTTCAAAATAATTTGATCAGAGATCCAGTGCACAAAGGTGCCTAAGTGGATAATAATCACCAAAAACACTTGCAATGGCTGCAGTAGTGGGATTCCCATCAGTGATGTCAACAGTGATGCCAAGAAGACAAAAGAAGAGGGAAGGAGCTAATAACAAAATCCACAGAATAAACAGGCTTCATTAATTTCTGAACAGGCTACATAAATCCATTAATGCCTACCGATTAATAACATGGTCATATAAATGAAGTTACTGCATACGTGTTTTCTGAAAAGCATCATTGCTAATTCATCTTATACTATCAAAATTTCTTTATCCAAAATGTATATATTTTTGAGTAATATCTTCTCAAGAAAGTAATACTTTCTTGTAATACTCAAGAAATACCCTCAATTCCCAAGTACTATAGTTTATATGTGACCAGTTTTTGATATAATAAAATATATAAAATGTAAAGTTAAACCTTAGACGTCTGTCTAGTGCTTATTCTGAGTGGCAATGAAATAATGTAATAAAACACAGCAAAAGGCCGAAAGAAGGAAGAGCTATATTTTGGGAGTGCAGAGAAGCATTACTTCAGAAATGTGTCCAGACAAAGAAAACTCATTCAAGGGATGTGGATAAGGGCCAGGTGGACTAAGGAAGAGGTAGTCTATCTGGGTGTCTCAAAAAGGAAGTTTTCATTCTGGAATCTGAAAAGAGGATGAATGCACCCGAAAATCAAACCAGCAGAGAGTGTTTCAAGAACTAGAGTTAGAGAGAAAGAATCAACTAGAGATAGGTACATCAGACATAGGAAAGGAAACCTGTAGCTAACTGATAGCTTCCATAAAGACAAATTGAATAATAAGACTGTGTATGGTTTACAAAGGCAGGTAGTATTTTTCTCGAAGTGTCCTTGTAGTGAATCTACTATCTTTATATTTGCCATGTTAAAGATACTACTGAGCTGCCCAGAGAACAGTCAAGGAAAAAAGATTTTTGGCCACAGGGCTGTGGTCCTTCAGAAATCCTGGAGCTCCTGTGTGATTAGGAAGTTATCAGAAACAGAACATGCTGTGAGTGTCTGTGTTTGAAGTGAAAGAAGGGAGATATTGAGAACAGCAATGAGTTTGCCCCTTTTTGACAAATCTTACTCTCTGCTTATTTATATCAAATTATCATCATCATCACCCTTATCTCCAGTGATTACCCAAGTCTCTTGTTCACACTCCTCCAAACTGTCTACATATACCTCCCCGCCCAAATACACACTGAAGTTATTAAGAATTAAAAGAACAAATTGTTTGCCCATCCTCATAATCATCTGTCCTAAAATGTCATTTAAACATTTAATCAAACCTGCAGTCCTCCAGGGGAATGTGTGAGTCATGCCGTTCATCCCACACGCTCGAGCGGGGCTTTGTGTCAGTCTTAGGAATGATGCAGACTGGTCCCACAAAGAAATCAGTCACAGGGACATTTTCTGTCATTAGGCAGAGAACAAAAAGCTAACAGTTTCCTGGACTCTACTGAAATAAACTTTTGCACCAATTAATGAAACCCCTATGGAAAGCATCATGCCAGAATCCAAGGAGGCTGGCCATGTACTGACACGCAAACTAACACTCCTGCAAAAGAGGGGGTAGGTGAGCATCCTAAGTCAATATGAATTGTTTGTTTTTCTGCTACTTTGGATCAGCTATACCACTGCTCCCTTTCACAGGTACAAATACACAAAAGAGGGCTTCTGTTTCATAAAAGTGGCTCCGACAAATGACACTCCTCAGGGTGCTGAACCCAACACTGGCAGCCAGCCCGTTCTGTGCCCTCAGCCTGCCAGTACTTTTCACTTCCAAAGCTATCAGCCTGCTTCAGACCTATGCCTTCACTCTGACTAGGGACAAAGAAAAGATCACAGTGGAAATCCTTCTGTGTGCTGCTAATAAGCCTATTTAGAGTCAATGAGAAAGCCTCATTTTGCACCACCAATAACGGCCTTCAAGAGTACTACTGAATCAGAAAAACCGAAATGTTTCTATGTACTCCCTGTCCTCATTTTACATCAGCCAGAGAGGTGACGCTCAGCAAAATATCGGACACGATGACCTCCAAGTTTCCTTCCTTCTCTAATGTCCTCTGGTTCTCTGTTGGCGAGTAGGATTCAAATTTTATTTAAATTATCTCATATTCTGATGGATTCTTGAGCCCTTTTTCAGTTTTAGATAGTCTCCCTGAGGTTTGCTGAATTGGCGTATCCGGAGTCTAGGATCTCTCTTGGCAAAGAACTGAATATTGCTCCCATCCAACGGCTTAGCTAGCACTGTCTATTTTCTTTCTGAAAAAGATCTGGGTAGGAGGCAGGTGTAGAGCATCTTTCCACCTCCCACAGAAGGGCTAGGGAAAGCTTTGTTGTGCATGAACCATGAACAAAAGGATAATTCAAACCAGCAATAATGTCCTTAATAAAAAATAATCATCATTTTCCCAAATGAAAATCTACAGTTCTAACCATTTGATCACAGTGATGTAAGCAAACAAACCTGCAGCTAAAGGTTATATACGGGTCGAAGATTTAATGGAAAGTGATACATGGGTGGAATGACATCACCTATTTGTCAGAATACTAACTCCTCTACCATATCCTGTGTCGGCCCACCGTTGGGGTGTAAGGGAAAGGTGCATAAAGAGATAAGTACCCATTTCTAAACATAATGCAAGTTTGACATTTAAGCTCAATAGTTTAGCTATAGAGCATTTTGGTAACATAAAAAGAAACCAGAGCAATTTGAGTGACCTTTGTGAAAGACAGGCATAGAGGTAGCAACCACCAGTCTCACCACCAAAATCTAAAAACACGGAAAATTAGCATTTATCAAAATTTCTCAGAGACTATGTTACCTACCCAAGATTCCACAGCTAGGATGCAGTGTTTGAGTGTCTACTAACAAGGCTGGGAATTATTAAACACAGAAAGCGTAACAGAAACACTTAGTTCCTCTTGGGTCTTATGGTCCAGTTGATAAAACTTCCAGCACTTTGAACAGATTTTCACTTACTGCAAAGAAAAATGCTTAGCTGAATTATTGTCTGTCTGGGTTGCAAGTAGCACACCCCCACCATCTGTAAAATAATATTTTGGTAGACTAGAGGGCATGTTGTTAAAGGAACCCAAAGGAGAATTATTTTGATAAAGTTAGGGACAATCTCTAGTATGTGTGTTTTATAATTCTGCAACTTATGTAGAAATATATCTGAATGAAATGTTGTTGAAAAGCTGTATATCATTTTAATTTTAATAAATCGAGTCACATTTTATATTCACTGACTGAGAAGTTGGTATTTAGGAAACCTGTGAGAAATTACTTTAATAATTTGTGTGTATGGCAAACATTCACCTTCTGACTTAATTCAGAATTTCTATATAAAAACAAAAATTTAATTCTTTAATATCATCTTAAAATGAGGGATGTTCATGCCATGTTAAATAAATCATTTCCACTTATTTTTAATACATAGTATTAGTTAGGATGCTTGCAGCTGCAAATGATAGAAAATCCAATCCAAAATGGCTTTAAAAATTGTTGTTCTTTAGGTCTATCACCCTAGACTTCTGCTGTCCAATATGATAGTCATTAGCCACATTTAAATGTAAAGAAATCAAAGTTACATTTACATTTAAGTGTAAAGTAATTAAAGTTAAATACAATTTGAAATTCAATTTTTTCAGTTTGCACTAGCCATATTCCATCAAGTGACCAATAGCCACATGTCACTAATGGCTGCTCTATTAAACAATGCAGATATGGAAAAATCTTCTTCACCTCAGAAAGTTCTATTAGACAGTGCTGGCTTCAAAGAAAAGGAAGTTGTTAAATCAGTAGGCAACAGTATCTGTTATATTCCCTATGTAGCAGGCAATAATCTTTATGCATATTATTTCCTTTAACTTCCCAACCGCTCTATGAGGCAACTATTATTATAATGTACTAGTCTGGACTCTAGGTTGCTAGCTAAAAATGGGAAAACATAATTAGGAGAACCTTGAACTATCTCACATATCTACAAGAAAAGCCTGGTTAAGGTCCTCATCACCATCAGAACTCTTTCCATCTGCCACCTTTATTCTGTTGCACAAGTCAGTATTATTCTTCCAGGTCAGCTTCCCCCTTGTGGTGGAAACTTCCCAGCCTCATATCTCACAGCCTCAAACTACTGCCTCCCACCCCCTGAGAGAGAATGATCCTCCTCCTTTCACTCCCATTTTAGATATTACTCGGAAGGACTCTGATAATTTAGCTTTAGTGAAGAGCTCAGTGTTAAATCAATCAGTTGTGGCTGAAGAGACACCAGGGAGAGGATCAGGGTTGTAGAATAGAGACATGGCCGGAGGGGCTCCACTTATGGACAGGGAAAACGATTTCTAGAGAAACTGGAATGCCAGGGTCCTCTCCTTCAACACATTTCTGAGTCCTCAAGGCTCTATCTCAGGCCCTCTGCAATTTCCACCCCACATACTTTCTGAATCTGTCTCACCAAGTCCCATTAATATACTAGTGAGGCCCCAATTCTCTGTCTCAGCAAGACCTTGTATTCTTAGCTTCAGACTCACATAACCAACTAACCTTTCCCAGACATCTGCAGCTGTATATCTCATAGGCTCCTTAAACTCAGTATATCCCACAAAATTCATCATCCTCCTTCCCCCTCTTCCCCAATCATTCATTATATCAGGAATGCTCTTTCAATCAATGACCGAATTTCCCATGCCAAGAATCAAGGCATCATCCTTGATTTGTCCTCTCCTTAAACATCCAATTAATTGCCAAGCCCTACATATATCCCTAAAATGTCTTTTTATTAATATGTCCATCTACTTCTGTCCATTCCTAGTACAGTGCAACCATCATAGGCTGGGCCACTATCATTTCTGGAAAATTACTGTAGTATCTCATGGGTCTCCCTTCCTCCAGTGTTATGCCTCACCAATACATTATCCATACTACAGCCAGAATAATCTTTCTAAGATGGTGATTCTATTATTCTGCTTAAAACCTTCTGGTGCCCATTCATTGACTTTCAAAACATTTTTCAACTGCCTCTTGAGGCATATAAAGTCTTATATGATCTGTCCCTTGCCTAGGTCTCTATCCTTACTCTCCTACTATCCCCCTCTCCTAGTCTCTACAACTGCCATCCTTTCTCTTGCCCACTGCTCTTTGTGCCACCCTCTGGTTAAAACAATACTACTACTGATAACCTCTTTTTCTTAATTCTGCTCATATTTTAGTCTCAACTTCAATGACACCCATCTTCTCCCTTAGGCTACATCAGTTCTCCCTGCTATATGCTGACTATTCAGTTAACATAACACATTGCATTGCAGGAACTGTGCTAAATTATTCACCTTCCCAATTAGACTATAAGCCCCATGAGGACAATAACCATTTTCGTTTTGCTCACGAACATGTCCTTGACATCTAATAGCTAGTGCTTGACAAAGAGCAGAAAATAAGCTGAATTTAATTCTTTCATTTATTCCACAAATATTTTAAGGAAGCCTGTTTGTGCCAGATGCCACCCAAGGCACTGAGATGCAGCTGTGAATGAAACAAAATCTCTTCCTACATGAAGCTCATGTTCTTGCAAGGTAAAAAAAAAACAAAACAAACAAACAAACAAAAAAAAACCAAACAAAAAACCCTAATAAACTAATAATTTTTTAGAAAATGCTTAAATTGTATAAATAAATATAGTTTTAATATTTGTATAACTTTTTACATTTTTATTTTTACTTTTTATTTATTTATTTTTATTATTATTATACTTTAAGTTTTAGGGTACATGTGCACAATGTGCAGTTTAGTTACATATGTATACATGTGCCATGCTGGTGTGCTGCACCCATTAACTCGTCATTTACATTAGGTATATCTCCTAATGCTATCCCTCCCCGCTTCCCCCACCCCACAACAGTCCCCAGAGTGTGATGTTCCTCTTCCTGTGTCCATGTGTTCTCATTGTTCAATTCCCACCTATGAGTGAGAACATGCGGTGTTTGGTTTTTTGTTCTTGCGATAGTTTACTGAGAATGATGATTTCCAATTTCATCCATGTCCCTACAAAGGACATGAACTCATCATTTTTTATGGCTGCATAGTATTCCATGGTGTATATGTGCCACATTTTCTTAATCCAGTCTATCATTGTTGGACATTTGGTTTGGTTCCAAGTCTTTGCTATTGTGAATAGTGCCGCAATAAACATACGTGTTCATGTGTCTTTATAGCAGCATGATTTATAGTCCTTTGGGTATATACCCAGTAATGGGATGGCTGGGTCAAATGGTATTTCTAGTTCTAGATCCCTGAGGAATCGCCACACTGACTTCCACAATGGTTGAACTAGTTTACAGTTCCACCAACAGTGTAAAAGTGTTCCTATTTCTCCACATCCTCTCCAGCACCTGTTGTTTCCTGACTTTTTAATGATCGCCATTCTAACTGGTGTGAGATGGTATCTCACTGTGGTTTTGATTTGCATTTCTCTGATGGCCAGTGATGGTGAGCATTTTTTCATGTGTTTTTTGGCTGCATAAATGTCTTCTTTTGAGAAGTGTCTGTTCAAACAAATTTACAAGGAAAAAACAAACAACCCCATCAAAAAGTGGGCAAAGGACATGAATTTTTTACATTTTTAAAATTGTATAAATGAAACCTTTTTAAATGACATTTTCATTATGTACTCCAAGTTGTCTTTTCATTATTCTGTTACCTCATTAGAGGTAGTGTGGAAATAAAGTGCTTTCCCTCAAATAGTATAAATGTAATTTTATTTTTTTAGAAAAACAAAACACTATGGAGTCATGGCATTTATAATGAAGTAACCAAATATTCCAATTAAATATTCAGGTAACCAAATATTCCAGTTAAATATTCAGGTAACCAAATATTCCAATAAAATTTGACTGATTTTATAGGACACAGGCCTATATGTGTTTCTAGAATCATATTCCCATTTAAATTAGCATCGCAGTCAGGAATTTAAAGACAAACTATCAGAATAGTACATTTTCTTCTTAAATTACAGTAAAAGCCCTTTTATAACTATGTTGAGCTTTTTCTTTTATTAAAAAATATCATTCCAACAATTAAAATATTTATCAAATGCATGCCAAGCTAGGCACCATGCATCATATCTACATCACTATGATGAAGAACAGGGTGACTATCTGGCCATACATTATAGACCAATTAATTAACTTAACAGATATATAATGCTAAGCATATGCTAAGTCTTGAGGATACAGACCCTGCTTACTAGCAACTTAGAAACTATTGTCTGACTATTATCTTTCCCACAAAAGATAAGCTCCTTGAGGGCAGATGTTTAGCACAATATAGAGTTTAACAAATGTCATAAGTAATCAAAAAATAATCAAGACTCTTCGGTAGTCTTGATTTCTCAATTAGCCTTAGTAAGCTCTAATCATACTTTATGTCTCCTTTGCCCTACTGTATCCAATCCTTTGTTCAGCTAGTTCTTTTGTTTAGCTATGTTCCTAAGAGTTTGTGGTAATTCTCTTGTATTTCAGCAAATCATATCTATGAGACTCTCTCAAATCCTCTGAGTTAAAAAGAATCCCAAGATAAAACACAGAGAATAAATACTATTTTTGAAATATAAATAGTCTCCTGTATTTATCTGCTTTGTATCATTTTTAGAAAAGAGGAGAAATCAAGTTTTCCTGATATTGAATCATCTATACATTGTTCCTTTTTAAAATTTTGTTTGGTTTTAATGAATTGGTTCCTTCAACTGAAGTTTAATAGCCATTTAAAGGAAGACAATTTATCCTGATGTTTCTGTATTTTTCTAAACTTTCTCATCCTCTCTGGCCCGAGCCTTACCATAGTTTTTCAAATAATTGGTGATCAAAAATGCTGAACTGTCACCTGTTTGCCTATACACTCTTTTCCATTTCTGAGTTCTTCAGTGTAATATTCCAGAGATTGTGTTTATTCAGATACATTCATCTTCCAATCAATCAAGCTAATGCCAGCTTCTGTTGTGGGTTTTGCAGAAAGGATTTCCTAGACTCCTGAATTCATTTTTTCTCTCTGTAGGATGAGCATTTTTGTTTTAAATTATTGTCTGAAAAAATGTGAGCAGTTACGTACTCGAAATTTTAACTAGAATTGCTTCCCTTCTAAACATGCTAGTTTCTCAGACCAAATGTATCAATCTGACTCCCTTAGAAGTCAGGCGCTTCACAAAGAGGGAATACTTAACCTTAGGTGGCCAACAAAAAAACATACAGGCCCATATACCAGGAAAAATAGTAGAATGGGTCAGTGCAACTGAGCCCCACTTTGGTAAAGTTCTTCAGAGCAGGAAAGGATGAAGGAAAGAAGCAAATATCAAATCAGACTTCAGTCCTATCATCGTTAGGTAGCTACAGGGCTTTAGACAACCAACCTGACCAGAGGAGCCTCAATTTCCCTTTCTGCAAAGTGAGGAAACTGAGCTAAATAATCTCTAAGGACCTCTTCAACTCCTCCACTCTATGTGTATTTACGATTGACAGTACAGTTTTCTAAGTGTTCAGAATATTTTTTGTTTCTGACATGGCAAACTTTACAATCTGCTTTGCAGACTTTGAAGATACAGGTGCATCTGTGTATGTTTCTTTAGATTTAGTAATTTAGTAATTAAGCTTCCCACTTTCAAATTTACTAATGAGAAAAACACGCACACACACACATATACATATTACTCTGTCATTATACTTTACTGATTTGAATACATACTCGAGTAAGTATATAAAGCTGGCTACTTATTGCATGTTTTTGCATTGATAATGTATAGATCAAGTCTTGTTTAGACGGTCTTCTGTAAGACAGCTTGAGTTTATCAGTAACCTTTAGCACAGTTGAATGTTTATTTTGCTAATTTAGCTTCAGGTGCTATGGTTATCATTATAAACTAACTCTAATATTCTCTGTTACTCAAAGCATACCCTAGAGCTCACCAGGATCCATGTCACCTGGAACTGGTCAGAAATGCAGAATGCCTACCTCCAGAGTTACAAAATCAAAATCTGCATGTTAACAAGGTACTCAAGTGATTTGTGTGCATGCTAACATTCTAGAAATGCTGTTAGACATAGTGCTGCCCATATTGCTTTAAAATAGATTTTTTCTTTAAGAGAATGAATAAATGAGTAAACTAACTATAATTTAGCAACGTGAACTGCTATAATTCAATGTCATTGGACTTAGAGTTATAGAAACTTCTAGTTGATAGTTTCTCCTATTTTGTTTTTTGCTTAATGTAGTCATAGGTCTACTCTTATACAAGGCAAGAGGCCAGGGAACTGGATGTAAAGGTTTATGCTGTTCAAGACCCACTAGCAAAAACTACATGTATAAATGAAAATCAATGTGAAGAATATTAAAATATTTACTACTTTATAAAGGATTAGGTAATAACCAATATGTTATTTTTGCTTCACTTTATAGTTGGTGATTAAAATTCCAAAATGTATTCCATCACACATAAAGTATCATAAAGAGCAAAACAGGAAAATATTTTTCAACTATGTGGTAAAATGTCTAATATAAGTAAATAATAAATGGAGGATATAAATGTCAAGGACAAATCCAAATAAAAGAAACCAGGATCCTGGCTGCAGCTCTGAGATTAACACTGTGATTTGTCAGTAATTCACTTTACTTCTCTGGGTTCTAGTTTCTTCACTAGAAAACAAGAGATTGATTCTTATTTTACATCCCAGCTCTAAATTCTGAAATCTAGTATGTCTGAAATCAATGCCTGTTTTGTCATCTCAGATGGATCTATTGAAATTCACCATGAAATCTCAGAAACAGCATAAATAAGTCATCCTTGGATTTCTGCTATTTTACTTGCGAAGAACAAGAGCATATGGATGCCTACCTCATAGTGCTAACGTAAAGGCATTCTCCCCAACAGAGTTTTACTCTAGGCAAGGGGACAAATGGGGAAGGCAGAACACATTTTAATTCAGGGGAACCTACCTGGGTTATCTTTCACTCTGAATCACCAAATCCAATTATGTAAATTCATCCCCCTTGATGACTACCTACTTCCTTCATATGGTCTCTATGTGTCCTGAGTGAATACGGGAGAGCTTATACCTTTCATAACTTCACAAAACAAACAGAGGACTGCTGAGAGGTAGTTATACCTGAAGAGTTACATAGTTAATCTAGCACCAGAAAATAAACTGACAGGTCTTTCAGGGAGCTAATTATTGAGCCTGCTATTTGGTTCACTGACAGGATTGCTTGTTTGTGGGAAGAAACATATTTGTGCATTGCTTTTTGCATTACCGCTATTTCTATCATCATAAATAAGAATCAATAGGCCATTTTGCATAGCATATGCTCACCACTATTTTGTATCTGAGTGTCAGCTGTATGCAGGCTAAGCAGCAGTGCCCCAGCCTCCTGGCTGAGAATTAAAACCCAGCAAAGAAAACACCTCAAATTCCACAAGACAGTGTATATGTCTTTGTGAGCTCCTTGAGAGCAAGGGAGGTCTGTTGTTTGTCTCTCTATCTGAAGCACAGTGCCTGGCACATGGGGAGCTTCAAAATGTATAAACAACTAAATGAATAATGAATGAATGGATGGATGAATGAAACAAAGGAAGGTTTTAAGATAGGATATGGAATCAACTGTATTTACTGGGTCAGTCAAGGGATGTCGTTTCGATAAGCGCAGAGCTATTTACAATTCGTGATGGAGACAGGAAGGAAAAGACCCGGCCTGAGTCCAGAGGGAGCTGGCTTTTGTTTAGCAGCTTAACCCACATACTCAGGTCTCTGCAATATTCACTATCGGGTCCTCACTACAGAAGACAAGAAATCAGAATGACAGTCATTTAAAAAGTAAAGCAAAACTTCTGAAGAAAGACTCTACTGCCAATGAGAATATTGCTGGACAAAACAAGGTCAAGTAAGGGACTGATCAGAGAAAAGATATGAATGAGAAAAAATGAGGCAATGAAGGGAGAGGAATTGTGGCAGAGGCCTGAGTGGGGAAATAAGTGTGTGAAAAATGTGTAAAGACTGGGAGAGTATGAAGATGCAATTCTCAAGAGAGTCTGTGGATGTCTGGGTTTTGGAGAGTGGAAAGACATTAAGCCTGAGAGTACAATGAGGGAGGGAGGAAGGGAGGGAGGGAGGGAGGGAGAGGTCAGATAAAAGTCTATAAAATAACACCCATCACCACTGATAACAAGTATAAAAGAGTCCTTTTTTCTTCTAGAGAAAGACAAAGGGAATTTTAAGTAGGATTAAGTAGTAGTAGCTTTCAGAACTCAGCAGCTCTCAGAAGCAATAATAACTACATAAATAGCTAAGTGGATGGTAGGAATTACCTCACTTGGAATTTGGCCAGCAAATCAAAAGTTAGCAGTAATATCACATCTTTTTGAAAGCTTTCCTGAGATTCTAGAGGGGAAAATTATCAAAGAAAACTGTTTCTACTGAGTAAATTTCAGGAAGAAATGCTCCTCACTGCTTGAAGATGTTCTATCTCTGGAAAACTGCTAAGACAGAAGTCCCTCCCTGCTGGGAAGCACTCTCTCATCCATGTAAATACATTGCCAATTTTGCCCCCAATGGTAGCAAATAATTACGTTCGCAGATCACCATTGCCTAATGTAAAATGTTACTCAACACGTATAACCTAACCTACCAATGATGTTCTGAATGAGCAAAAAGGGCGTCATGGATATCTCACTTTCAGAGAGTGTCTTAACTTTTTGACTCATTGCAGGTAGTTAAAATGTAAACTTTTTACGGCCACATTTTAAAGCACTTTGCAAACGCTGGACACCTCTACTCGTGAATATCCTGTAAATTTTTCCTTTCAAGTACATTTGACCACTAACATGCCAGATCATCTTCCCTTCTCCCCTAAAACAGAAATGAAAACTGGGTAAAATGGTAATTTGGGGGACAAATATCTTCTCTCATCATCTGAAAACTGTCATATGTTGCTTTTTAAAAAAATTAAATTAGTGTTATTTGTTTTCCACCCAGAGACAAGTTATTTTGGTATCACCCACAATGGAATTTGCATGAAAATCTGTTTACTGACCCAGTTCCCTAGGGGTGCATTTGCCCTAGCACTTGGAGTAAACACCATTTTCACTGCACTAGAAATAGTTCTAATTGGACAAATTGTTATAATTTTAGCAACACCCAATTAAATCAAAGGAATTGGAGGCAGAGATGCCACAGAATCTGGATTCGGCCACAAACCAGTTCAGTATTTGTGCCTGAAATAAAAGTCTAATCATATACCATCTACAGATGCTAAAGGAACAGCTACATACCTCGGCTGAACTTAGAAAATATGATTTTTTTTATTGTACTTTAAGCTCTGGGATGCATGTGCAGAACGTGCAGGTTTGTTACATAGGTACACATGTGCCATGGTGGTTTGCTGCGCCCATCAACCCATCGTCTAGGTTTTAAGCCCCGCATGCATTAGGTATTTGGCCTAATTTTCACTCTCCTTTTGCCCTCAACCCCCTGACAGGTCCCACTTGTGATGTTCCCCTCCCTGTGTCCATATGTTCTCATTGTTCAACTCCCACTTACGAGTTAAAAAAAAAAAAGAAAGAAAATATGAGTTTGGAGAAACTGGTTATTCTGAAAACAGCCTATTAAAAAGTTATGTGACTGGTTAACAGTGTGTGTGTGTGTGTGTGTGTGTGTGTGTGTGAGTCCATCCATTTCATTAACTGGGGTATTTTCACCAATACAGTCTAAATAACAGGAAATGAATTTAAAGAGAATCAAACAATAACATTCAGAACTCAAAGTTAAGCATAGTGTAAAATATATCTCAGTGGAAAGCATGTAAGTGTCTTAACTCTCCTTCCAAACCCATCTATAAATTGCCACTTTGTATTTTCCATTCATGTATCCTCCTCTCCAAGAAGCTGGACCTTTTTACTGCTGTTCACGCACCTACACATCACGTCCTACTCCATGCCTTTGTCCTGCTGACTCCCCATTTCTTCTCATCTTGGATGTCTTTCCCAAATCCTTCTTGTCATCAAACACTCATCTCCTCCACAGAGCTTTGGATTTTACAATGTGAACTTACATACATTTTCTGAACTTCCCTAATTATCTATATCCAAATTTAGCATTTAATCATAGAACTTTCCTCTCTGATTAAGTATATGTTTGTGTGTACCTTTTTATCCCCCAACCAAATCACATGATTTAAAGGTAACATTGGTCTTTAATGCCTCTCCTTAAAGTTTCCATCAAGATCCTACTCTGCATTTATTCTCTTTCACTAGTTATCCCTTCTCTTTTTTTTGAAAACATGCTTAAACGTGCCCTATCCTAAAGAAATCTCCAATTCTTTCTCAAGCTCTCCCACCATATCTACTTTCTTTCTCTCAAAACTTCTTTAAACAGCATCCCTTCCTCCACTTCTATTCTGTTCTCTCTCAACCCCTCTAATTTGGTTACCCAGGCACACCCTTATCTCTCAGCTGCAAGTCCCTGCAGCACTGAAACCTCACGCACCTGTCTTTCTCCTGGAGACTGAGACAACCTTGACTCCCGGTTCATCTCCTTCCCCCAAGCCCAGCATTCTCAGTGTCCTTTCCTGGTTCCTGCCCTTGAATTCTCAGTCATCACTCCTCATCTTTTCTCAGTCTCCCATGGCAATTGCATTTCTGCTTTTGTCTTTAACTTCAAAATCTCCAAGACTTCCTAATCTCAAATTTTAGTGAACTGTCTGTGGGGTCCCAGACCTTATGCTGCCACCTGCTGGCCAGTTTCACGGGGCTATCTCAGAACAAAATTCAAGTTTATTCCCAAACACCTAACCATTCTATTTATTTTATTTTTCCTCTGTTAACTAATTACATCACCATTTTCCTAGACCTCCCCGATAGAGGTTTAACATCAGCATCCTCCATGATTTAACGATCTTCGCCCCAGCATCAACCACTCAGCTGGTTGTTATATAAATACAACACTATATAGCGTTAGATAAACATAACACTACCTACCAGAGCGTCTGTCCTGTGTGTTACATCCCTAGCTAGCTTTTTTTTTTTTTTTTTTTTTTTGGAGATGGAGTCTCACTCTGTCGCCCAGGCTGGGTGCAGTGGTGCAATCTCGGTTCACTGCAACCTCCACCTCCCGGGTTCAAGCAATTCTCCTGCCTCAGCCTCCCAAGTAGCTGGGACTACAGGCGCCCGCCACCACGCCGGGCTAATTTTTTGTATTTTTAGTAGAGATGGGTTTTCACCATGTTGCCCAGGCTGGATTCAAACTCCTGAGCTCAGGCAATACGCCCACCTCGGCCTCCCAAAGTGCTAGGATTACAGGCGTGCATCACCGTACCACCGTGCCCGGCCCCTAGTTAGCACTTCTTAGACCATGACGGCCTGTCCCCAGGATACTGGATGAGTCCTCATTGACCTGCCTCCATTTTCTCCCCTGAACCCCAATCCTCCTCACACTTCTGCCAGGCAAATCTTCTTGAACCGAGTGTCTGAGCAATTCTCTAGATGAAGAGCCTCAAGACATTGTGTCCTACTGGTAGAATAAAGCCCAAATTCCGCAACTCTGGAACTTCTGGAAAGAACTTCAAGACCGTGCATGATCTGGCTCCAGACTATCATCAAAGCCTCAGCTGTCATCACGCTTCCTCTCGCGATATTCACTCTTGCTCCAACCTCCCTGAACTATTTTTTTTTTCCTTTACTTTGAACAAAAGAGCCTTACTCTGGCGCTAGAGCTTGTCATGCACTCCCGTCATATCTTTACACAACTGATCACTTCTTGTCACTCAGGTCTTATCTCAAATGTCACCTCCTCTGGCGAGGCATACTTGGACCACACAGTCTAATTACCTTCCTCCTCCTAATACCCAGGTTAGTCTTTCACAGTTAATCTGTTGTATTTCTTCTAAGCACATCTCAGCATCTGAACACATCTGTTCATTTATGTTTATTATGGAGTGTCCATCTCCCCACACTCAAATGTAAGCCCCGTGAGCATGAATATTGCCTTTCTTCACTCAACCCAGCTCCTGGAAAAGTGCCTGGCACATGGAAGCCTGAAATCAGATTCTTCCACAGCGTGGCACCCATTTCCACCTCCTTGTTCTGTCTCTGTTTATACGTCTGTGCTAGCTTTTAGTATATTACATCTTTTATTTGAACAGCTATTTCCAAAGAAAGTGAGGAGGAGGGAAAGGAGGACATATCAAAGTCTGGGGGTGGCGGGGTAGAAGAAGGAATGAATCATTTCTAAAACACACATTCAAGTTGTGTAGTTTTCAGTGTAAAGGATTTGCGCATTTTTGTTAAAATTGACCCTTATATATGTTGTATGTTTTTGATCCTACTATAAGCAGTATTCTTTAAATTTCATTTTCTATGTGTTAGTTTCTAATATGTACATTAAAAGTGAATGTTTATATTGACCTCATATCTGTAACCTTGCTAAATTTACTACTCATTTCTAAGTAACTTTTAAAATTATGTGGTTTTGGGCCAGGCATGGTGGCTCACGCCTGTAATCCCAGCACTTTGGGAGGCCAAGGTGGGTGGATCACGAGGTCGGGAGTTTGAGACCAGCCTGGCCAACACGGTGAAACCCCATCTCTACTAAAAATACAAAAATTAGCCAGGTGTTGTGGCATGCACCTGTAGTCCCAGCTACTCAGGAGGCTGAGGCAGGAGAATCGCTTGAAACCAGAAGGCAGAGTTGCAGTGAGCCAAGATCGCGCCACTGCTCTCCACCCTGGGTGAAAGAGCAAAACTCTGTCTCAAAAAAAAAAATTATGCGAGTTTTTTTTCTATGTGCACAATCATCTGAAAATAAATATAGTTTTAATCATATATTCAAAAATGCATATTCAATATCATTATTATTTTCAAGCACAAGCTATGGAAAGTAAAGCATCAAAAAATCATACATGTTCCAAGATAGCTGCTATGCAGGATTTAAGAAAATAATAGTATTATAGGAGACAGGGATTAAAATAGTTGAAAAATACTGTCTTATAGCAACTTATTATGATACATATTACATTTTGAACCCCTGGAGAGCAATACCATGTCTTATTTGTCTGTATTCCATCAAACCTAATAAAGTACATTTTCCAAAGTAGACAATAAATGTTTCCCAGATACCTCAGTACTGTATGCATGGTATATGTTCAATAAAAACTTGCTGATCAATTGAAAGAACCAATAAACAAATTTAAGTTTTTTGAATGATCAGTGTATGCTGAGCCCTGAGACACTATAACAAAAAGACACAAAAAATAGAAAATACATTCATCATTGTCCATATAGAAAAACATAATTTATCAAGTAATGAAAACAAATGAAAATGAAACAAATGCACCACAGGAAACATTTGAGTGGTTACCTGTGCATTTCTTTATATGACTGTTCCTTTTCCCATGTGATCCTAACTTGCAGCCAAAATTCTCCTCCCAAAATTCTGCAAACCACACATTTCTTCGATTATTGGCAAGAGTTTGGCTTCTAAAGTATTGATCAAATCCTATTTCAAAGGAGAAAGGTATGATTTTAATATTCTTTCAAAATTAAATATTGTCAGAACTTTCAAATGGACATTATATTCTGATCACTGCATGAAAAGAAAAAAAAACACATAACAAATGAGAGAAAGCCAGTAGCCCATAAATAAGGCCTCTCTTATGGCAAAAGTCAAGGAGGATCAATGGACAATCCCCCCACACCACCACCAGTACTCAAGCACCTGGCTCTGTGAATAAGTACTACAGGAAAGCCTGGTGTCAGCGTCCTTCTTATACCCTCTCCTACTCTACTTCTCCCAGAGGCAGCAACCAGTGACTTCATGCTGAATCCTGAATACTCAGAACCCAACTTAAACTTCCCTCATTCTTTTCTCTTTCCTAGCATGGATCAATGTTCCAGACTTTCCTGTGTTTCCACATACTTCAAAATTTCTCCTTCCCATATGTTGTTTTCAGCTAATTCAATAAAACAATCATGTTAATGTCATCTTATGGAGTCATGAACTCAAGTGTTGGTTTACTCAGGTAACTACTTTATTGAAGGGAGACCCCCTGGAAATAATGCCTTACTCCAGAGGATAATGTTAAGATGGGAATTTCAGTTACTGTCAAACCGACTGGAAAAGATGTTTAGAAGACAGACTGCCTTTCAGGATGCTCCAAGCCTTTCCTGTTGCATTTATTTATCCATAGGATAAGCCCAGCATCATATATTCATTTTCTATAAATCAAGCATTTCCCTCCAACAATGCTATAACCACCATAAATACCCACAGAAATATGCAAACTCAAACTCAAAGTGCAATTACTAACATAATGGAAATAACTGACTACGGTCTTTTTCTTAAAAAAATATAATGGGTCCTCTTTCCTAAATACACACACACACACACACACACACACACACACACAAAATACATATATATATGTGTGTATATATATGTGTATATATATGTGTGTATATATATGTGTATCTATGTATATATATGTGTGTACATATATGTATATATATGTGTGTGTGTGTATATATATATATATATATATATGCATATGCATGCTGGCTTAAATACTGGTCTTGACAATTCTGCCACCAAAGCTAAAATTTGTATCAAGTCATCAGTAATGAGTGCATTTCCTCATATTATGATACTCCAGTTTTGCCTTTGAGTTCAGATCCAAGTGGAATAAAACAAATTCTCTACGGTGCATTCTTACCATCAATTGATGCTCGTTTGGGCAAAATTGTCACAGCCCCTTCTGCAATCTCCTCTTGCTGATAGACAGGTGCTATTTTGGATCCCCAACTATCTGAGCCAATCCAGAGAAAATGGCCACTTTGGTTTAGTTTTTTTGCTGCTTCCAATATCCTCCTGTAGGAATAAAAATAAATAATGCATGTCACATGTATTAAAAATACCACAATTATGAATATTACAATACCAGCTTTAGGAAGTTTTATACACTCAGTAGGTCACTGTTTAACAATTAAGACAATCATTCTAACTGCCCGAGTCTTATCATCTCCTAAAAGCAATATAGCAGAGACTAACTCCAACATATGTTAATTAGCCTTATCCTTAACCTCATTCACATCATTCTGTCTATCACCTTTGTTTGTCTTATCTCATTTAGTCCCCAAGTTTTACTCTGTACGTATTTCAGATTTACAAACTAGAAGGCAGCAGAAAGCAGTCTGTTGTTGGAAGGGAATTACAAACTTTTATGTTGAACATGAAATATGTTAGAAAGAGGATATGGGACACAAATCTGACCCTGCATACAGAAGAAAAGTAATCAGCACCTGATGTCATCCTCATTGGCAAACATAATCACTGCTCGAGCATTAGGTGTTTCTAGCAGGCATTTGATAATTTTTTCAAATTCTCCAGGTCTTGGTTCACGTGGGATTTTCTGGGACTGAGCAATGCAAACACCATCCATTTAAAAAAGAAGGGAGGGGGTGATTCAGAAAGAGCATTTATTTAATTAGCAAACCCAATTAGCTACTTTATAAAAGCACATACTTCTGTATGAATATTATTTCTCAAACTTTGTGTCACTCTCACCTATTAAGAGCAATTATGTTTGTTTGCATTATAATATATTCACCAAATAAATGACAACAATTATTAATCAGACATGGGTTTCTTTCCCAAAATTTAAACATTATTTTTGTGGATATAGCTAAGAAAACCAAGGTGTATAAGATGTGTGATGAGAGTGAAAAGGTGGAAAGAAGAAGGGCTCTTTTGATTTATGCAATATAAGCCAAAGGACAAGTGACAGAATTAATAAAAGTATGAGTATGTCTTATAGTTGAGACCCTTATTAAGTAGCACGGTCCTTTTGTTACTTTTATTTACTGGTAGACTTCTTTTAAAGTTAATTTCATTGTATAGCTAATAGAACTGCAGCAAGATCCTCATGCATCAGCATAGCAATGTCTTATGAGACAAGTGGTCTTCAAGGCTATATAAGACACAGGCAAACCCCAAAGATGCCAACTTTGGATTGACATACATCTCCACTATGAAAATCGATATGGCAGAAATACCATCGCATTTTCACTGCAAATAAAAAGACAGAACCGTTCTTTTGGCCTCTCCTTCTTAGGCAATGAAGGACAAAAGAGAAAAGTATAGAAAAGATCTCTGCCTCTGGGCTGGGGTAGGAGGAGAAGAAAGAGTTTCCCCCAATTGCAGTGAAACAGAGATAACATTCTGAAACTAGATGAGAAAGCAATATTAGCAATAGGTTTCAGTTGCATTATGGTATAAACAGTATTTTTTTTTTTAGTCAGCTAAGAATTAAATCACCATTTATAGCATTGCTTCAGTAGGCAAAGGCATTTTTACTTCCAAACAATTGACAATGCACTCAGTCATCCAACTGTTATTGGATGCCATTATATTCTACACACTGGGCTCAACATTGGAAATGCACAGTCTAATCCAGGAGTTACCACCTAGTCTGGGAAACAGGCATTTGAATAAGTTACCATGGAATAGATAATAAAGTATATAATTAATAGGATACCCAATACAATCAGAACACAGAAGAAGGAGTAACTAAAGTGCTTGAGAGAGCTGAATTTTAAAGAGCAAATATGCATCCATATGGGGACAAAAGTGGAACATGTCTGGTGGAGGCCAAAGTATGTAAAAACCTAGCAGGATCATGGCCTATGGTAGACACTGGCTGGGTTTGAAGTTGGAAACAATGACCAGGTCCAGCTTGAGAATGGTTTTGTTAGACATGCCAAATTCTGTAGGCTGAGTGTTCATATGTTAACACTTAATCCCCAGTGTGAAAGTATTAGGAGATGGGACTGTTGGGAGGTGATTAGGTCATGAGAGTGGAGTCCTTATGAATGGGATTAGCACCCTTATAAAAAAGACTCCAGAGAGATTTCTTGCACCATCTGCCATGTGAGGACACAGCAAAAAGACACTGAACCAGGAAGAGGGCCCTCATCAGCTCTTGGCCACGCTGGCACCTTGCTTTCAGACCTTCAGCCTCCAGAACTGTAAAAATAAATTACTATTGATTAAGCCATCCAGTATATGATAATTTTTATTTTTTATTTTTTAGATATGGGGGTGTCACTCTGAGATCCAGGCTGGAGTGCAGTGGCCAGATCATAGCTCATTGTAGCCTCAAAGCCCTAGGCTCCAGTGATTTGCCCACCACATCCTCCGGAGTAACTGGGATTACTCCGCACATGCCACCACACCGCACTGGTCTCCTATAATAATTTATTATGGCATCCCAAAGAGACTAAGACATCACATAACTTGGACTTTATTCTGAAAACAATGGGGATCCATTAGGTTCATCAGCAGAAGTATGTGCTGAGCTTTATGCTTTAGGTAGACTTTCAAAGAAGAAACGTCTGGTAGCCAAATGATAGATTTCCAGGGCACTGTGATAGGACCTAATATGTACAGCAGATGTATGACTAACTGGTGCTAGTATATAAAACTATTTTTCTTTTAAGTTAGAGAACATTCAAAATTATGCCTGCAATAGCAGGACTCTTAGTAACCTTACAATTTGCATCCCAGGGGTGGGGATTGCCTATAATACACAGATTGGGCTGTCACTACCCGCAGTTAGCTAGTCTACCGATATACCACCACTAGTTGTGATACTCGATTCATTCCTTCAGTAAATATTTCTTGAGTGCCCAGTATCTGCTAGATACTGTGTGGGTGCTGTGGACACAATGGTGAATAAAAGAAATTCTCTAAGTTCACAGAATTCAGAAATATTGTGGGTATATCAGGCTTAATGCAAAATAAAAAGAAAGAAGAAGAAGAGAAAAAGAACAGAGAGGAGAAAGAAGAAGAGCAGGAGAAGGAGGAGGAGAAAGAGGAAGAGGAAGAAGGAGGAAGAGGAAGAAGGAGGAAGAGGAAGGAGGAGGAAGAGGAAGAAGGAGAAAGAGGACAAAGAGGAGGAGGAGGAAATGGAAGGAGGAGGAGCAGATGGAAGGAGGAGGAAGAGACGGAGGAGGAGGAGGAAGAGATGGAGGAGGAGGAGGAAGGATGGAGGAGGAGGAGGAAGAGAAAGAAGGAGGAGGAGGAAGAAGGGGAAGGAGGAGGAGAAAGCAGAAGCAGAAGAGGCAGAAGAGGGTGAGAGGAGTGGGCAACAAAAATAAGATGGAGATAAGGGTCCGATTGTGTGTGGCTCTGCAGGGCCTGTGGAAGACTATGAACAATTAAATGCTTAATTTTCTCACTAAATGTTTCTACTTCTTCGATCTTTGAGTGGCCCATAGGAATATGTCTCATGTATGAGCATTGCACTCCATGGAAGAAAAATGGATGAGGATCGCTGATACAGAGGGCAGCCTGAAGTGGGATGAACAGGAGGCAATGAGCCCAGCAAGGAGGTATTGGAATAGGCAGTGGGAAATGATGACTGAGCCAGCGCTACTGGTGCTGGGGAGGAGCAGCTGGAGCTAAGGCAGAATCTCTGAGTTAGAATCAATGGGGCTTTGTATTGATTTGATGTAAGCAGCGAAGCAATGGGAAACCGCTAAGTATGACTCCAAGGATTTGGTCTTTGTGACCAGTTATGTGATGGTATCATTAAACAAGTGGGAAATCCAGGAGGATAAGGAGGAGGAAAGAATGATTTTGATTGGAGGCAGGTTGTCTTCAAAGTATGCATGGAATGTCAAACTGAAAAAGTGAATCTGGAGCTAAAGAGAGAGAAGGAAACTGTAATACTTTCGTCAGGGGCTGATAGGTTAGGTATTTGAAGTGTTGTGGGGCAAAGAGGTCACTGAGAGAGAATATTTAAATCAGCAATAGAAAAGGTGAATTATAGAACTCTGAAAAAAATCAGGTTTGGAGAAGGAGGAAAGGAGTGATTACATATTTTGAGAAAACTTTTGGAATGAAGTCTAGAGGTAAGTTGAAGACTATGCATAATTTCTTTAAAATGCAAACAAGCAAACCTCCGTGAGTGGAAACATTAGGTAACTGCAAAAATGTAACATGAAGTAACACTCTCTAGGGAATAATAGCTGTTTCAAAAGATGACTGCCCTTTTAATTAAATTGCCATGATTACTTAAGCATCTCATTAAAGACATGTTATATGCTGAGCATCATTCTGAGACTGTTACTGAATCTGTAGCCATAAAAAATTAAGTTCTGAAAATTTTTATTATTACTGTTTCAGAAGAAGCAAACAAGCAATCCAAACATAGTTTAGTCTGAATTCATTGATTTATTTATTCACAATGGACCTATTAAACATTTTTGTTTGTAAAGAGCTGAGTTAGCTGAGTTGAATTTTAACATAGCTTAAATCCATTTCACTTTTTGCTATTCCTGCATCTCACCTCATATCTTTCAACCTGGTCAGTTTGAATTTTCCTGGAAAGAGGCACTGGAAAGAGGCACTGGACTATTAAGCTGAACAAATGCTTGTAGAGAACCTGTTCCACATGGCATTGTGCTGTTTGGTGCCTGTGGATATTTTATTAAAGTGTAGATTAATTATTTCTCAAATGATTGTAGTTAGAAGACTGGGATTATTTCCTTAACCCTGATACCCATTCACACTTTCTTTCTTCATATCAGTCAAAAACCAGACAGCTAATCTATTCATAAGCACTCATGGTCTACTATGTTTCAGGAGCTACAGACAAAGACCACCAGTCCTCAGCAGTTATGATATAATTGAATGACAATACGTACACATAAGAAATGTCAGACAAGGGTGTAAATTAGGTAACACAGATAACAGCATAAGATATACCACAGTTCAGTCATAAATGACAAATAGGTCATCCCCTAAAATAGTCCTATGACTTCATAAGAGGAAGAGGTCATTACATACTGTTAGAATTTGGTTTTAAAAATAAAATGAAATTCAAAGATTCAGACCTCAAAGATACGTTTTCCATACAATACTCCACATCCATTGCTTGACTTTTTAAAGAGACTCTCTGTCTTGATTTAAGTTCCTGGGGTGGGTGGGAGGAAGAGAAGTTGCCCTTCATCAAAGAATGTGTCCACCACATCTATTCTTCCATGTCTCGGTCTGAAAGATTACTAATTGTGTACAATTCAAGGGACTTTAACTTTCCTATTCTGCAGGGGTGTTCCTGTTCTGTAATTTTTAAAGCTCAGTACTTACAGGCAAAATGTTGTATGAAGGAATTTATAATTGACTGTTTTCTAGAATTTCCTGGCTAGTTTCATTGCAGCCTGTGTATTTTTTTTCCTTCTGGTTACTTAACAATAATTTAAAGATCATTTGTTGAATTTAACACTTTATGTATACTTTACAATATACATGATCACTCCTTTCCAGTCTCATTTACTCAGTGACACCATCTCTATTCCTAATGGCAGAACTTGAAGGTTTGTATCATGACCATCCTTCTGATAAGGAAAATGAGAAACAGGGGTACCAATGGCTTGCAAGATACTGAAATCCAGCTTCAAAGCCAGATTTGTCTGCCTCTAAGTCTAGACTTCTTGCATCATCTTGCCCATCCACAATTGACTATACCTGTGGCTTAATGGTTTAGTGGCTGCAAATGATTGATGGATAAGATAAAGCAAATTTAAAGACTCTTTTTTTAAAACCCTGCCAGTTGTCCCTTGTAAATCTAATTGACAGCTACATAAATACAGTCCTTCTGTTATCCTAAATAAGAGCTTAATTAAAATACTTGGAATCCATGCAGATTATAGAAGTGACTTAAAGTTCTTCAGCAAATAGCCAGTCTACCCTTCAAACTTTCCAGTTGTTTCTGTTGATGCATGTTCTCAGGAAGACTTTTCTGAGGTTCTTGTCTTCCACTTCTTTCATGCTGCAGCAATCATAATAATTTTAATTTTACTTTTTTTTGTTACTTCTTTTTCTTTTTCTTCTTCTATTAGAAATCCATGAGTATTGAACCTTGTCTTTCAAATTTATCAGTATACCCCAACACGTATCACTGTGTTTGGTACATAGACTTCAACAAATATTTGTTGAATGAATAAATGCAAGACTTGTGACAGGTACTGCTAGGATAGAGAAATACAAATGAGACAGTGCTGCTTTCAAAGACTTCTCCATCAAGTAGGGGAACAAATAGCTACATGTAAATATATGTTTAAAAGTAGATGTCATTAAAAGAAGTAAAAAAATATTTGGGCCATGACAATTCAGAGGAAGTTGTCACTGAAATGGGATCTGCCTCCCAAAATAGTTTTTATTAGGGTGCCATGAATTAGAATACTACCTAGGTCTTAGTGTATTCATCTGTAGAGTGGCATTAGAATTTCTTCATATTGATACAAGAGCAAATTTGTAAACAACGCCATTTCAGAATTTTTACCTCTTTAGAAGGCTGAGACTTGTGGGTGAGTGGTCAGGTGTCTCAGATATGAGAGATAAAAGGCTTGTATGTATGATTTGCTAGTGCAGAGAGATGGTGGAATGAGAAAGAAAATAGACTTGTCAGAAGACCTGAGAGTGGCCCCCCGTAATCTTGAAAAGTCTCTCATCTCTCAGTTTCCTCATCTCTGTAATGAGGTTCATAATAACTATCTCTCAGGTATACTGTGAGAATCCAATTATAAAGGGTAAATTCGTATGCCAATGTAGCACATTATTATTAGTGTTAATAACACTAATAATCATAACCAGACAAGAATCATCACCAACACTGAGAGATACTTGACATTCAGCCCCAAAACACAGGTTTTTCAACAGATCATATTTTTGAACCTTCACCATTTTATGTGTAATATTATCAAACATCCTCAATTCTGAAAAGTGATACTTACTCACTTGCCTGTGCCAGTAGATGAAATGACTAGATTTCACTCTTCATCATTGTTGATTACAATGTGATCTGGGCAATTTTAAGGTGAGAGAATGAGAAAAGTTATTTACATTCTTCTCCCATCCCCCAGTTCCTACCCCCAAGAATTATTTCTCCTTTCAAATGGATTCCATAAGTAGTAAAGATTTGGCTCCAATATCTGAGCTGAAATTAGAATTTAACTCTTTAATAAAATGGTTAAAACCATTAAAATATTAACGGGTGCCAATTGTTAAGCAAAAGTTGTTATGGAAACAACCACATGTTCTGTTTCATTCAAACATTTGTGCTACCTTTTTAAGAGGCTGGAATCTAATGTGTTGAGATAATACTGTTGGACTGTCCTAGAAGCAGACCTCAGAAGGAGTTTGAAATGCACAAAATTTGCTCTTGGCATCTACCTGATGGAGGGCTCAGGGGAAGCAGAGAAATCCAGCTGGCTGTGGCCCAGTGAGAGGCTGCTGACACCACAAGAAGTTCTGAGGCTAGAGTGGCCTTCAGAGTTGCTTTAAAACAGGCCACAAAGGCCAGGCCATTATACCTCCACATCAGTCAGTGCATTGATTCATTTTATGTATCAGTTTGACTGGGCCACAAGCCGCCCACATAGCTAGTTAAACATTATTTCTAGGTGTGTCAGAAAAGATTGGCTGGGCGGGGTGGCTCACGCCTATAATCCCAGCACTTTGGGAGGCCAAGGCGGGCAGATCACGAGGTCAGGAGATCAATACCATCCTGGCTAACACGGTGAAACCCCGTCTCTACTAAAAATACAAAAAAAAAAAAAATTAGCCGGGCATGGTGGCAGGCACCTGTAGTCCCAGCTACTTGGGAGGCTGAGGCAGGAGAATGGCGTGAACCCAGGAGGCGGAGCTTGCAGTGAGCCGAGATCACGCCACTGCACTCCAGCCTGGGCAACAGAGCGAGACTCTGTCTCAAAAACAAACAAAAAAACAAATAAAAAAAGACAGAAAAGATTAGCACTTGAATTAGTGGACTGAGTAAAGCAGATTACCTTCTCCAATGCAGGCTGGGATATTGAGGGCTTAAATGGAACAAAAATGTAGACCAAGGTTGAATGAACTCAGCCTGACTGCTTGAGCTGGGACATTGATCTTCTCCTGCTCTCAGTGCCTCTGGCTCTGAGGCATTCAAACTACACCACTGGTTTTCTTGGGTCTCCAATTTGCAGACAGCGATTGTAAAACTTTTCAGCCTCCAAAATTATGTGAGCCAGTATCTGACAAAAAATATCTTTGGTTCTGTTTCTCTGGAGAACCCTGACCAATACAATGAATCATCAGATCTGGGCCACTCTGGAAGAGGGGAAGGTGACCTTGGGCAAGGCAGCTCTCTGTAGCCAGGGCATTCCCTCACAGGGTTCAGAGCTGAAGGTTGTCTGCCGATAGCACTCCCAGAAATAGGAATAACAGGTCATGCACTGATGGGATCTTGAAGGTCAATTCACCATATATACATTAGTGTTAATAATGTATAATTGAAATGTATACAAAAATGAAGATATCATTTTTCTGAAACAACCGTAGATTATTGTTTGCCTTATAAGGCAAATAATTAATAGAATGTTATTATTTAATGTTAAAACTTCCTTTCAAAGACGTCTTGTTGCACAAAGAAAGGCAATCTATACAAATGGTAGAAAACTGGAATTGTAGCCAGCACAAGTAGGAGAAATAGGACCTTCATTCTTTCTGGTATTTCAATAAAAAAGTGTTGTTAAAACAATCTAAAAGGATAAAGAATTGTGTTTTTAGTTGTTGCTCATTTATAAGACAAAAATCTCTATTAATAATATAGTAGGAGAAAAATAAAACAAGAAACAATGTCACAGCACCAAGTTCCAACTGTGATGGAAATTGAGGATTAACTTATTGGAATGAAATTACTTACAAAGCTGTGTATAGAATACTAAGTGTGCTTTTTAAAAAAACAACATGACTACAGTATTATCAGTATCTCAAGTTGGTTCACAATTTCCATCAAATTAAATTCTACATAAATCAACTCAAGTCTGTGGTTATATAATTTGTTAGAGCTACATGACAGACCTTGGTTTTGGTGTACAAATAAGCAAACAAAATTACCATTTTATCAATTGTTAAAGAGAATGACTAGACTATTGGTTAAAAATGATTAGACTTACAGTTTGACCATAAGAAATTTGCCTAGAATTAAACATTTTTTGATCTAATAAAAATGTGATACAGCCCATCCACCATTATTTATTTCTTATGAACATGCCTTCAGATAATAGTAATGAGCAAAACAAAATAACCAGTTTTTTTTAAGGCAATAGAAACACATAAACTCTCTACCCTAAATATCCTTAGCATAATTTATATTTCCATCTTTCTGAAGACATAAGTAAACTAACAATTTGACCTAAAGTAATTGGTCCTTTAGTGGTAGTTGAGTAAAATTTGTTCTATGGTTTAAATGAGTGTAATCACGCCTCCTGTAGCAATATTTTCGCCTCCTCATGTGGTGTACAACTGGGACTTAGCAGGAAAGTGCACAACATGAAACTGTAAGTTTATCAGCTTAAAGTGTACTTTGCAAAAGAGAAGATTTATCTCGCACATCACTGTAAAGAAAAAGTGTTATCTCTACCAACATGGATTAAAAGAGCAAAACTGCACTTATATTTGTGTTCATTTTCTCCTTCTCACTTTCAAACATTTTATACTTTTTCCTCTATGAAATGCCATGTGGAATCTTAAAGGGACTCTGAAAAGCAATGCAATGAAGGAATGGTACAGAAGAGGCATGCACTACCATGCATAGGGAAATAAAGACAATCCACTGTGAAACGAGACTGCAACAGAAGCAGACACTTCTCAAAAGAAGACATACAGGTGGCTAACAAACATATGAAAAAAATGCTCAACATCACTGGTCACAGAGAAATGCGAGTCAAAACCACTATGAGACATCATCACACACCAGTCAGAATGACTATTATTAAAAGTCAAAAAATAACATGTTGATGAGGCTACAGAGAAAAAGGAAGACTTATACACTGTTGGTGGGAAAGTAAATTAGTTCAGCCACTGTGGAAAGCAGTATGAAGATTTCTCAAAGAACCAAAAACAGAACTACCATTCAACCCAGCAACCCCATTACTTGATATCTACCCAAAGGAAAAGAAATTGTTCTACCAAAAAGACACATGCACCTATATGTTCCCCATAGCACTATTACAATAGCAAAGACGTGGAATCAACCTAAGTGCCCATCAGCAGTGGACTGGATAAAGAAAATGTGGTAGATATACACTGTGTAATGCTATACAGCCATAAAAAAGAATGAAGTCTTGCCCTTTGCAGCAACGTGGATGCAGCTAGAGGCCACAATCCTAAGCAAATTAATGCAGAAACAGAAAACAAAATATTTCATGTTCTTACTTATAAGTGTGAGCTAAATCTTGGCTACACACAGACATAAAGATGGGAACAATAGACACTGGAAACTCCACAAGGATGGAGGGAGTGGGGCGAGGGCTGAAAACTTCCTATTGGGTACTATGTTCATCATCTGGGTGATGGGATCAACAGAAACCCGATCCTCAGCATCACACAAGTATACCCTTGTAACAAACATGCACATGTACCCCCCCAATCTAAAATAAAAATAGATACTTTTTAAAAAAAGAAAATCATAATTAAAAAGAAAAGAAAAGGACCTTGGCACAGAGAGCCCCTCTCCTGCCTGTCTGCAGATGTACTCTCAGAGAGATGCTGTGATCTGGAGGTGGATCGGGTCTAGGTAGGTTCACAGGGTCAGCGTCCACACTGGGCTCTCACTCAGCCACAACTCACCACTGATCTGGAGGTCTGCTCAGAGGAACAGAGGAGTGGGGTGAATATGAATCTCATCTCTAGGGTCAGACTTCCTAGGTCCAAATCCTGGCCCTTCTCTTCTTAGCTATGTGAGACTGGGTAAGTGAGGTGGCTTCTTTGTACCTCTGTCCCTCATCTGAAGATTGAGAAGATGTCGCCCAAATGGGCTTTGTGAAGAGATTCAATAGACACTCAACACATTATGTTTTCCTCAGAAAACACCTGCTAGTTGTAAATTGTTTAAAATCAAAATCAACAGCCCCCACACAGAAACAGTGATTGTCTTTCATCAAGTGATATTCACCTGCATTATTTCTAGAAACCTCAAATTTCATTCCCCAAGTATACACAGAATCACAACTCATACTAGAGATTCCTCAAGGGGGATATAGAGTCGGCTGCAGAAAGCTGTATAGTTAGAAGAAAAACTTATGCTCACCACAATAGAAATGAATGTCTGATATGTTGCCTCTTCTTACCTCTTCCTTTGAATTAGAAATGTCTAAGGAGACATGGGTACAGGAACTGGGAAAGATTCAGAGAAACAAAGAAAGAAATATAAAAGAAGAGAACCAGGAAGGGGAAAGGGGAGAAGAGAAATGGCGTCGGGGGAGAATGAAAGAGAATAAGAGTAGAAAGAGGAGAGCTGAGAGAGAACACCCAGTCCAGAGGTATCTATGGAACTGGGCAGAAAAGGAATTCTCTGTAGGGTCAAAAAAGCAAGTGCAAGGTGAGGAACAATTGGAGAAGGAGCACTTGACTAGGTTTAAATGAATTTCATTAATGTGTTGTGTGCATTTGTATTTTCTTTAGATTATTTTTTGGTGAGTGATTTGTGACCTTTATTTTGTTCTGTCTATTTGTTTTTGCCATTTCAAATTAGGTTCCCAGACTCCGCAGCAAAAAATACGACAGGAAGTTTTCAAAAGAGAAAACTAACTCCCTCTAAATGCTCAAATGACCAGTATGAACAGACTCTCTGACATATTTTCCAGCCCATTGCCTGGAAAAACCATTATGACAAAGACAATATTGAAATCAAAGTGAGCACTGTTTAAATTTCTTACCTGTTCTGGACTTTAAAACAGCATTAGACTTTGAATTAAGCCCATTACAGAATTAATAATTTCATTACAGAACTGCAGCAATTAAACACCCCAGTGTATCTCTAAGTCTAGTGAAGCCTGATAGCTGTGAATACTCATTGGATGTGTGACAAATACGTGAATAAATGAGAAGCCACTGTTTCCTGATACAGTGAAATTATCTAATAAATAGATAAGCATATCCACATTTTAAAACCACCATCATTCAGAAAAAGGCAAAGTATCCTGGTATCTGTGTTATATGTGTACATATCATAAAGTCATTTCCAAATACCTTCTGCAGATAGGACATTCTCAACAGTATATCAACAGCAGGTATTAGAGCTTATAGTCTATGTGCACTCTTCTACCTAGCACCAAGTAATATCTGATTCTACTTATCAGCATTACCCGAATTCTGCTATGTATTAGCTTTCAAACAGTGAGGGGTCTTTGCTCAAAGCAGCATTTTCAACAGATACAATGGCTGAGATTCTCAATTTAAGAAAGAATAAACTGATAGCAGAAAGGTCATTATTATTTTAGCCAAATAACCCTTCTGAGCAAGGGTTGTACAATGACCAATGTATGGCAGTAACCAAACTAGGAAATGAACTTCAGAGAACAAACATCAGCACCCAAAGCATTTAAAAACTCAGTCTTTCAAGGAAATGCAAGTAACATGTAGTGTTTCCCTAGGTAATGCAAGATCATTCCCTATAGGAGGATTTGATCCATGTGTTTAGTACATAAAAAGGTTAAAAATGCAGTTATGTTTTTAACTTTTTGGATTCAGATAGTACTAAAAAGAAAGGATAGTGAATAGATATGTTTTGGATAGCAAGCCATCTAACATTTTCTTGGGCTCCAGAGACGATCCTATCCTGGCCTCCCAAGTAGCTAGGACTACAGGTGTGTGCCACCATGCCTGGCTAATGTTTTTGTTTTTTGTGGACATAGGGGTCTTGCTATTTTGGCCAGCTGGTCTCGAACTCCTGGCCTCAGGCAATACTACTGCCTCTGCCTCCCAAAGTGCTGGGATTACAGGTGGAAGCCACCATGCCCAGCATAATTCTTTGAAGGACTCTTGTCAAAATACATTTTGGACTAGATTTTATTCAAAATAGAAGATAATTAGTAGCTTGAGATGCAAGGACCTCCTCCAACCACACACACACATGCACACACACACACGATTCTATTACCTTTTCCTTAATGAAATATCTACTTTTAGAACAAATAGCAAATAATAATATATTTGAACAGAAAAATACTATTTCACTAATGCTTTAATATCTAATTTCAGCCTCATAATATCCTAATACTATCAGGTTAGTAGGGTAAACATTATAAATTTCTTTTTACATGGAAAAAACTGTCCCCAAGATCACATGGCTATTGAGGAGTCAAATGCAAACCTTGTCAACCTAATCCTAATAGCAAATAATTACTGTACTTTACTATTATCTCTCAATAATTGTCTCCTTGGTCATTAGGTCACCTCAATGTACATAATTAAATACAACATCAACAGGTAAGGTGGTATATTCAAAATGTGAACTTCAAAGTTTTACATCATCAAGGCTGCACAGTTTAGATAAATGTTTTTTGGTCTGGTTCAAGTTGGATAGAAATTTCATTGACTGACATCCTCTCAAAAGAGCCTATTGCAAGCTATTTTCCCCATAAACCTGGGTCTGCCTGTCATCACTCGTGGAGCATTAACTGAGCTCTTGCTACATGCTGAGCTCTCTGTTAGAATCTGGAGTTACATGAATGAATAAGAAGACACAGTCCCTCATCTTCAGGAGATAACAGTAAACAACACAATACGTAAACAAATATTACAATTTGATGTGAGAAATGCTATCATATAGGGCAGCCTAGGGACAAAAGACCAAGAAAATGGAATTTGGCAACTGTAAGTAAGATTTACTGGCTCTTGCCAGCGGCCTTGGAATTACGTGGTCAGAGAAGCATAAAAAATAGTTGTATGATACATTGATATGCCTCGGAATCAACAAGTCAGAAAACATTTCAGAAGTGAGATTATGCTTGATTCAGACAGCCAAAAACCAGCAAAATCTATTTCTAATGGATACTACCGTCCACAGAGATGCATATTTCCTTTGACAATGTTGTCATTAAATATGATGTAATAAACACCCTGCTTTATGTACAAAAGGAGATTTAATCTCACTTTTCCACGATAAGAAGCAGACAACTCATGTTACTGCAGAAGGAATACAGAAAAAAAATTAACCATTAAAATGACCACTGGAAGAGGAAATAGCAACACATCAATCCTAAGAATGAAGGATTTCAGCTGGACTCAATAAAATGTAATCACAACTAATCAAACAGCTATCTACAAGGCTTTATTTTAATGTTAAAACACATCAGAACTTGTGAGAATAGGTTTTTAAAAATTTATTCCTATTATTAGAAATTCTGAAAATGTGCAAGCCAGGTCAATATTGCATAATTTAAAGATGCACTGTCAAACAATCTTTTACTGAAACCAAAAACATCTACATTCTCAGTGTTATAGGAAATATAGCAGGTGTTTTATAACTTTCTGCATTAAATGGTATTGTTTATCTAACGGAGTTCTTAGAAAAGAACATTAAGCTTCCAACAATCCCAACATCATCCAAGCACAAAAATGAAAATCGATCAGAATTGCAAATGACAAAAGGATAACAATTTGTTACTTCATAAATTTCTGTGATATAATTTCTAATTTCCGTTCATGCAGTGACTTCTAGATAAAATTCATTCTCCTTGCAAATGCATTATAGCTTAACCATATATAACATGTAAATATCTACAAATGAAAAGCAGCTTAGCTTGTTTAATAAAAAAAAGATCCTGGAATATAAACAGAGTAACAGAAGCACTCGTTCAAGTTCACTCATGGCATGCTATCTTCTTCTCATCCCTGCAATGGAGCACACCCATGTTCCCTCTGCATGACCCTGGGCAAGATGTGTAACATTTGTGGCTATCAGTTCCTTCATTTGTAAAAAGAAGGGTGCTTGACAGGATGATCTCAAGATGCCTTTGAATTTCAACATTTTGTGTTTCTATGAATATACCACATAGCTCCCTCCCATGAGTACTGTGAATTATGTAAATTCTAATATGGGAATAGAACATCATGTAAAATACAATAAATTGCTTTTTGAAAAGCCTACAGGAGATGAACTAGAGGGTACATCAGAAAACTTTTCCAATTCAAAATTATAAATCCTGACTTCACAAGTCAAAGCATGACTGGGGATCTTAAAAACTTATTTTTTGTTAGAGTATTGGAGCCTTGGTCAGGTGCTAGGGGTCTGATGACCAGTTCATTGAAGCATTATAGTTCTCTTGTCAGTTCAAAAAAAAAAAAAAAATGAAAGGAGTGTTGGGGATGGGCTGAAGATGAAGACAACAATGGCTTCCATTTTACTATTCAATAATAGCCTCGCTTTTCCTCTCCTCATCCATTTCTCTCTCCTATTTCTTGATCCTGCTCAACTTTCCCTTTCTCTCCCTTCCCCTTCCCTTCTCTTACTCTGTCTTTCCCATTTTAAAAACCTGAAAATGGAGATGAGCCACCTGATACAGCACCCTTTCAATTACTTCCATCCTGTTACTGAGACTCACTAATAGCAGCAGCAAAAAAAGGACTGTTGCATGGCCTGGCCTCTTGTTGAGCATGGAAAATAGAACACATTCATTCACCTCCATGTTATAAACTGAATGTCTGTATACCCTTAAAATTCACATGTTGAAGCCCTACCCCTCTGATGTGATAGTATTACCTTTAGGAGGTAATGAAGTTTAGATGAAGTCATGAGAGTAAGACTCCCACATGGGATTAGTGTCCTTATTAGAAGAGGAAAGATCAGACTGATCTCTCTCTGTCTCTCTCTGTCTCCATTCACCATGTGAGAACACAGTGAGAAGGCCGTCGTCTGCAAGCCAGGAAGACAGCCCTCATCAAGAACCCAACCAGGCTAACATCCTAATCTCAGACTTTCCAGCCTCCAGAACTGTGATAAATAAATGTCTCTTGTTTAAGGTACTCAGTTTATGGTATTTTGATTTAGCAACCTGAGCTAAGACACTCTAATTCCTCCAAATACCCAACTAAGTTGTCTACTATAAAAAAAGCAGAGAAAAGAGGAGGGAAATGTCATCAATATTTTGAAAGCTGAAAAGCAGATGATTACCAAGTTGCAACTGACTTACCAGAATAGAAAAAGCTCAGTGAGAGCCCACAAGGAGTGGGGCTGGGGATGAGGCCAACAGAAACAAAGCTGGTGTTCCACTTAACATGATGAAGGCCCTGGAGTGGAGGTACCAGAGGCTGCAGAAGGTGGGGTTGAAAATGGAGTTGGTTGAAAATCTCTAAAGTCCCTTCCCTCAACTCCAGTCCCTCTGCACAGAAGATCAGAGAGTCATTTTCTATAGATGATGAACTCAGGGACATCAAACACAGCTGAAGACATAGCGAGTTTCTATAGAATAAAAGTCTGCATGCTGAATGGATAGTCCCTGGTCCCCTCTCCCTGTTTAGCATCCAGACTGCAGTAGCCTAACTTATCTCCCCCCATCCACCCCTGCCCCCACTAAACCCCATAAAGAAAATTGGAAGAGTCTTCTCTGGAGAATCTGGTCCAAGGGTAATGACATAATGATACTTACATGGATGTTTCCCAACTAAATGACCAATTCCACCTGCTCGAGCTAAAGTAAAGCCCACTGGCCAATGAATTTGTCCTCACTTCCAAGTCTCACAAACACCATGTCAGCACCTCACTCTTAATATCACAGCAGACATTTGAGAGGAGCCTCTACCGTGAAAGTCAGGAACCGAAACAAACAGAAGAGATAAACTTAGAGGACATAGAAATAAGACATACGTAGATAACTTCAAGATTATTAATATCCTCAGAGACAAGAAGTGTGTCCATGCAACAAGAATAGGAGGCTAAAAGAATAGAAACATTCAGAGGGCAAGAAAGAGCTCCTAGAAATTAAAAAGGAAAAGATAGAAATATCTCAATAGATAAGGTATAAGAGCAAGTAGAGAAAACATTTCAGAAAGTAAAACAAATGAAAATGACCATAAAATTGGAGAATTCATTCAAGTGGCTTAACTTTCCAATTTTGAAATCCCCAAAAGAGAAAATAAAGAGAAGCCATTACCAAAGAAAATTTTAAGAATATTTCTCAGAGCTGAAGAATAAGAATTTTTGGATTGAAAATACTTATAAAATGCCAGCAAAAAGAAAAGGAAAGGAAGGGGAAGGAAGAAAACCTATGTGAAGGAACATTAACACAAAATTTTAAAACACTCATGAGTAAAAACTGATTACAGGGAAGGATTAAGGCTCAGAATGGTTTCAGGATTTTCACAGCAATAATGTGAAGTCAGAAGAAAATGGACAACGCCTTCAAAATTATAAGAAAAAATGAGTTTTATTTGAAATGAAAAGAAAGCAAGCTAAACCATATATCAAGTGTGTGGGTAGAATAAAGTCTATTTAAAATATGAAGAAAACTCAAAAAAATCATTTACCTTCCATGCATACCTTTTTTATGAAGCTTCTCAGGGATGGAAGGAAACTTTCCAAACCAAGAAAGGAAACAAGAATGAACAAGACCCAGAATCCAAGTAGCAGGGAATTCAGCACAGGAGAAGGAAAGGGGATTTCTCAAAGTGATGATGAAGAGAAGCAGAGTTAACAGCCATCAAACGTCCAAAGATCATCCCACCCAGATTAGAGCAGGGAAATGGAAGCCTCCAGAAGAATCTCCAAGAAGAAAAGAAGCTGAATGGATGGGCTGTTTGAAGTGTTTGGATATACTGAAAGGATACGTATAGTTCTGTCAAAGTTTGAGGATGAATTGATAAGTTATACAGAAATCTAAGCATATGACAAAGCAAGAAATGATTAATTTCAGGAAAAACCAAATGTTTAAGAATAGAAATGGTATTTTAGTACACTAGATTAACTGCAACATCAAATGCAGAATCATGATAATACAAGCACTGAATACTAATTAAATCAGAATTATGATACAATCCTACTGGAAAGATTGGAGGAAAGGAAGTGTATGTGTGTTCATGCACACATCCATGTGCAATGTGTGCACTGTGGGGAGTTAAGTCATCATATTCTGTAGTAGACAGACAATCAAAATGAAAGCTAAAAAAAAATCAAGAAATTGCAACATAAAAATGTTATGTGAAAAATGGAGATGAATACCAGAAAAAGAGCTAAAGGGGTTGGAAAAAATTGTTCTTGGGGATCAAGATTCAAAAGTACGGGGAGCGCAGTGGGTTTTTGTTAAGTCCAGTAGCATTATATACAATATCACTTGGGTAAAATACATGTTTGGGGCCCTGATTTTTAAGGTCATTAAGTGGGAGTGGGGATGATATGGTTTGGATGTGTCCTCACCCAAATCTCATATTGAAATGTAATCCCCAACGCTGGAGGTGGGGCCTGGTGGGAGGTGATTGGATCATGCGGGCAGAGTTCTCATGAATGGTTTAGCAACATCCACCCTTGCTACTGTACAGTGAGTTCTCACAAGATCTGGTTGTTTAAAAGTATGTAGCACCTCCCCCTCCCTCTCTTGGTCCTGCTCCTGCCATGTAAGACACCTGTTCCCACTTTTCCTTCTACCATGAGTAAAAGCTCCCTGAGGCCTCCCCAGAAGCAGATGCCACAATGCTTCATGTTCAGCCTGCAGAATTATGAGCAAATTAAACCTCTTGTCTTTATAAATTACCCGGTTTCAGGTATTTCTTTATACCAATGTGAGAACAAACTAATACAGAGGAAAAAAGAGTTTAAAGATAGCAAGATAATTTTAGTCCTATACATTAGGGAAGCATCTTCTGTAACCAGCTTTCTCTTTAAAACATTTCTGCACCTTTATGCCTGTGACTGTATTATCTTATGCTGATTGCTTATTTGTTTGTTTGTTTTGGTGGCATAACAGGTGCTTGTTTAATATTTTTAGGAACGAAATCCAGAAAACAACACGCATTGACTAAAATAATAAGAACCACATGAAAATCCATGTTGCCTGGGTTTAAAGCATCTGCTTTTCATGTAAGTCAACACTAACCTACTAATCTGTCCCTAATTCATCTGATATCCAAACTTCAAAGGTTCTTTTCAGATATATCAGTAATTGGTTTTAATAACAAATAAGACCTATCATTTAATCAAAACCACTACTGACACTTTATCTGGATATTGTTTGCAATATAATATTATGTTTGTTGCTATAATAAAGAAAATAAGAGTCCTCTCACATACAGACATAATTATTACCCAAGTAATCCTTTTTAAGCACTTCAAGGGACACGAGAAAATGAAATTCAGCTGGAGGCATCATGCTACCTGACTTCAAACTATACTACAAGGCTACAGTAACCAAAACAGCTTGGTACTGGTACCAAAACAGAGATATAGATCAATGGAACAGAACAGAGCCCTCAGAAATAATGCCGCGTATCTACAACTATCTGATCTTTGACAAACCTGAGAAAAACAAGCAATGGGGAAAGGATTCCCTATTTAATAAATGGTGATGGGAAAACTGGCTAGCCATATGTAGAAAGCTGAAACTGGATCCCTTCCTTACACCTTATACAAAAATTAATTCAAGATGGATTAAAGACTTAAACGTTAGACCTAAAACCATAAAAACCCTAGAAGAAAACCTAGGCATTACCATTCAGGACATAGTCATGGGCAAGGACTTCATGTCTAAAACACCAAAAGCAATGGCAACAAAAGCCAAAATTGACAAGTGGGATCTAATTAAACTAAAGAGCTTCTGCACAGCAAAAGAAACTACCATCAGAGTGAACAGGCAACCTACAAAATGGGAGAAAATTTTTGCAACCTACTCATCTGACAAAGGGCTAATATCCAGAATCTACAATGAAGTCAAACAAATTTACAAGAAAAAACAAACAACCCCATCAAAAAGTGGGCGAAGGACATGAACAGACACTTCTCAAAGGAAGACATTTATGCAGCCAAGAAACACATGAAAAAATGCTCACCATCACTGGCCATCAGAGAAATGCAAATCAAAACCACAATGAGATACCATCTCACACCAGTTAGAATGGCGATCATTAAAAAGTCAGGAAACAACAGGTGCTGGAGAGGATGTGGAGAAATAGGAACACTTTTACACTGTTGGTGGGACTGTAAACTAGTTCAACCATTGTGGAAGTCAGTGTGGCTATTCCTCAGGCATCTAGAACTAGAAATACCATTTGACCCAGCCATCCCATTAATGGGTATATACCCAAAGGACTGTAAATCATGCTGCTATAAAGACACATGCACACGTATGTTTATTGCAGCAGTATTCACAATAGCAAAGACTTGGAACCAACCCAAATGTCCAACAACGATAGACTGGGTTAAGAAAATGTGGCACATATACACCATGGAATACTATGCAGCCATAAAAAATGATGAGTTCCTGTCCTTTGTAGGGACATGGATGAAACTGGAAATCATCATTCTCAGTAAACTATCGCAAGGACAAAAAACCAAACACTGCATGTTCTCACTCATAGGTGGGAAATGAACAATGAGAACACATAGACACAGGAAGGGGAACATCACACTTCGGGGACTGTTGTGGGGTGGGGGGGAGGGGGGAGGGATAGCATTAGGAGATATACCTAATGTAAATGATGAGTTAATGTGTGCAGCACACCAACATGGCACATGAATACTTATGTTACAAACCTGCACATTGTGCACATGTATCCTAAAACTTGAAGTATAATAATAAAATAAAATAAAATAAAAAAACAAAGTATACACTAATACAGATTAACCAACTAAAAAAAAAGTAGAGAAAGGTCATTTAAAACATATAAAGGATACAGTAATAATCTAACACGTTGAAATCTAAGAAGGAGAAAACAGCTGGTCTGAACAGAATTTTAAGTGTCAATGTTAGAGGTTTTATCAAAATTGACCAATAATATTAAACCACAGGTTCAGGAGACTTTGCAAAGCAAAGGAAACCACATACAGAGGACACACCTAGAAACATAATGGGACAATTTCTGAAAAGTAAAAGAAAAATATAAAGAGCACTTGATAAAAAAATTGGGCTAACTGCAAAGAGAAAGAGTTGACTGATAACAACCTTCTCAAATGAAACGATGAAAGCCAAAAAGTGAGGTACTGATATCGTTCAAGTCCTGAAATAAAATAAGTGCCGACCTAGAACTATCTACTTGGTGGACATATCCATCAAAAGCAAAGATACAATAAAGAATTTCTCCCAAGCAGACCCACAGGAAAGGAAATACTAAAGATTATTCTTCAGGTAGAAGAGACATGATCCCTGATGAAAGTTTGCAGTTAGAAGAATGATTTATTTTAATGAAAGAAATAAACATGGAGAGAAATTTAATTGGATATCAACTGTATAACAGAATGCTATCTCATAAAGTTTAAAATGTATCTTCCATACAACAGCAGAAGCATATAAGTTGTGAGTCGGATAAATTAATTTTAAAATATTGTCAAGTTTTTTTTGCAAATAGACAAATGTACCAATTATATTAGACCCTGGAGTCAAGAATGCACATTGTAATAAACCAGTGAAAACGTATTCAGACCAGACTTTTTTAAATGGACTCTCTTAAAGTTTTTATAATTTATATTTATATTTCACAGATGTTGAAAGTAAATAATGGAAAAGCATGCAATGCAAATGTTAACCAAAATATAGCTTTAGTTGTACTTATATTCACATTTAAAAAGTTGGACACAATTAAGTCTCAGTGATTTTTTAACACAACGGAGGCAAGCTGTGCAGTTATGACTAGTATTATGCTCTTGGCCTGATTACAGAAGGGAAAGGGGCGATCATACCAGACAATGGCAGAATGAAGCAACAAGGAGTAGAGTTACAGAACATGATGCTGTAACTGGGACTGGAGTTACACTTTTAGAGTTAAAGAATAGTAAACTGGACAAAATATATGAAACATTTTTTTGAAGTACTGAACATCAGGCAGCACAGGACTGTGCTCTGCAAGAGAAGAGAAGGAACCAGAATGAGTCCTGCTTTATTCCCAGGTTCTCCGTGACAGCAGTAGAGTGGAATCCCAGAGACAGCAGACATTGTCATTGCACTGAGGAACCAGATAAAAATCAAAAAAAGGTTAAGCAGCTGGAATGTGTAGTAGAAGAGAAAGTTTACGGAGAAAGGAAATAAGAATCAGCATAAGGTTTCTCCCAAGTCCCTAAGCCAAATGTACATAGGATGAAATTCTAAGGAGCTCAGCAAAGGACTCTACCAGGGAGTTGGAAGAAGAAGACTTCCCTGGCATCACATGACAGGAAGACATGTTAGCTCTGACCAGCCAGAGAAGGGAATCCCCTCTGTACCTCCAGGATATTCAGTAAAGACCACTGGAGGTTCATGCCCTAGTGACAGTGCTCATTTAGCTCCAAATTACAGATGGCTCTAGACTAACTCAACAAAGTTTAAAGAGAAGATTTAAAACAACAACAGAAAATTACTCTTCCCGAAGTTACCGAACTGCCTGCCACAACATTGTTCAAAGGTAGCCAATAAAATCTAGATATTCAATAGCATAACATCAAAATATCCAAAAAAAAAAAAAAAAAACTCTGACCTGCAAAGAAGCCGGAAGATATATATTCTTAAGATAAATATTAACAGGATAAAAATAAGTCATTTATAAATGACAGAGAAGAAGGAATTTTCAAGGTCCTTAAAGTAAATATATTTTATAAATACATATAGATAAATACATATATATGTCAAATTACTTAAATGAAAATTGAACATAGGAGAAAAATAGAAGTTATAAAATGAAAAATGTGACATGTGTAGATGAAAAATAAATATTTGAAATAAAAATTCCATGAGATAGAATAAGTAATGGATTTTACCCTAACATCAGAAAATTTGTAGAAAAAAATAGAAGCTTTACAAACTAAAGGAAAATGGGTAAACTAAAATAAGAAAGCCAAAAACTCATTGATATGTGAGACCATATGCAGCAGTGTAACATACATGTAATTAATACCTCAAAAAGGATGGGTGGGGGAATTATAGTTGAATAAAGAACGGTACACTCTTTCCTGAGGGCACCGAGGAGGGAGGATAGCTTGAGATTCCTAAGGGAGGGTATTATCCATTCATGAAGGTCTATCCCCATGACCCAACACCTCCCAGTAAGCCCCACCTGCAACATTCGGGATCAAATTTTAACATGAGATTTGGAAGGGGCAAGCATTCAAACCATAGCAAGAGTTAAATTTCCTTTTAAAGAAAATCACTGATATGATTCCATTTCACCATAGATAAAAACTAGTATTTCAGCCTACCATTGAGTGTACTTATAGCTAACCAAAAGGGCACTCTGTCTCGGGAATACAGATTTGCCTAGAGGTATCCTATTGCAGTCAAAAAAAGAGCAATGAGGGATACCAAATATTAGTGATGGAGACACCAACGCTGCATTTTACAACAAACAATGTAAAAACTTTATGGATTGCTTCTGCTAACTTACTACAGTTTACATTCCTCTCAGGTGGGAGAATTGTTGAGTTTTTTCTTAAGATAGAAAAACAATTCAGATAATCTGAAATCTCCACAAGAAGGATAAGAAGCACAGCAGAAACTGTTCTAAGCAGGAAGTCAATCCTTTCAACTGTCTGTGCTCCATAGAAACAATTGTCTGCACTGGGAGTCATATGTGGTACAGACAACAGCCAGATCTCTGATCCTCTCATTAGTGATTTCAGAAGAAATTACCAGTCAACTGAGTAATTCACTGAGTAAAGTAAACATTTGGCACTGACAGAGGTTAGATGGATAACTATTTGTATCACCATATTCATGAAGCTGGAATATTTTCCATTACTGGTATCACATCCGAATGGAAGATGTTAAAAGGTCTCTCATCTTGTAAGATGGCTATGAAAGAACATTTTCTGAGAAATGAAATTATTAACACACCTGCGAGGTGGATGGAAGAGAAAAAAAAAGAATAATCAGCTTGAGTTCTTCTCCTTGATAAGACAACTCACTAAAAACATAAAGAGAAAAATACAAGTTTAAAATAATTAACCAGAAGAAGACAACTCTAGAGTTTTTAAATTGCTGATAAGATTTTAATTTGCTAAAAGTTGAAAATAACTATATTGCTTGTGTTTTAAGGCACATAATGAGCAATTATATCACACATGATAGATTCAGCAGTAAAATATTATCCGTTAACAGCTGGAACTCATAAAAGCATAGCACAATCTGAAGATGGAATTTGCTAAAATAAACCATCTGCTGAAAACTACTATTCTACAAATTTAAAAATAAAGTTTAAATGTTATTTGTCTTATTTAATAGGTCTGTGAAAAAATGTGATATTTGAAAAGTAGGTGCTACCTTAATTAGTTCTTTATATTACACAACTGGTTACAGTAATACACAGTAAGGTGCTACATACAAATATTGCTAAATTTTCTGCATATACTATGTATTTAGCTTAAATTATTTGAAATTTTAGAGTTAAAGTAACAAATGTATATTTAAATGTTTAGACAGAAATTGCAAATATACCTTTAAAAAGCATCTTACACTCTAAATATTATTTGTCACATATATATTTGTCTTTTCTCTATAGGAAAGTTTAAATTTTTCCCTTGAAGCTTTAATTATTTGAGTCTATAAAACAAACTGATAATGTACAAATTAACAGAAAAAAATGTTTACAGATATAATTATGTGCACAAGTATGCACTTGGAGTTTACATAATATATATAAATATATATACAAATATTTGTATATTATAAATAGATATGCAAATATATACTATATATATAAAAACTCCAGGAAAGGCAAGGTAGTCAACATGCCTATGCTGTCTTGAGGTTACAGAAAACACAGAGCTGTACGTTGGTCAATCAGGCTTTGCGGAAGACAGGTGACGACAAGGAAGAAAGAGGAGCCTGGCAGCAGAGGTGGTCTTGTTACATGGATGAAACCTCACAGGGAGCAGCCCTCCTCTTGGGAAGTATAGATAGGAAATGGTTTTTAGAAATGTAAATGTGCCAGACTCAGTTAATCTTTCCTAAACCCAGACAAGGGAGTATCTCAGGGAAAGCCTGTCTATATCAATGCAGATTTTCTCTACAAATGCAAATCTCCCCAACAAACACAACTTTTCAGCTATTCTTGTAGAAGAAGCTATTTCCAGTCTTCTGAGTAGCCATCTTGAAATATGTCAAAAAGTTGGCCAGGCGCATGCCTGTAATCCCAGCACTTTGGGAGGCTGAAGTGGGTAAATCACCTGAAGTCAGGAGTTCGAGACCAGCCTGACCAACATGGTGAAACCCCGTCTCTACTAAATACAAAATATTAGCTGAGTGTGGTGGCGCATGCCTGTAATCTCAGCTACTTGGGAGGCTGAGCTGGGAGAATTACTTGACCCTGGGAGGCTGAGGTTGCAGTGAGCCAAGATTGTGCCATTGCACTCCAGCCTGGGCAATAAAAGCAAAACTCCATGTCAAAAAAAAATGTATTTTAGGGTAATATTTTGACTATCTTTACCTCCATATGTACAATAAATATTATTGTGATTTTTAATCTTTACTCTTCTGTGGAGAAAACACAGGTGTGATTTCTAGTGTAGCTGAACATCACATTTATTTGACAATATTGCACTTGTGTGTGGGTGTGTGTGTGTGTAGCTACTCTTTACCTTTGTTCTCACTTAATGATTAGATATTAACAATTAATTCAGTAAAATGTATGTTTTGCAATATTTCTCCATGTTATTATGCTTTAAATTAGTTTAATCATGCCCCTATAATGTGTACATTTTAACCTTTGACTATAGGTCTCAATCTTACTTTGGTTCCTGTATTTGAATTTATGCTAATAAAGTCCTAGAGCTAAAAAGGATTATATAAACTTATCTGCATTTTTACTAGCATTCTGGTGTCATTTTAAATTATGTAATTAAATCCAATTTTAATTTGGATTATTGTTATCTGAGTTAAGGATCTAAATTTTTAATTTTCTTATAAATATTACATAATTATTTCTGAACCATATATTGACTAATCTGCCCTTTATATGATGTGCATTATAAGAGCTTGGAATTGATTCATTTGCAAAGATGAATGCTTGAGAAGTAGATATTTAATCATAACATTTCAAAATCTACTGGATAACCTAGAATTGAAAATAGCCTATAGGTTGAAAAACTCCTGTAGTGAAGAAAGAAAATAACTAATATACACTGACAATATAAATATTATAAGTATTAATTTTATTATCACCCTGAAATTTGATAATACAAAGATGTAATATCTACATATCACCCATATATCAGGTCATAAAAAAATCAATACATTCTTCAAAAATTTAGCATAACAGAAAATGCACTCTCTCTCCTTGATGGAATTAAGTTACAAATAAAAGTAAAAATAAGTAGATAAGTAGATGGAAGTAGATGTTTAAAAACAAAGAAAAATATTTGTTTTGGATAAGATAAAAACTCAATTGACAATTCCAATATTTCAAGAAGTTTGGCTGTCAACTGGTGGAGAGTTTTCCCCAGGAGACATTTGTCAATGTCTAGGGTTATTGTGGGGATGTCAAGACTGGTGGAGGTGTGAAATTTAGGGGTCAAACGAAATACCTAGCATTGCTAGGGCAGCCTCCCACAACAAAGAATCCTCTGGTCCTAAAGGTAAGTAGCACCAAGGTTGAGAAACCATAATCTAGAAAGTAGACACTATGTAGCTATTCCAAGTGCTCAGGAAAGCACATCAATGCCCTCGAGGGGAAAAGCGTAAACATTTTAATTGCTGTACATGGTGACACAAATCCATGTTGTTAATCTAAGTGGAAGAGGCTGAAGCACAAAACGTAATTCAAAGAGTTTACTTGAGCCACAATGAGGACAGCTGCCTGGAAGAAACAGAGCCAAGTATCCTTGGATATGAACTCCATTTGGAGCTTTGCAACAAGCAGTTTCTTAAAGGCAAAAAAGGGACAAGAAGTGGGATGATGCAAAGAAGTTTGTCACAAATTCTCATTGGCTTATGGAAATAACATTTATTAGTGACTGGCTATACACTGTTACACTATTATTGGGTGTGGATTATAGTGTCTGGTGTGGCATTATTGGTTAATTTATAGCTACTGTGGGAACAGCAAGCAGCCTAGATGAACACACAGCTCAAAGAGGAGCAGGACAGTACTGCTGTCTCATTTGAATATCTCTCTGGGCCTGATTATTTAAAAGGACTTGCATTTCTCACATGAAAGTTATTTTCTTTTCTCAATGTCAATAAATGAGAATAAATAGACATAAAATAGATCTTTTCGAGGATGAAGTAAATGGAATAAAAAACAAAACCCAAGCTGACCAGAAATCATAGAGGGAAGAAAAGGTTATAAATATATGGATTTTTCAAAGTGATTTTAAGCTATTAGGAATCAGTTAAATGTTGGGGGATTTTGTCTGAGTATGGGCTAAAGGAGAATGTCCCTTTTGCCTTCTGAAGTTTCCCTGAAAATCACTAATGGGAGGCAGATAAATAGTAGAAAAGGCATACAGGTTTCTGCAATGTGTGTACACTGGAGCCCTTAGAATGAAGACCCAGACACACGATGGGTGCAGAAGCTTATCTACCACATGAAGTTTACAGAAAGAATGGGGTCCTGGATCACAGGGAAAAAAAAAAAAAAGGTTATGTGAGAAAAGGACCCTGGCTAGCAACAGTGGACTTATTACCTTATTACGTAGGTGAAACCTCACTGGGAGCAGTCCTCAGAGAGAATAGACAGAAAATGTTTCTTTCAGACCTTTGGAGACCTCAGACTCTCAGTTAAACTTTCCTAGATCCAGACAAGGGGACAGACCTCAGAGAAAGCCTGGCTGCATCAAGGCAGATTCTCTACCGATGCAAATCTCCCCAAGACAGCTTTGCAGCTATGTTTGCATTTCCAGCCCTTCTGAATAGCCATTTTGAAATATATCAAGGAAATATATTTTGGGGTAAAATATATTTGTTTCCTTCATACAGCTGTAAAACATACAGGAATAATTTTTGTCAATGTCTACTAAAAATCCAATATAGCAGTAATTATAAAACCCACCAGATATTGAAGAAAAAATAAGTAGAGTTCATCACTTACAAATATTGACACTAAAATGCCAAATAAAATAAAAATAATATCCAACAATATTTGAAAGAGTAAGACAAGAAATTGGCAAAAAAAACCCACAAATATCCACCTTGGGGATGAAAGTGTGATTCTAAATTTGGTAATCCAATAATATTAATAATCGTATTGATTAGCCCAAATAAAAAATAAATAGGGTATTCTCAGTACATGCAAAAATATATTTGTCAAAAGGTAATATTCATGTCTTTAAAGATTTTAAATGCTATAAAGAGTCTGATATTCTATATGCAAATATGTGTATGTCCATTAGAAGAAGAGAGGCCTGATTTTCATGTTACTACATAGAGATAGAGAAGTGGATAGATTAATTTGCATATGCATAGAGAAAGCATAAAATAGAAATTTACTATCATACTTAAAGGAATTTAAATTCAACAATAAAATAATTCAAAGGTACAATTTTAAATATTTTTAACAGTTCCGTTATTAATATTAGATAATATTTATAATAATTGTGAAAATATTCAATGCTAAAATAAGATAGAATGTCTAAATCTCAGTATTAAAACTAGTATAAATATTTGTTTGTTTATACAAGGAAAATTCAAGCTCAACCTAAAATTATATAGGAAATAAAAGAAAAATTTTAAGGGAGCTCTTTAATAACACAAACAAATATATATACACACACATATAACATGTATACATGTTATATGGGATAGATATAGATTTAACATGTTATATCTATATTTGTATCTATCTATAACTACAGCTGTATGTATCTACATTTCTATATATTTACTCAGTGATATAAATATAGACTGGAATAAATATAAAGGCACATATGATTCTTGGATAAAAAGGATTTAGTATCATAAAGACAAATTCTTTCCAAATTCACCTATGAATTCACAACAATATACAGTTCCATTAGTATAATTTAAAATTTTTAAATAAATTCCAAGATTCATTTAAAGGAATATACATGTATACCAGCAGTAAAGAAAGAAGCAAGAGTGCACTAAACTAACTTGCTATTAAAATACATTTTTAAACTTAGTAACTAAAACTGAGCAGTACTGATTTGGAGTACTGGAATTTAGGTATATGGGATCTCAAAAGCACAGAGCTCAAAGGAGACCCCTGTATGCACCAGAGCTTAGGATGTGCTTTAGAAGGCATTACCAAACCACGGGCAAAGTTACTTTAGTGTCTTAGTCTTACTAGGTTTGAAAAGCCAGAGAAAAGACTCAAGGCCACCATATAAGAGCAAAACAAAAGGACAGGGAGAGAATGTGAAGATACTGAAACATTTTACATAAAGTTGTATAAAACATACTTTAAAGAAAATGTAAAGTTTAGGATATACATCAAAATCAGCAGAACCACTAAACAAATAGGCATTGTAAAATAGCAAGAGAAAATTTAAATGGATTTCTAAAAAATATTGACACCTATGATTTTTAAAATATGTTTAAGAAATCCCATATTTCACAGGGCAGCCTTTCACAACATAGAAATATTAGGACATAAAGGTCCTACTGTTTTTAATTTACTAGTGTTTATAGGGTTAAAAATGTCTTCTACCCTTGTCTTTTGTCTGATGGTGCAAAAAATTTTCATAAGCATGTAATTCTGAATGCCTGATGGATTGACATATATAATATGCTGCCAGTATTAAAATATGTGACAGAAAACGCATCTAATCTTCTCACTGTTTACATAAATTCTAGGTTTCTCCTATTTACCTCAAGCACGTATGGAGCGAATTCTTACCTTTTAATATTGCCATGGCATTCACATTGAATGTAAGTTGAACTCTCTCATGTGGTAGCTGGGTTCAGATTCCCTTGACAATTTCCAGTTCTAACCCTCACAGTTCCTCAGTGTGGCTGGCCCAGATACTGACCCTACACAGTTGCCTCCCCCTGGTGACTACCCGCTATGGAACCATTGGATACAATCTGCATGACTCACCCCACAGACCTCACAGCCCACTTGGACAGCCCCCACACGCCAGAGTGACCTGCTCAGTTGCAGCGGAAGCCAAGAAATGTGCCTGCTGGCACTCACCCCACCGACTAGAGCCCCGTGGAAAACTTATTTGGGTACTGTTCTGGGCCCAATAAAGGCTGGAGTCCCACAGACCCCTTTTCTCTCTCTTGCTCCCCACTCATCTTCTCCGTTTTGTTCAGCCCTATGAGGTGTGCTACTGTATTTGTCCATTTTCACACCGCTGGTAAAGACATGCCCGACTGGGTAATTTCCAGAAGAAAGAGGTTTAATAGATGCACAGTTCCACATGGCTGGGTAGGCCTCACAATCATGGTGGAAGGTGAAAGGCAGTCTCACATGGCAGCAGACAAGATGAGAGAGCTTGTGCAGGGAAACTCCCCTTTATAAAACCATCAGATCTTGTGAGACTTATTCACTATCAGAAGAACAGCATGGGAAAGACCTGCCCCCATGATTCAATTACCTCCCACCTGTTCCCTCCCACAACATGTGGGAATTCAAGATGAGATTTGGCTGGGGACACAGCTAAACCCTCTTCTCAGCTACCCTCTTCTCTCTGGATCTGTGAGTAATTAAACTACTTCTGTGATTTCCCATGTTTGGTCCTGTGGCCTCCATGTGTCTGATCTGACCTATACTGGAACCTAACTCTCCTCCTGGCTAGGGTCTCTGAGAGTGGCTCTTGTCAGAAATACACAGGACACAGGTCAGGCAACAGTCACCAGGCATCTCCTAGTCTCAACAGATGTTCTGTGAGAGGGAGGCCTGGTCGTGGGATGCACACCTGGCCACTGCTGGGGTAAGGAAGTGTCCTGTGAAAGGCACATGTTAAGCATCCACAACCCCCTGCCCAGAACCCCAGAAAGGCAGGGCTCCAATTGACAGTCACTCTCCAGAGACAAACCTCAAGCCCTAACTGGAGGAAAATAAAACAATGTAAAAATTTGAATTTATCTTACTATTTCAATGATCCAGTAAAGACATTCTATGCCTGTACACCACATATTTTCGTCGATTGTGGATATATTTTAGATAGAATTTTATGTCTGGCTTTCACTTAAGCCTGGTCCCTATCTCAAGCATAAGGTAAAGATTTTCCATGGGTTCTTTTCTGGTACTACTACCTGCCAGTGTGGGGTCATGTCCTAGTCTATCTTCAGGGAACCCCCCTATTCATTATTGTCAGAGTGAGACTGTTAAGTCTTGATTTCCCTGGACAACTTCATTGCATGACTTTTAATATGATTTTTAAATATAACCTTTACTGGACAATAAATTATATAGTTATCTGAGTAAGAGATATGGTCAGGAAGAGGCATTGCCTCATTCAGCTTTTCTGTTTGGTGAACTCGCATATGTTCTCCTCACCCACCAGTCACCTCTAAACCGTATTGTTCCAAGACAACAAACAGAACTCGAGTGTGTATCTTTCACCACTGGATTTGTCTTTGCTCCATAAAGCTTAATGCTTAATAGGGTTTCTGTTAGCATTTTCTCTATTTATTTTCCCATAAAATATCACAGGCCTTCTTAATGTGGAATTATGGGTGATTTCCTTCAATCTGCATCATATCAAGTTGAGGTTCATGTTGATGGAAAGTAAAACATCCGTTTAAAATATCAGTAATGATGTTTTCCCCTCCTTTTTAGCACATGTGCTTGTGATACAAGCACATTGTAATACAATTCTAGTCTCATGCTTTGATCATTCCTAAGATGAAAATAACATTTTTAGATAAAATATCTGAGTTTTATGAGGACTTTAGTACATGATGCGATAGAATATCAGAAGACCATACTTTTTTCTAGTTTTCCATGCAATTCTATCAGTTTCATCTTTTCTCCTACCAGAGTAATTTTCCAAAATAGATATCTTGTCATTCTTCATGTTGTTATCAGTAAATAAGTGAAACGAAAAGCTAGATTATATAATTTATGTAGAACAAGAAAGTAGAATTGAATCTATATTCATTAACAAGACTAACCAGTCAATTACACAGATAGGCATTTTACATTTTGAAGATCATATGGGCCCGTTGTCAGATATATTATTATTTATGTCTATATGGACATCACCTGTGCATATTTATGCAGAAATCAATGAGAGCTGATTTTTATTTTTATTATATATATTTTTTGAGATAGGGCATTGCTTTGTTGCCCAGGCTGGAGTGCAGTGGTGCAATCACTGCTCACTGCAGCCTCAACCTCCCAAGCTCAAGCAATCCTTCCACCTTGGCCTCCCAAATAGCTGGGACGACAGGTGCACATCACCATGCCCACCTTTTTTTTTTAACTTTTGATAGAGACTGGGTCTTGCTACGTTGCCCAGGTTGCTCTTGAACTCCTGGGTGCAAAGAATCCTCTCATTTCAGCCTCTTCAACTGCTGGTATTACAAGCATGAGCCACCATATGGGCTGGAAGCTGATTTTTAAAATACTGAGATCATATAGATGACAGCACCTGAAAAGTAGACAACACCAAGCTTTATGTTAAAAGGTGTGAGGGTATAAATATTGTTGTGGCTATTGGGGAGGAAAACATTAGTAAAACCAGTGAGTTAAAGCTGTTGCTTTAAACTTTGGTTTTAATTTAACAAATGTTCTCTGGGGCGACAGTATATATGTAACCATGCTATGGCCATTTACAGATGCAGTAGAGGGAAGAATTTCTCAAAGACAACTGTTCTAAGATTGAAATTAAACCGTACTGGGTTTGAAAAGAGAAAGTCCAGGAATTACCAAATATTTTAGATATTAGATAAAAGAGAATGCCAGGTATGCGATGATAATCAGCAATGGTTGTTCACACAATACATCAAATCAGGATTTGAATTAGCTTTTGAATTACAAGGACAAATGGATCAATTCTTGACTCTTTAGTAGATAAATCTTATTAGGCTGAGATGTGTTTTCCCCTGTTTTTCCACAAGGAGATTACAAATTTGCAAACCTCAGCTGCTCTCATTTTATGCTCTCACCAAGCCAAAAGCCAAAGTTCATCAGTGTGTCTAAGTGTTCACCAGTTATATACCATTTTGTAGTTTAAGCTAGCTTTCCAACTTCCTAAATCATCACCTTCATCTGATCTTGTTTTTTTCCACTATCACTTCTTTATTGACCACATAAAGAATATAAGTTCTTATTTTGTTATTGTTCATTTTAGTCTAATTTCATCAAAATATCATAATCCTTTAATTTCATTTTAATTTCAAAGATTAAATGAAACCTACATAGAAATGAGTGTAAGATTTGCATTTGCGTTATTTTGGCATCAATTTGCTATCCTCCCTCATTCAGATAGAGATCATTTCCATGTACGTGATTTCAAACATCCAAGTGCAGTATTAAAAGCAGTTGTAAATTATGGTTCTCATTTTCATGATACAATTACTATATAAACTTCCTCTTGCTGCTGTAACGAATTACCACAAACTTCATATCTTACAATAAATTGACTGTTAAGCCTACAGTTCTGGAGGTCAGAGCCTTAACTGAGACTCACAGGGCTAACATCAAGTTTTGGGCAGGGCTGCAGTCTTTCTGAGGGCTATGTGGCAGAATCTATGTACTTGATATTTTTCAGCATCCAGAGGCCACCTTTATTCTTTGGAACATGACCTCATTCTTATATCTTTTTTTTTTTTTTTTTTGAGATGGAGTCTCCTTCTGTCACCCAGGCTGGAGTGCAGTGGCACGATCTCAGCTCACTGCAACCTCTGCCTCCCAGGCTCAAGTGATTCTCCTGCCTCAGCTTCCTGAGTAGCTTGGACTACAGGCACGTGCCACCATGTTCAGTTAATTTTTTGTATTTTTAGTAGGGATGGGGTTTCACCATGTTATCCAGGATGGTCTCAATCTCCTGACCTCGTGATCCACCCACCCCGGCCTCCCAAAGTGCTGGGATTAGGCATGAGCCACCACGCTGGGTCCTCATTCTTGTATCTTAAAAGTCAGTGATGTTGAGTAATTTCTCATGCTACGACCTCCATGGTTGCCTTTCTTCTGCCTTCTTCTCTCACTTATAAGGAAGCTTGTGATTTCGTTGATCCCACCCATTTAAGATAATCTCTCCATCATTTTATTGCAACCTTAATTTCACTTGAAATCTAATTTCCCACTGCCATGCAACCTAACATATTTGTATGTTAGACTCTGGGAATTAGGACATGAACATTTTTGGGAGGCCATTCTTTTGTCTGCAGCAGACATAATCTATTTACCTGCAGATTAAAGTGTTCTTTATTTTTCTGCCTCCCCCTCTTAATTTTTTTTAAATAATATGAATTGTAGTAAAGAGAAAGAAAGAAAAGAAAAGAAAGAAAGAAAAAAGAAGGAAGGAAGGAAAGAAAGAAGAAAGAAAAGAAGGAGGAAATGAGAGAAGGAAGGGAGGGAAGGAGGAAGGGAGAAAGGCAGGAAGGGACTAAAAAGAAAGCAAGAACACAAGAAAGAAAGAGAAAGAAAGAAGAGAAAGTGAGAAAGAAAGAAAGGAAGGGAGGAAGGAAAGGAGGAAGAGAGAATGGGAAAAGGGAGGAAGGCAAAGAAACAAAGAAAATAAAGAGGAGAAGGAAGGAAAAAGGAGGAAAGGAAGGGAGCGAGGAAGGAATAAAAGGAGGGAGGGAGGAAAGGAGAAAAGGAAAAAAAACAAGAAAGTGAGAAAGAAAGAATAAGAGAAAAGAAGGAAGAAAAGGGAGGGAGAAAGGAAGGGAGGGAGGAGGGAAGGAAGAATAAGAGAAAAGGAAGGAAGGAGAAAAAAGAAAAGAAAGAGGAAAAGAAAAAGGAAAAGAAAAGAAAGAGGAAAAGAAAAAAGGAAGGAAGAAGGCAAGGGAAGGGAAGAGAAGAGAAAGGAAGATGGAAAGAAGGAAGGAAGACCGCAAATATTAGAAATTCTGGGTTTGTTAGAGAATATGCCATACTGTTTTTTTTTTTCACTTGAAAGAGTATCTGCCATTGAAGATTGGATGTCTTGTTGGTGATATTGTTGTTCTTATCTTCCATATGATTACTGAGTTTGTGTCTAGTCTGTCCATTACTAAGACAAAAGTGTTGAAGTCTGCAAATATAATTTTGGATTTTTCTAGTTCGCCTTTGATTTCCTTCCTGTTTTGCCTCATGTATTTGGAGGTTCTGTTGTTAGCTGCATACCCTAATTAGTAGGATGTTTACAACTTCTTGAGAATTGATTATTGTATTATCTATTATCTCTCATCTCTGATACTATTTCTTGTTCTGAACTCTGTTGTGTCTAATATCAATGTAGTCTTTCCACAGCTTTATTTTAGTGTTTCCATGATATGGCATTCTCCATATCTTGATGATAACCTATTTATATCTCTATATATTTGGAGCAAGATATAAAATTTAGACTTGATTTTTTAAAGATTTTTCAAGATGTAATTCTTATTTATTTTTGTTCTATTTGACATTCTCTGAGTTTCCTATATCTGAAGTTTGATTTTCTGTCACTTCTTTTAGAATATTTTTGGCAGTTATTTTGAAAAATATTTCTTTTGCTCCGTTATTTTTTCCTCTTTTCTTTTTGGAATTTCAATTGTAACTAGGGTAGGTAATTTCATCTCAGTCTTATGCAGGTGCTTTTTCTCAGGGTCCCAGGAATGTAGCCTTCTCACACTTCTGTTCTTTTCCTGGCTGTGTTGGTGAGCTCAGTGGTATTCCTCCTTCACCTTCAAGAGCAGTTTTGTTTTTCCTGTTTTCATACTCCCAGCATCAGGAGTATTCTAAGTGTGGCAGTTTTTGTTGCCTTCCCCTATATATTAAGTGGAATATCTTGGTCTATTTGGACTCTTATAACAAAATAACATGAACTGGGTGACTAAAAAACAATAGATATTTCTTTTTTCACACTTCTTGAGGCTGTAAGATCTCAGGTCAAGATGCTCACAAATTCAGTGTTGATGAGAGCCCATTTCATGGTTCATAGATGGTGCCTTCTTTCTATGTCCTCACATAGTGGAAGGCACACAAGAACTCCATTGAGCTTCTTTTATAAAGGCACTAATCCCATTCATAAGGGCTCGGCCCCCAAGACCTGGTCACCTCCCAAGTGTTCTGCTCTCCCTGATCTGTATCATATACAGACTCTCTTGGATTCCTTACCAATTGCTTGAGAGATCACAGTGGGTTTGGGGGGAAAAGTTTTCAAGATGATGGATCTTTCCCAACTTCTGCAGCTGTCAGCGGTCTCCCAATCTGACCGGCCCCACTTTGTCTTCAGGAATTTATTGATTATTCCAGCTTTACTTGTCATAGTGGTGTCTATTTGCATCTGTCCTATGTAAGTGCATCTGTCCTCTTTCTCCTTGCAGGTGCTTGTTTTCCCTCACATTTTGACTCAGTTCTTGGCAACCTGGTTGCTATAAAAATAAAGTCATGACTTTGAAGTTAGTTGGGTTCTTTCATTGTTGTAAGGTTAGGAGCCCTATTCCATCCCAGCTCTCCAAAACCCAGAATTTTTGGGGGGTTGAAATTTTAGGCTTTCTCTTTGAATTGTAGTTTTATCTTATTTCAGTTACAATTTGCATTTTCACAATGATTAATGAGACTAAGCTTTTTTTGTGTAGTTGACTGTACCTTTGGATTTTTTTCCCAAATCCCTTTTCATTTCTTATTTTCTTTATGGTTTTAGAAAATGTAGTTTACATAATTGCAGCTGGATTTTTTCCTCAGTTAATGGCATGCTTAGTGGAGAGAAAAAAGATTAACTATATTTCCCTTTTTAATTACTGTGCTTTTTTCTTTTTTAAGGTAATATTTCATTACATTAAATTTTAGTGTTATTCTACTGAGCTATTCCTTAAATATTATAGTATTTTGGATTTCACATATAAATTTGTAACACATCTTGAGTTTATTATGTATAGAATAAGGCTATTTTCTTTTTTTGTTTGTTTTTTAAGGTAAAAATCACATAATATAAAATTAATAACAACCATTTTAAAGCATACAATGCAGTTGCTTTTAGTATATTCACAATGTTCCAGGACAATTTCATCATGTCCCTTCTAAAAACCCATTATCCATAAAGTTGTTACACCCTATTCTGCTTCCCTGAGCCCTAATGACCACTAATCTGATTTATATCCCAATTGATTTGCCAATTCCTGATGTTTCATCTGAATAAAATCAGGTAATATTTGTCTTTTTGTGCACTTAATGCTTTCAAATTTCACCCACATTATACCATGTATAAGTACTTCTTTCTTTGTTATAGCTAAAAATTGGGTGTCCATTTATGAGTCAACAAGCCTATGGATTGTTTCCACTTTTTGACTGTATGATTATTACTGCTGTAAATATTCATGCACATGTTTGTTATTTGAGCACCTATGTTTTGTAAGATTAACAGCTGACTTAACAGAAACAATGGAAGGCAAGAGGCAGTAGAATAATATATTCAAAAGATGCAAAGGAAAAAAAACTGTCAGCCACCAATTCCTTATCCAGCAATTATTTTTCAAAAATGAAGATAACACAAAGACTTTGCCAGATAAACAGAAATATTAACTGAAGTTGTTGCTGCCAGACCTACCATACCAAAAAAAAAAAAAACCAAAAACACCAAAATAAATTCCTAAGGCTAAAAGCAAGTTACACAAGACAGTCATTTGAATCCACATTTTTAAAAAAGCACTGGTATAGGTAATATTAACATTATAAAAGACAGTAGAAATGCATGTTTTCTCTTTATCATAAATTGTTTATAAAATAATATGTGTATAATGGCCGGGTACGATGGCTCACGCCTGTAATCTCAGCACTTTGGGAGGCTGAGGCGGGTGTATTACGAGGCCAGGAGATCGAGACCATCCTGGCTAACACAGTGAAACCCCGTCTCTACTAAAAATACAAAAAATTAGCCGGGCGTGATGGCGGGCGCCTGTAGTCCCAGCTACTCAGGAGGCTGAAGCAGAAGAATGGCATGAAGCCGGGGGATGCAGCTTGCAGTGAGCGGAGCTCACTGGAGTGGCACTGGAGTGCCACTGCACTCCAGCCTGGGTGACAGAGGGAGACTCCGTCTCAATGATAATAATAATAATATGTGCATAATGTATTGCTGAGTATTTGACATGTAGAAATGTAATATGTCTATAACATATTTCCCAGTAACATCAAAAAGGAGGTAGTTGGAAGAAAAATGTATCGTGATAAGATAATCACTCTAGATGGTAAAGTCATAATTACTAAAATGTATTGTTGGCTTTGTAACTTTAATAGATGTAATGTGTAAAGTGATAATACTTTCAAATGGAGGAAATAAAAGAGATTTGTATAAGAATGATGTTTCTATGTATTACTAAAAGTTTACTAGTATAAATTGGAAGATGATTTGAGTAATTAATTTTCCATATACCTACATGGTAAACTTACAACAACAACAAAAATTCTCAAAAATATATAGTAAAATATTTCGTTAGTAATCTAAAGTTCCCTATTTTAGAAAATATTCATTCATTGCAAAATAAAGCAATAAAGAAAAATATTTGAGAAATATACAAAACAAATAGTAAAATGGCAGACAAATAGAATTATACCAATTATAATATTAAATGTGAGCAGATTAAAATCCAATCAACAGGCAGAGATTGTCAGACTGGATTAAAACAAGTGATCCCAATATACGCTGAGATGCAAGGATACTAATGGATTGAAAGTAAAAAGATGACAAAAAATATGCAAAGAGCAATCGTAAAAACACTGAACTCATTATACTCATAACACAATATAGACTATTAAAAATGTGAATAGGATTTTTAAAATTTTTATTGTAGGAATAAGGGGGTCAACGCTTTAGGAAGACATAGCTATTACAATCATGTATGCACAGATTTGAGCTAAATTGTTTCCTCTATACAGATGCTGAAATCCTAACCACTGAATATGACCTCATTAGGAAATAGGTTCCTTGCAGGTGATCAAGCTAAGATAATATGAGATGAGCTTGAATTCAATATGACTGATGTCCTTATAAAAAGAAGAAATTTGAGTAGAGGGAGACATACACACAGGGAGAGTTCCATGTGATTATGAGGGCAGAGGTTAGCCAAGGAATGCCAAAGACTGCCACAAAACCACCAGAAGCTAGAAACAAGGCATAGAACAGACTTTCTCTCATAGCCCTTGAAGGGACCATCCCTGCCGACACCTCAATCTCAGACTTTTAGCTTCCAGGACTATAAGGCAATAAATGTATGTTGTTCAAGGCACCCAGTTTGTGTTACTTGGTTATGGCAGCCCTAGAAAACTAATACATGAACTAACAACAAAGCATAAGAACATGAAGCAAAAATTCACAAAAGAGGAGCATCAGCAAAATGGCAGTGGAGACAGCTGCAATCTTTCATTTCCCCACAGAAACATCACACAACTAAGAGAAACTGTCCGAATAAACTTTGCCAAAACTCTGGAAAATGGTCAAAAGATTACAACAACCAAGTGAAAGCAGACTCAAGGAAAAGACAACTGGAAAACTTTACGACATTTTTAACTTGCCTTTGCCCCAGCAAATTGGCAGTTCTGAAGTGTCAGAAGCCCACGTTCCCAGTGAGGAAGCCTGGTCCATCGCCCAAAGGAACAAGAGAAGATCTTACCCGCAAATTATTATGTGTCTGTTCTGACTGGTCTGGGGGATACCTGAAGGACTAGTGAAAGGCTTTTTTTTTTTTTTCTGTGTTGCTAGAATACAGAACAGATAAGGAATGGACATTATTAAGAAACTCAGCAAGGAGACCTAACAAACCACAGACACTTAGGGCAAAAATTAGAGTTTACACATATAGTAGATCACCTTCGGCACAGGAAGAAAAGTTGGAGAAGAGTATTTGGAAAACTAAGACATTCAAAATCATTCACGTACATGGGAGAGTCTAGAAAGTCACATGTATGCATAGGTTAAGCCACATGATGACAAATGTCATAAGAAGAGCCTACACTTTTACCTTGGCCGATCCCTCCCCTCAGTGCAAGCTCTGTGCAAGAGTGAACTTGAACTTCACTCAGTGCAAGAGTGAACATACACTTTGTGCCGGCTTTAAAGAACCCAGCACAAAGCCAGTCTGCATGGCCTAGAGACATATTTTGCTGGCTAATGATTACTTGTTTTTCTTTTTGTTTTTGTTGTATTTGCCTGTTTGCTTAGTTCCTGACATACAAGAAAATCACTGTCAAAACATTAGCTTAACATTTGTTAAGGAAACAAAAAGACTTTGGTGACCGCACCTTATAAAGCAAACAGTTTTGTAAATCACTTTGGAAAATTTCACTAAAAATAGAAACTTTAACAATATAATAAGTAAATAAAATTTAGAACCACAAAACATTAGTGTGTTTGTAGGGGGGGGTCTGCCCAGAGTAACCACATAGTAATTATAATTATTATAATGTCCAGTTTTCAAAAAAAGTTACAAGGCATACAAAGAATGGGAAAGTATGGCTCATTCAAAGGAACAAAATAAATTGACAGAAAATATCTCTAAGGAAACCCAGACATCAAACTTACTACACAAAGACTTTTAAACAACTCTCTTAATTATACTCAAATGTCAAAAAGAAAACATAAACAGAGAAATAAAGGAATTAGAAAAAATATTAAAAAGTAGGAATATCAACAAAGAGATAACAGAAATTCCTGAGTGGAAAACTACAATGATAAAAATTAAAAAATCAACAGAGGGATTTAAGAGTACATTTGCACACGCAGAAGAAGTCATGAACTTGAAGATAAGAAAATGGAAAATACTGACTCTGAGAAACAGAAAGAATAAAAAATAAAAAATGAGCAGAGACTAAGGAATCTGTGGGACACCATCAAATAGACCAACATTCATATTCCAGAAGGATAAATTATGTTAAAAACTTTACCATTCTTTCTTTCCACCTTTCTTCCTCCCTCCCCCTCCTCTTTTTACTTTTCTTCCTCTTCCTTTCTCTTCTTCTCTCCTTCATTATCCCTTTCGCTCTGTTTCTTTCTCCCTTTCTCTTTTTTCTTTTCTTTCAACTTTCCCAATTACTAAGAGATGTTTAAATACCCTTACCATGTTAGTAGATATGGTTATTTCTCCCTTTAGTTCTCTTTTGAGATTTATAGTCATTCTAAGTAAAGAGATAACCCAAACATAAGCCTCACAAACAGGCTTCCATACCATTCTTAATTTGGTCCTGTAATTCTTCATTGCTGTATTAACTTTCTGATGCTTTTAAGGATGTTTTATAACAAATTGTTTAGTTTTTTCCAATGGAATGTTTATTCTGAATTCTCTAATTCATATTGTACGTATATAGGGAGTTTAATATAAAATTATTCAACTAACACTTCTGAAAGAATGTATTTGTGCATTTAACAAATATGTTAATCCTCAAACTGTTATTGGGCAGCTGAGCATACAGCAGTAAAAATAGCATAATTTTTAGGTGTACAATATTTATGGAATACATTACTGGAACAAATAAATAATTTAGTTAATGACATGACAAAAAACAGTTGTATACACTATAGAGCATAGTAATGGAATAATGAGTGATTACAGTTATTAATATTAGGTAGAAAATGAAGGGTATCTTTGAGAGCAGAACTCAAGGAAGCAAGCAATTCACCTTGTGAGGAAAGAGTTACCTGTGGATAAAGAAGAAACTGAAAAATTTACAAGTCAAGACTTTTTGAACAAAAACAAAAATATGACTATTAGTCACCAATTCAGTACAGTGAAAAAAAATTTGAAGAGATATCTTGGAAGTAAACCATGTTGTGGAAGAGCATGTAGGGTTTTGATAATCATGGGATGATTCTGAATTAATTTTAAATGCGATAGGAATGTATGAGATAATTTCACCAGAGAATAACATGATTGCGTTTGCATTTCAAAGGGGTGTATCTGGTGCACTGTGTAGAATAAATGGTTATGTGAGCAAATAAATTGGGAGGCTATTGTAATCCAGAGAAAAAAGGTAGTGACTTAGGTGAGAATGCTGTGAGTATGAGTGGTATTAGTGGTGAGAAGTCGTTAGGCCAGGATGTATTTCATAGGACTGGCCAAAAGAACTGCAGCTAAATTGGAGTGTAGGGAGTGAAATGGAGAACTCAAAGATGACTCTCAGCACTGGAAGGTGACATCTGTCACTGAAGCATGCTGATGCCTCTTATTAAGAGTGTTACTTGGGAATGGCAAGATCAAAACTTCTCACTTTCAATTTTATGAAAAATATTGTTTTCAGAATGAATGACTTTGGGATCAGAAAGCCATCATTCTAATTGATGGTTCCACGACTACACAGGCTCACACTCCTAAGAGCAAAAGTAAATCATCACAAAGGTGCTTCCTGATAATTCTAGAGAATGGAGAATTACTGTAACATCTTTCTGATTTTAGGAGAGGTAGCAGTTCCCTTTTTAGCCTAAACGCTATTTTTTTTAAAGCTCAGCCAAGAGACTCCATTGTAATTTTCAAATGTGTGTAACTTAAATTCTCATATTAAATACCACTATGCTTAAATTAGTCAAAACATTTTCCCCATCTACAACTCTATCTTTTCACTGCAATCATTTTCACAAAAGTGACTGCAGCTAACAGACCCTAAAAGGGGAAAATCTAGGGTAGGTTATCTGATCTAGTTAGTTTTGAAGACAGGATCTAGAGATTATTTCACATGAAATAGGTCACCTGAAATGAAGTGTTTACTGAAAACAGCTTGGATCAGCCCAGTTTTCTACCACTGAACCATGCATTTGGTTTAAAAAACACAACAACTCTAGGGAATATTTGCTGCTTCCAACTGTGTTGAAGGTGTAAAAGAAAAGAGCATAAAATTATAAATGATCGTCTGAGGGCTTTATAGTCTTTGCTCAAGAGACTAGAGTCTTCCATTCTTAACGAAACACCCAAATATCTTAATAATCGGGCAAAATCTAAATATCAGAGAGATAATTTTATCTTGAAGATTGTTAAATTATAATGGTGATTCACTACCTTGCCACGTCTCTGAGTCAAAAATTAGATCTTTGTTTAGGAATCAATAGTACTCTGCAACTTGGAAATAGGAAGATTTTAGAAGACTCAAACATTGACTTTCTTGTGTGCAAAAAAAAGACGTATTGAGATAAGACAAGTCTTTCCTTGCAAGGATACCTCTAATGCTCATACACCACCTCCCCTGACGTTAATATAACTTCCAGATCACTAACCAGTGTCAGAGAGCAGCCTATGCAACTACAAATTCAAAAGATGTCGAACACAGGGTCAAGCCTAGAATAAGAAGTCTTAGCTAATTAAGTATGCTTTTTTCCCCAGATCCATATTAACAAAAACTTGGATATGTCAGAGAATGCATTCTAAGTTCACTCAACCTAGGAGGGACAAACATAATTTTAAATTAAGAGCTGAAGCATTCTTGTCCTAACAAAAAGCAAGGAAAACGAAATATCACACCGCAAGAGGGATTTCACAAGTTAGTGTCAACATCCAAACCTTAAAATAGGCAAGGAAAATGCAGATTCACAATTAACTCTTGTACTTGTTTTGTTCAGAGAAGAGATGGTTCTGAGAGAATGACAGTGAATTAACCCTAGCTGGTTTAGTTGGTACTTTCAATTGCTGCTTCTGATAAACTCCTTTAGCTAGAATAAATCTATGAGGATTTTGGCATGTGGTATTAGAGATGGTTATTAATTTTTTCCTCTTATTTGCATTGTTCAATGTAGTAAATACTAGCTGTATATGGCTACTTAAATTCAAATTAATTACAATGAAATATACTTAAATATTGAATTTTTTAGTCACTGTCGGTTCATTACTGAATATCTTCAGCTAAGATTTCCCAACTAAATACACTAAGAGGTGGCTTAGTTAACTGGTCCTCCACAAATATCGAGGCTGTTGTTAACTCCTGATATATTCTCTGCAAATAGTATATTCATGAACAACCTCCTGAAACCAGCAGCCTAGAGATAATTTTATAAATTGGACACAAGTTGGAAATCTATACTCTTAAAGTTTTTGAAATATCAGCTTCCCAGGGAAGACAATCAAATTCATAAGATATGTTAGGACAATTTAACTCAAGATGTTCAAAACTGAAATGACATATTCTACAATTTGTGATAAAACCACCCCCTAACAACTTAAAGCAAAACAGGGATTGACCTTAAAGACCTGCCTTTTCCTCATCCCCTAGCCAATCAGTTTTCAAATCTTGCATTTTATTTTGAAAGGTCTTTATTCCCCTAGTCTCTTGTTTCTAGACTTGGCACATGTTTAAGTTTGTTACCTCTATCTACTGACTTTCCTCTCTTCAAACAGTATCTATGCCTGCCAAATGTGAACATACAAAAAACAAATCAGAATGTGCCATTCGGATTTAAACTGCTTATTAGTTAATACCCTCAAGATAACATCTGGGTTCTTAGCTGCACTGAGTCAAGCCTACTTACATCTTTTTTTGTCTTCGGCTGCACTTTTCCTATCACATCACACTCCAGCAATGCCAAGCCGTGCCGGCCTTCTACCCCATTTCCACTATTTTGCCCCCGCCGCCATGGCTTTTTGCCCCCACAGCCGCGGCTTTCTCCCGCTGCGGCTTTCTGCCCCCACACCGCGGCTTTTGCAGCTTTTTGCCTCCGCCGCCGCGGCGTTTTGGTCCCCGCCGCCGCGGCTTTTTGCCCCCGCCGCCGCGCCTTTTTGCCGCCGCGGCTTTTTGCCCGCCGCTGCCACGGCTTTCTGCCCGTCCGGCTTTTGGCCCCCCGCTGCCGCGGCTTTTCGCCCGCTGCGGCTTTTTGCATTTTCTAAAAAATTATTACCTTATTAGGGTTTTTTTTTTTTTTTTACCCTGCAAGAACATGAGCTTTATGTAGGAAGAGATTTTGTTTCATTCACAGCTGCATCTCAGTGCCTTGGGTGGCATCTGGCACAAATAGGCTTCCTTAAAATATTTGTGGAATAAATGAAAGAATTAAATTCAGCTTATTTTCTGCTCTTTGTCAAGCACTAGCTATTAGATGTCAAGGACATGTTCGTGAGCAAAACGAAAATGGTTATTGTCCTCATGGGGCTTATAGTCTAATTGGGAAGGTGAATAATTTAGCACAGTTCCTGCAATGCAATGTGTTGTTAACTGAATAGCCAGCATATAGCAGGGAGAACTGATGTAGCCTAAGGGCGAAGATGGGTGTCATTGAAGTTGAGACTAAAATATGAGCAGAATTAAGAAAAAGAGGTTATCAGTAGTAGTATTGTTTTAACCAGAGGGTGGCACAAAGAGCAGTGGGCAAGAGAAAGGATGGCAGTTGTAGAGACTAGGAGAGGGGGATAGTAAGAGAGTAAGGATAGAGACCTAGGCAAGGGACAGATCATATAAGACTTTATATGCGTCAAGAGGCAGTTGAAAAATGTTTTGAAAGTCAATGAATGGGCACCAGAAGGTATTAAGCAGAATAATAGAATCACCATCTTAGAAAGATTATTCTGGCTGTAGTATGGATAATGTATTGGTGAGGCATAACACTGGAGGAAGGGAGACCCATGAGATACTACAGTAATTTTCCAGAAATGATAGTGGCCCAGCCTATGATGGTTGCACTGTACTAGGAATGGACAGAAGTAGATGGACATATTAATAAAAAGACATTTTAGGGATATATGTAGGGCTTGGCAATTAATTGGATGTTTAAGGAGAGGACAAATCAAGGATGATGCCTTGATTCTTGGCATGGGAAATTCGGTCATTGATTGAAAGAGCATTCCTGATATAATGAATGATTGGGGAAGAGGGGGAAGGAGGATGATGAATTTTGTGGGATATACTGAGTTTAAGGAGCCTATGAGATATACAGCTGCAGATGTCTGGGAAAGGTTAGTTGGTTATGTGAGTCTGAAGCTAAGAATACAAGGTCTTGCTGAGACAGAGAATTGGGGCCTCACTAGTATATTAATGGGACTTGGTGAGACAGATTCAGAAAGTATGTGGGGTGGAAATTGCAGAGGGCCTGAGATAGAGCCTTGAGGACTCAGAAATGTGTTGAAGGAGAGGACCCTGGCATTCCAGTTTCTCTAGAAATCGTTTTCCCTGTCCATAAGTGGAGCCCCTCCGGCCATGTCTCTATTCTACAACCCTGATCCTCTCCCTGGTGTCTCTTCAGCCACAACTGATTGATTTAACACTGAGCTCTTCACTAAAGCTAAATTATCAGAGTCCTTCCGAGTAATATCTAAAATGGGAGTGAAAGGAGGAGGATCATTCTCTCTCAGGGGGTGGGAGGCAGTAGTTTGAGGCTGTGAGATATGAGGCTGGGAAGTTTCCACCACAAGGGGGAAGCTGACCTGGAAGAATAATACTGACTTGTGCAACAGAATAAAGGTGGCAGATGGAAAGAGTTCTGATGGTGATGAGGACCTTAACCAGGCTTTTCTTGTAGATATGTGAGATAGTTCAAGGTTCTCCTAATTATGTTTTCCCATTTTTAGCTAGCAACCTAGAGTCCAGACTAGTACATTATAATAATAGTTGCCTCATAGAGCGGTTGGGAAGTTAAAGGAAATAATATGCATAAAGATTATTGCCTGCTACATAGGGAATATAACAGATACTGTTGCTTACTGATTTAACAACTTCCTTTTCTTTGAAGCCAGCACTGTCTAATAGAACTTTCTGAGGTGAAGAAGATTTTTCCATATCTGCATTGTTTAATAGAGCAGCCATTAGTGACATGTGGCTATTGGTCACTTGATGGAATATGGCTAGTGCAAACTGAAAAAATTGAATTTCAAATTGTATTTAACTTTAATTACTTTACACTTAAATGTAAATGTAACTTTGATTTCTTTACATTTAAATGTGGCTAATGACTATCATATTGGACAGCAGAAGTCTAGGGTGATAGACCTATAGAACAACAATTTTTAAAGCCATTTTGGATTGGATTTTCTATCATTTGCAGCTGCAAGCATCCTAACTAATACTATGTATTAAAAATAAGTGGAAATGATTTATTTAACATGGCATGAACATCCCTCATTTTAAGATGATATTAAAGAATTAAATTTTTGTTTTTATATAGAAATTCTGAATTAAGTCAGAAGGTGAATGTTTGCCATACACACAAATTATTAAAGTAATTTCTCACAGGTTTCCTAAATACCAACTTCTCAGTCAGTGAATATAAAATGTGACTCGATTTATTAAAATTAAAATGATATACAGCTTTTCAACAACATTTCATTCAGATATATTTCTACATAAGTTGCAGAATTATAAAACACACATACTAGAGATTGTCCCTAACTTTATCAAAATAATTCTCCTTTGGGTTCCTTTAACAACATGCCCTCTAGTCTACCAAAATATTATTTTACAGATGGTGGGGGTGTGCTACTTGCAACCCAGACAGACAATAATTCAGCTAAGCATTTTTCTTTGCAGTAAGTGAAAATCTGTTCAAAGTGCTGGAAGTTTTATCAACTGGACCATAAGACCCAAGAGGAACTAAGTGTTTCTGTTACGCTTTCTGTGTTTAATAATTCCCAGCCTTGTTAGTAGACACTCAAACACTGCATCCTAGCTGTGGAATCTTGGGTAGGTAACATAGTCTCTGAGAAATTTTGATAAATGCTAATTTTCCGTGTTTTTAGATTTTGGTGGTGAGACTGGTGGTTGCTACCTCTATGCCTGTCTTTCACAAAGGTCACTCAAATTGCTCTGGTTTCTTTTTATGTTACCAAAATGCTCTATAGCTAAACTATTGAGCTTAAATGTCAAACTTGCATTATGTTTAGAAATGGGTACTTATCTCTTTATGCACCTTTCCCTTACACCCCAACGGTGGGCCGACACAGGATATGGTAGAGGAGTTAGTATTCTGACAAATAGGTGATGTCATTCCACCCATGTATCACTTTCCATTAAATCTTCGACCCGTATATAACCTTTAGCTGCAGGTTTGTTTGCTTACATCACTGTGATCAAATGGTTAGAACTGTAGATTTTCATTTGGGAAAATGATGATTATTTTTTATTAAGGACATTATTGCTGGTTTGAATTATCCTTTTGTTCATGGTTCATGCACAACAAAGCTTTCCCTAGCCCTTCTGTGGGAGGTGGAAAGATGCTCTACACCTGCCTCCTACCCAGATCTTTTTCAGAAAGAAAATAGACAGTGCTAGCTAAGCCGTTGGATGGGAGCAATATTCAGTTCTTTGCCAAGAGAGATCCTAGACTCCAGATACGCCAATTCAGCAAACCTCAGGGAGACTATCTAAAACTGAAAAAGGGCTCAAGAATCCATCAGAATATGAGATAATTTAAATAAAATTTGAATCCTACTCGCCAACAGAGAACCAGAGGACATTAGAGAAGGAAGGAAACTTGGAGGTCATCGTGTCCGATATTTTGCTGAGCGTCACCTCTCTGGCTGATGTAAAATGAGGACAGGGAGTACATAGAAACATTTCGGTTTTTCTGATTCAGTAGTACTCTTGAAGGCCGTTATTGGTGGTGCAAAATGAGGCTTTCTCATTGACTCTAAATAGGCTTATTAGCAGCACACAGAAGGATTTCCACTGTGATCTTTTCTTTGTCCCTAGTCAGAGTGAAGGCATAGGTCTGAAACAGGCTGATAGCTTTGGAAGTGAAAAGTACTGGCAGGCTGAGGGCACAGAACGGGCTGGCTGCCAGTGTTGGGTTCAGCACCCTGAGGAGTGTCATTTGTCGGAGCCACTTTTATGAAACAGAAGCCCTCTTTTGTGTATTTGTACCTGTGAAAGGGAGCAGTGGTATAGCTGATCCAAAGTAGCAGAAAAACAAACAATTCATATTGACTTAGGATGCTCACCTACCCCCTCTTTTGCAGGAGTGTTAGTTTGCGTGTCAGTACATGGCCAGCCTCCTTGGATTCTGGCATGATGCTTTCCATAGGGGTTTCATTAATTGGTGCAAAAGTTTATTTCAGTAGAGTCCAGGAAACTGTTAGCTTTTTGTTCTCTGCCTAATGACAGAAAATGTCCCTGTGACTGATTTCTTTGTGGGACCAGTCTGCATCATTCCTAAGACTGACACAAAGCCCCGCTCGAGCGTGTGGGATGAACGGCATGACTCACACATTCCCCTGGAGGACTGCAGGTTTGATTAAATGTTTAAATGACATTTTAGGACAGATGATTATGAGGATGGGCAAACAATTTGTTCTTTTAATTCTTAATAACTTCAGTGTGTATTTGGGCGGGGAGGTATATGTAGACAGTTTGGAGGAGTGTGAACAAGAGACTTGGGTAATCACTGGAGATAAGGGTGATGATGATGATAATTTGATATAAATAAGCAGAGAGTAAGATTTGTCAAAAAGGGGCAAACTCATTGCTGTTCTCAATATCTCCCTTCTTTCACTTCAAACACAGACACTCACAGCATGTTCTGTTTCTGATAACTTCCTAATCACACAGGAGCTCCAGGATTTCTGAAGGACCACAGCCCTGTGGCCAAAAATCTTTTTTCCTTGACTGTTCTCTGGGCAGCTCAGTAGTATCTTTAACATGGCAAATATAAAGATAGTAGATTCACTACAAGGACACTTCGAGAAAAATACTACCTGCCTTTGTAAACCATACACAGTCTTATTATTCAATTTGTCTTTATGGAAGCTATCAGTTAGCTACAGGTTTCCTTTCCTATGTCTGATGTACCTATCTCTAGTTGATTCTTTCTCTCTAACTCTAGTTCTTGAAACACTCTCTGCTGGTTTGATTTTCGGGTGCATTCATCCTCTTTTCAGATTCCAGAATGAAAACTTCCTTTTTGAGACACCCAGATAGACTACCTCTTCCTTAGTCCACCTGGCCCTTATCCACATCCCTTGAATGAGTTTTCTTTGTCTGGACACATTTCTGAAGTAATGCTTCTCTGCACTCCCAAAATATAGCTCTTCCTTCTTTCGGCCTTTTGCTGTGTTTTATTACATTATTTCATTGCCACTCAGAATAAGCACTAGACAGACGTCTAAGGTTTAACTTTACATTTTATATATTTTATTATATCAAAAACTGGTCACATATAAACTATAGTACTTGGGAATTGAGGGTATTTCTTGAGTATTACAAGAAAGTATTACTTTCTTGAGAAGATATTACTCAAAAATATATACATTTTGGATAAAGAAATTTTGATAGTATAAGATGAATTAGCAATGATGCTTTTCAGAAAACACGTATGCAGTAACTTCATTTATATGACCATGTTATTAATCGGTAGGCATTAATGGATTTATGTAGCCTGTTCAGAAATTAATGAAGCCTGTTTATTCTGTGGATTTTGTTATTAGCTCCTTCCCTCTTCTTTTGTCTTCTTGGCATCACTGTTGACATCACTGATGGGAATCCCACTACTGCAGCCATTGCAAGTGTTTTTGGTGATTATTATCCACTTAGGCACCTTTGTGCACTGGATCTCTGATCAAATTATTTTGAAATTTTAATATGAAATACATAGGAGAAAAAATTGAAAATGTGTAGAAGTAGGCAAGCTTTTCTTTGTTAAAAAAGCGTAATTTAATAGAGTAAGAGGTGTGAAATATGTCAGGAATTTTACTAACATAAAATTTCATCATTTGTCCAGTTGTGTACTTAATGGATTCATGTTAAGTATACAGTAATTCCTGGCAATAATGTGGGGCAGCTCAGATTTACTTTTCAGTGCATGTTAGTATGTAAAGTGACCCCTATCTTCAATATCTCTATGTTTTAACACCTGCTTTGTTTTTACAATAGAGGCCCTTGTTTGGAACAAAGCCACTTAAGTTAAGCTGAACATCATTGTACCTGCACAGTTACCTGGGTTATCTGTGGTTGTGATGAAAATTACACCACCATAATCACCCCAGGCTACTTACAAGCCACCTTCACAGAAATGATACTGTGCCAAGTGCCACAAAGAATATCAAAATGCAGCCCCTGCTTCAGGCACTTATGTTTCCAAGGGGAGAAAGAAACTGGCCTTTGGATTTAGATAAGAAACTTTATTGTGATTACAAATTGGATTTCCTGTCTTTATTTCAGGAAAGTTGTAGAAGATAGCTAGAATTGCCCTTTCTCTCACCCCCGGAGGGTTTGAAACCATTCTTGAATGAGTAAATGTATTCAAAAATTTAAAATTAAATCAGATTTGTTATATGGAATCATTTAAACCTAATTTCTTAATTAAAGGCATTTTAAGTTCACTTTCTGTTCCTTAGGTGTAAACACCTCAAGCTACAAAAAACAAGAATAGATTCCACTGCTGGGGTGAAAAGCCACGACTTTTCTTCCTGTGTTCTGTTTCCCAGGCCTATCAAAGATATTTAAGTACTGAGTTAGGTCTGGCCAGGGAACTCCCCTGACTTCTTTAGGGGCACAGATGATAGGGAAGAAAAGAGTAGACCGTGGGGTTAGTCTTGGATTGATTTCTATACTCCCCTTTGATGTTGATAGCTGCTTCCTGTTAGGAACTTCTGTTGGAAGCATACTTCTTACCTGAAGAAAGTTCTGAGTTGAGACAGTTCTACCTTGACTTATTTACCAAGGCTCCTAAACCATATAGCACATCACTATGAATACATTCAGGGTGGGGGCAATAGATCCTACCCAGATCCCTGTAAAGCCAGCGTGGTTCTGCAACCATCATTCACGGATAAGGACCAAGACTGAGCTGCTCTGGTTGAAGAAGCTGTTGGATGATACGGGGTTTGTGCCACAGTGTGGTGAATTCATTTTCCATGATATGCTGGGCTCACTCTCAGCAAGGCCAGCTGAAAGCTGAGTCTGCTTTGGATGCAGAGGTACGTAGTCAGTGGCTGTGCACAGGACGGGACTTTGGGATGTACAGGAGGATATATTATCCTTACAAATACTTCCTTCACCTGTTTGCCGATGAGCAAGACTCCAGGAATAGGATACAAGGCCCCTAACTTGTCTTAACTCTCTGATTAGGTCAGATCTCCCTACTGTATGCCCATAGTGCACCATACTCATTTTAGCTTTTATTACAGTTACAGTTGTACATTTATTTGTGGGGTTGTTTGATGGATATTTATCTCTTATTAAATTGTAAGCTCCATGAAGATAAGGAGCATATCTTTTTGCTTATCTTTGTGGCCACTGCGCCTGTCACATAGAAGGCACTGGATAATCCTTTGTTAAATGAATAACTAGACCTAAAAAATACTTCAAGGTAGGTGATGCAGTCATTAAGTTCACACTACAATGAAAGACAGTTCTTCCCAACAGGACATTATATGTTTTTTCTACTGTCATTTCTATTTGCTAAATTGACTTTGAGTTTGAGAAATTGGGCTATGACGCAATATGTGCATAAAATGTTCAACAAATACTGTGTTCCATTTTTTTAAAGCAAGGATAAGGATGAAAAAAATAAAACGATGAAAGAGTTTATTTAAGCTACTGATATCCAGTTGTTGGTTGAAAAAATATGTGGCTGTTTGCATTTTGTTTAGCCACAGAACTCCCATATAAACATTTCTATCTTTGACAAAGGTTTACGCAATTGATCTGGCTGCTCATTTTTCCCCCTTGATTTCCTTTTTTTAATTCACAGGTGAATGACATTTAGTTCTTGGTTGTGGAAAATGCTCTTAATGCCTCCATCTTTTAAGGAGATGTTCCTATAGCTCAGTTACTTTGAATATAGTTTTTTGTTTTCTTTTTAATTTATGGCATCAGCAAGTGATTTACACCATAGTGTTAACCAGTGCTCCTGAGGATGCTGATTTTAGCAGAATCCTAGGGAACTAACAGAAAAAAATCACAGCTAATTTTAGTATTTGTAGGGCCTTGTGACAGATATATCCGAATACTATTATTCACCCTTAATAACTTCTTGCTAAGTTATCTGTATTGTCTCCTGTCTAATTTTATTTCTTTCCTGAATACACATATTTTATACATCTGATATTTCAGAAAATGTGCTTAAAAAATGTCTATTTTTCCATTTCTCCATTGATTATCAGTTTATCTAATCTGTGTATCATCCATCTCTAAACCTAATTTTTGAATACATATACAACCAATAGACGTGGGATATACCAACAATATAATTGCATGATAGTCTTAGTTAAAAAGTTTAGTCTGTCTCTGTGAATTTGATTGTTCTGCTTTGCATGATTCTGGCTGAGTCCTTTCATTTGGTGGTGGTTTTTGAATACATATTAGGCTGCTTCCAATCCATCTGAAATGCAGTCTCATGAGAACATAGGTCTACAATCTAAAAAAATATACTTTGATTATTCTTGATACATATAACAATAGCTATTTTTATAGAGTTAGAAGGAATATTAGAGATTATTTATCTTATATCCCTTTTTTACAGATTGAAAAGCTGGAATCAATTGGAGTAAGTAACTTACAAAAGGGACAAAGAAAAGAACCAGGATGAGAAATTCCATATGTCTTCTTATCATACAATTCAATCCTGTGAATTGTTGATTATTTGCTTTACTACTCTAAATGACTTATGCATGTCGTTTTATTTGTCTTTCTACCATCAAAATAGAAGAAGGCCTATTTCTTCTTCTTCTACCAGTTGCAGAGTTAAAATGAGGCTGAACATTCTCTTGTAAATTCAGGGTGTTTACCTAGCCCAGGAAAATCAGTCCTAAGCAGACAAAGGAGACTTGGAATGATTTATCTAAACACCTAAATTAGTTACATCATTATTTATCTGCGAAGCTTCTTGAGTTTTGTTATCATACTCTGGATGGAGGCCAATCAGAAATGACCCTTAAGATCTGACTCTGTCTAGCCAGTCTCCCCTTGACCAAGGAGAACATCTGGGCATGAACTGTAGTTTTCATTGTCCTCTGACCAACTCAGATTAGAAACAGCTACCTGAGGCCAGCCTTTAGTTCTATTTTGATCAAACTGTCTTATAGACACAGCCTTCAGCCTTCCCCATGACCTTTGAAAACTGCCCCAGGGTAAAGGCGAATTACAAATACTATTAAGGTTGATGAGTAATCAACTCAGTAATGAGGATACTATTTCACATTCTTAGGGGTAGATGCTTTTTCTCTGTGGGATGCCTGAGTAGGAAATTTTGATGGCTCCAAATGTGGCCACAACAAACATCAGGAGGCTCTGCTATTGTAGAGATTTCCCTGAAACTGAACTCTGGAGGATGAAACATTTGGTGTAGATACTTGACCTTCTGAAAATAAAGCTTTATGTATGTGTGTATCTATCTATTATTCTCATAGCAGCAATTAGTCTGAAATCTAATGCCTTGTCAGTGAACATAACAATTTTTGTAAATGTTCTCCTCTTAGCTTTTAAGGTTTTTTTTAGCGATGAGTCAAATTTTACTCAGATTTTTATAGGTTATCCCTAGTATTCTTGTTTCTTGTTATTGAAGATATTCAAATGTTAATATATGGTAATAAGAAGTAGCTCAAAAAGAGCAGAATGACCTCTTCCTTACCCCCTTAGTGATACAGACAAATAGAGTATTTGTTCATGTTATATTTTGGCTTTTATTTTTAAATCAAGGAGGTTGAATTAGAGACAGAGCAAAATAAGCAAAAACCTGAAGCTATAAATTTCTAGGTCAATCCAAATACATAAAGCATTAAAAAATGTCAGATGCGAAGCTAGATGCAAACTGACAGGGAAAAAAAAAAACCTCTTTGTGTACTTAAAGCCCCAAACCAAAAGCAAAATTAAAATTTGTGCTGACCCTTCTCCCTTGGGGCTGCAGATGTCACTGCTGTCCAGGGCGCCATCTGTTACTGAGTGGAAGGAAGAGGAATGGCATCCAAGTCACTAGTGTAAAATAAATCATCTGCCTGCCAAATCCTGAAGATGTCCTGCCATATTTGTTAAGGCCAGGGGATGGAGGGTAGAGGTGAGCAACAAAGGTGACCATTAACACTCATTGATTCTTGTCTTTTATGACTCATTCTTTTATTATTACATGTTTTGTAAGAGGTTTTATACTTATACATATATAATTTTTATTTAGTCAGTCACAGCAGTAGTTACAATTTATTTAGCACTTATGGGACAAGATATTTTATACACATTTTTTCACTGGATGTCCAGGACTATTATACAAACTGAGTATTACTCTTATATTAAAGGTAAGGAAATAGCTTCTAACTAAGCAAAGTTGCTCAAAGTGACACATAGAGTGAGGTCTGTGGCTGTTCTCTTACTCCAAATGTGGGGTATCTCAGAAATTGCCATCCTCCAGAAGGCTACAGTCTAGCTCAGACTGTGCAAATTGTTCTCCATTTGCCATGCCCCCATGCACTCAACACTATTCCATGTCTTCCGTGTGCTCTGGGAAGCTGACCCTTGTCATTTGCATGACTGGGACTCTCTGCTCTCTGTGTTTGTCTTGGGTGGGGCCTATGGAAGGCTTTAGCAGGATATTGGAGGGCAGGAAGAGAAAGAAGTCAGGGTATTTCTTCTTCAGGTCCTACTTCGGCCCTGTGCGCTGGCCGTGATCACGTCCTTTCAGGATATAACTCCCTTCGCCCTGTTCTCCTCTGTACCTCTTCTGATGCAGGGCTCCTAAGGAAACACTGCTCCTTTTCCTTGACTGTTTATCCCTAGGGGTAGTATTATATTCTCACCATTGCTATCCTTTGGGTGCCCTGCCACCTTGTTTGCTCCTTAAGTCTGTCTACAATTAATGCAAATAACTCCTTTATTAAAATCTCTTTATTTGAACACTCTGGGATGAATTCTGTTTTTTTCTGGGACCCTGACTAATACAGAGGCTGATACTACACCCATATGAAAATACATCAAAGATAATTTGCAAAGCATGTTTGAAAGCTCTACGTTAGGATCACTAGCACTGGCATGCCAAAAGGCACAGATAAGAAAATACAGGGCATAGCAAAATATTGTTTCTTCTTAATGGAGAAACTGCCTCAGGGAGAGACTAGGCTGGTGAGAAGGGGGAAAGACTTTAAGAGTCTTATAGACCAGGCATTAGAGAATTGTGATAGGTTTTTGAGCCTGTGATAAAAGCTGTGTTTGGGGAAGATTTTTCTAGCAACCATTTGTAGGAACAGTGGAATTAGGAAAAAAGGGTGACAGTAAGGAGAACAGTTAAAAGGCTTTTAAAATAAGCCAGTGTAAAGTGATTGGAGGCAGGTTCACAAAGTGGCAACAAGTATGAAAAATAAGGAATGAAATAAATAGTGAAAGAAACATTATTACTATTGGAATTTGCATTCTTGCCCATGTGATGCATTTGCTTCAAATTGGTGTAAGCTCTTCACATGCAGAGGGCTCATATGCCTTGATGTAACATTAGATCAAGTGGCAGAAGCTAAATTTGGAATTAAGGCAATATTTGGTTGTAGAGAACATCATTCTCGTTTCTAGCTCTTGGACTTTATGTGGAAGCACTTTAAGTCCTAAGAGGCTAATTTTAGTTCAATCTATTTAGTTAACAATATTTCAGATCCTTAATTTTTAGTTTCCAGATGATCAGACTCCTCAGCTTGAAATGCAAGGCATTATAGACTTCAAGCAAATTGCATGTGCATTAAGACTATCGAACTTGGGACGAGTAATCCTATAAAAGCAAAATCATTGCTGAAGCATTTTTGTAATCATGTATTCCTCCTGCATGTTCATTTGAAAATGTTCTCTTTTGGTGTGGAGGCAAATGAGCTGATTATATTGAGCTCCGTCCACCAATTTATTTATTTATCTAATAAACATTTTAATGAAGGGGTATCAGGCACGTTTGTGTTTTACCCAAGAGACTTATTTAACAGTCATTCAACCATTTGGTCATTAATAGTGAAAAGGTCATAGGCTTTGGCATGAGGCAGGCCTGGGTTTGAAACAGATCTTCGCCATTTCCTAGAAGGGTTGTCTTAAGGCAAATTATTTTTTTAGACATGTTTTCAGTTTTTCTGTTAAAGGAAAAATTGTTTGTAAAGACTGCATTGTGACTGAGAAAGGGCACGCAAACTAGATGAGTTTAATCCTATCTCTCACTCCTGACTAACCTTATATGTATACACAAATACAAAATGCTCCAAGTTGGATGTGAAACAAATGGTGGTATAATACTCGCCCTTAAATATAATTGCAGATAGCCACAAAATATAAAACCATTTAAGGATGTGAGAAAATTAGTATAATAAAGAAGAAAATACAGAATAACTTTTTCTTCTGTTATTTAACTGGTGTAAAATTAATTCCTTGACTCTCATATTTTGTCAACAAATATGATAATGTATGTGGTGATGTACTGTTTTGCCTTGAGAAGGAAAAAATTATAGCCATAAAATATTTAAGAAAATTCTGGAAATAAGAGTAATAGAATTACTTTTTTCAGACATTTCCCAAATGTGTTTTAAATGGCTTTCCTGAAGGAGAAATAGAGAGGGAGAGAAAAAAAGAGAACATTTAGATATAATTACAGATAAGACCTATGCATAATATTAGTGGACTTAAAAATAATCATGCATATTCATAACTGAATTGCTAATTAACATTCTCAGAATTTTGTTTAATGTAAGCAAGTTATCCTAATAGGGTTAGGGCAAAAACAATATGATAAAGATTGAAATCTGTGGCTATTTAAAAGCACTGAAAACTTGACTAAATTGCCTCTCCCCCTCCCTTAGACATAAACACTTAAGCCTCATCATGTTGTTTTTTCTTCCCCGCCGCCCCCTCCCCCCACCCCACCCCAAGACAGAGTCTCACTACTCTGTGGCCCAGGCTGGAGTGCAATGGCGCCATCTTGGCTCACTGCAACCTCCGCCTTCTGAGTTCAAGCAATTCTCCTGCCTCAGCCTCCCGAGTAGCTGAGATTACAGGGGCCCACCACTGCAATCTCAAAAAATACAAAAAATAAAAATAATTTTTGTATTTTTAGTAGAGATAGGGTTTCCCCATATTGGCCAGGCTGGTCTCGAACTCCTGACCTCAGGTGATCCACCTGTCTCCACCTCCCAAAGTGCTGGGATTACAGGCGTGAGCCACCGTGCCCGGCCTCATCATGTTTTTTAAACAATAAAAAGGGCAAGTTTTAGAAGACAGTATCTTAAGGCTGGGTGCGGTGGCTCATGCCTGTAATCCCAGCACTTTGGGAGGCCAAAATGGGTGGATAACTTGAGGTCAGGAGTTCGGGAACAGCCTGACCAACATGGTGAAACCCTATCCCATCTCTGCTAAAAGCACAAATGAATTAGCCAGGCATGATGGCGGGTGCCCATAATCCCAGCTATTCGGGAGGCTGAGGCTGGAGAATCGCTTGAACCCAGGAAATGGAGGTTGCAGTGAGCCGAGATGGCGCCACTGCACTCCCGCCTGTGCGACAGAGCAAGACTCTGTCTCAAAAAAACAACAAAAAAGACATATTAAGATACAATAACACTTTGAGCCTTTGCTGATTGTTGATGAGTTTCAAACTCACAGAGGGTTTTGAAGAAAGGCTGGCAGAACTTGAAGGCAGAACACGTGGGCTGAAGTCCTGTCTATGCCTGTTACTAAATAGCAATGTGAGCTTCTGGAGGACTCTGAACTCTCTCAGCCTCTGTGAAATGGAGATAACATTTCCTGTGGAGCTGCGTCAGAGATGTTGGGGAAATCATATGGAAATCAAGTATAGCTGTCAACAAGTTTTGTGAATTGTAAATGACCTTAAGCATACAAAGTATTAGTCATCTATTCACTCATTCACACATGGAGCATGCCTAGTGTTAGGAGGCACGTGGTGGGGTTGGCGGGGGGGTGGTCATTAACATGGTGAATGAGATCTTCAGAAGCAGTGTGTTCCCCTGGGTAAGGGCATGGGCTTTGGAGTTAAACCCACCTAGAGTAATTCAGGGCTCATCACTCCGTGACCTCCTGTCCTGAGACCTTAATTTGTCCAATGTTACATCATTGTAAATCCCAGTTTCTTTAACGCGGATATGAAAAAACACCATATATTTCACAGGGGAGTTATGAGGATGTGAGAACTATGATCAAGCACTTAACTTCACATGTTCAAAGTGCTCAATGACAGTTGGCAACTATCAATCAACTCTTCACACATTATATCTCTAATCAAGGAAAGCAGGCATTTGCACCAATAATGACAGAACAAAACAACATGGGGGAGAGTAGTAGTATAAACAACTTTGAGAGTTCATAGGTGGGCTGCCATACTTTCAGCTAGAGTGATAAGTAAAGACTTTGGAGACAGGTAAATATTAAGAATAAATCTTGAAGAACGAGTCATACCTCAATAGGAAGAGATATGATTGGTGGACAGCATTTTAGGTAGACAGAGAATAGAATGAGCTAAAGTGTAGAGATGAGAAATTTGAGTACTCCAGTTGTCTAGACTAGCACTGTCCGATAGAACTTTTGTCCATGAAGGCAATGTTGTATGAACGTTCTGTCCAATATGGTAGCCACTAGTGGCTGTTGAACACTTGACATGTGGATAGTGTGACTGAGGAGTTGAAGTTTTTATTCTATTTAATTTTAATTAGTATACATTTTAAAACCACATCTGACGAGTGCCAGCTCAAATCATAGGATACACGGAGAGGAGTTTAGTGTGATAAGATCCAAACAGATTGGCAAATTTCGAAGAACTTTACTGCTAGGCCAACACGTTTAGATTCCAAAATAGAACAAACATATTTAGAAGCAGGCAAAACAAAAGAATACGTTTATGAAGGAGACCAAAAAGTTGCAGAGAGAGAAATAGGAAGGCCAGGAATCCAACAAGGAATGGGCATTGAAGAAAGACTTGCCTCGTACTGTTAGTTAGAAGCCAATGGATATGGGAAGAAAATTTGTTAGATTTGGTAATTCAGAGCTTCTTTGTGACTTTCAGAAAAAAAGTTTCCCCTGAGTGGTAGAGGTGAAGAGAGTATTGCAGGAAATTAGGAGTAAGGTATGCTGAATAGAGGCAACATGGAACAGCCTTTTTTTTTTTTTTTAAATGTTTGTATTCCTAGAGTTATAGGATAAAGCATTACACACTAAGTTAGTCTCAGCAAGTACTGTATATTTGCCAAGTAAGTGGAGTTCTTGCAGGCAAACTAGGTAGTTTCAATGCCAGGTGTGAAATTATAATGGTTTAGATAAAATTTTGAAGCAATTCTACAAATAAGTACTCTGAGTCATGACATTTTTAGGCCACATTGAAAACGCTAGCTGAAAGAATACAAACAATGTTGAAATCATATTTAAGCCCCTTGCTGAGTTTATATTCTGAGCTAAGGATAGATTAGCCTCATGCCCTTATATGATGAAAAATTGTTTTGTTTTTCTTGCACAGCACAGTTAGGTATCAGATAAAGGGGGAGGAGTATCCTCATGGATACCTCAAAAACAAGTAACCCATGGACGGAGGACAGAGAAATTTCATGCAAAGACAGATTTTCCTATCTCTTATGATTAAATTCTCTCAGTTTCCTCATTATGAAAATCATTTGGGATACCTGATAAATGTACAAAATCTTCTGCCTCAATTCATACTGGTCAATATAAATCTTAGCTTGGCGATCTGAATTTTTAATTAGCACCTGAGCGATTCTTAGTATCAGGCAATTTTAGGAAATGTTTATTTATTCATCCTTTGAACAAACACCAGTGGAGTGTTTTTTCCATATTGCAGACATTCAGATACTAGGACACAAAGATAATTAAGACATGGTTTCTAGTCTTAAGAAATTGTTCTAGGAGAGGAGACAGTAAATGCCATGTAAGAAATGGCTTGGTAGCTGTTGCAAAAGGACCACAGAGAAGGGCAGCTCAGCATTGAGGAGACCATGGAAAACTGTGCTTGGGGAAGGTAAAGTTTGAGTAGGGTATTCAAGGATAAGCCAACCAGATATACAGGGAGTGTGAGAGAAAAGCACTCTTTTCAGGATAAACGTCACATTAAAGACAAGAAGAGATTGTGTTGGGTCTATGAATACTACTGAATTCAACACAGCTGGAAAACAGGTTTTCCATGAGATAATGGCCTGTGTGGCAACAGACAAAGGCATTTTTGTACCAGAGCACAAAAATAAGTGCCTAGTTATTTTCAAGGTAATGTGAAATCATTAAAGGGTAATCTGGGGTTGGTGAGATTGGAGATAGGGAGACCCATTAAAAACTTAATACATTAATTCAGGTGAGAGGTGATGGTGTCTGACCTAAGGCAATAACCACAGAGGTAGAATGGAAAGAACAGTTTTTGATAAATAGTTGGTGATTTATTGTGTATGACATAATCAGACGATAGTTCTTTTGATCCTTTTATTAATATTGTCTCAATGAAATGAACTGAATTGCTGAATAATTGATTTTGTAGATGGCTCACATATGGCTCACATGATACATTTGGCCATGATGGGGAACATATAATTGTTTGCTATTTATACCTATGGTGACTTCTTAAATTGGATTGCTATTGGACAAGATTTTCAGTATTTATCCCATTGATTTAAGGAGACACCAACACAGAGGATGGTCTCAGAGGTTTTCACAGTCGCTTCTGTGGGTATCCCAAACTCTTTGATATTATATAGGTGAGGAAGTATGTATTGCTTACTACTTTTTAAGTTCTTCCTAGTATTCTGGCCCTTTAACAGTTTATTCTGTTTGTTTGTTTTTCCTTCTTTGATTACTTACAGTTGTAATACCTTTTAAAGACATTTTATATCTCTTCCTTGACTTATTCCAAATTTAAATTAATACATAGAATATGTATATTTACAAAATATGTTAACTAAATGAATTATTTTTGAATTATTTTGAGACTTTCTAAAATAGTTTAAAGTATCTTGAGTCGTCATGAAACTAACTTTGAAAGGTGCTGATTTAAAGTGACAATATTTGTGGCCATGCAAGAAAAGAGGCACTGGACATTTTAATAAGCAGTTTAATAGAATTTAAATATATGACATCCAATTACCGACAGAATACAAAGCATCATAAAGTATGATTTGCAGACATATTTTATAAATTGGAACACCTTAAGGATTCATGGCATTTGTGTAAAATGTGTGGTCGTTAACACATTTTAATACATTGATTCTATTGTGGAAGGTCGTGTGACATGGAATGTTAAACAATTAAAATGGTCAAATGTACTTCCATGTTTATGTGATTTGCATTCACAGGAAGAAAATGGGTAATGCCGAAGGAACATTGGCCTAGAGAAGCTTACTGAAGCAAGGGAATTTGGAGTGAGACTTTCTCCCGCTGCGGCTTTCTGCCCCCACACCGCGGCTTTTGCAGCTTTTTGCCTCCGCCGCCGCGGCGTTTTGGTCCCCGCCGCCGCGGCTTTTTGTGGTTTTTTTGCCCCAGCTCCCACTGCTTTTTGTCCCCCCCGCCGCGGCTTTTTGCCCCCGCCCCGGCGGCTTTCTTCCGCCGCGGCTTTTTGCCCCCGCCGCCGCGCATTTTTGCCGCCGCGGCTTTTTGCCCCCGCCGCCTAAGCTTTTTGCCTGCGCCGCCGCGGCTTTTTGCCCCCCGTCGCCGCGGCTTTTTGCCGCCGCGGCTTTCTGCTCCCGCCGCCGCGGCTCTGAGGGCGGGAGCGGCAGACTCCGCTGCCAGCTCTACTGGCGTCCTGGCAAGGGCAGCGCCGAGGGGCGCTCCCGGTCCAGCTCTCCCGGCTCGGGGGTTCCTTGCCTAGGCGCCCGAGCCCCGGGCTCCCTGCCTCGGCCGCTGTGGCCTGCATAGGGCGGCACTGCGCGCGGAGGCGATGGGAGAGAAGAAGGAGGGCGGTGGCGGGGGTGATGCAGCGGCCGCTGAGGGTGGCGCAGGGGCCCCGGCCAGCCCGGGGCTGCAGCAGTGCGGACAGCTCCAGAAGCTCATCGGCATCTCCATTGGCAGCCTGCGCGGGCTGGGCACCAAGTGCGCTGTGTCCAACGACCTCACCGAGCAGGAGATACGGACCCTGGAGGTAAGGGGTTTGGGGACCCGGGCTGGGCTCGAGGAGCGGCCCGGACACCTCCCTTGAGGCCCCAGTTCACTCCTGGCCGAGTTGCATCCTTGAGCCCGCGTCGCGCCCTTGGAGGCTTCCCCTCCCTCCTGCACTCGCTGATGCGGCAGCCGAGAGACCCGGGACCAGCCCTCACCTTGGGCAGGATTTGTGGGGCGGGTGCTTGGTGGGAACTGGGATGGAGGCGCTAGGGTCCCGTGGGGCGGGTCGGGGGGGTGGGGGTGGGCTGCGCGCGGACATCCCCTTACCCCCCGAATTTCCATCTGGTCCGGCCCTCTCATCTTGTAGGTGAGGAAACCAAAGGCCTGAGGGAGAACTGACTTGCCAGGAACCCCTGTTAAGGAGAATTACCAAAGTGTGGTTATTAAAGGAGAACTGAGTTGGGAGTCAGACCTGGAGTCCCACACCCTTGGTTAAGTCATTATACCACCTTGAGTCTGGCCTGTTGACTGAGGGTGAGCCACTCCATCCTCGTCTGATTGTGGGGTCTTGACCTCAAGGGGTTTCGTGCAGGAAGAAGCAAATGGGTTTGCTTTCCTAGCTCTGTCCAGTACCTTAGGGACCCTGAGGACTGAAGCGATTCTTGGAGAGCCATCTGGTGTATGTCATGCGTGGGCCTTTCTTGAAGGTCTGTCTGCCCAGTGGGCTGGCTCAGCCCGAATGAACTGTCTTGAATCTTTGGAGTTGTCTGTGTACTTTTAAGGGCTTCTCATCCTTGCACCAAAAGATCCCCTGGAAATTAGGTGGGAAAACCTTACCTTTTGTGGGGCCTTGTGTTTGTCTTAAAAGTTCATGCACATGGCCAGGTGTGGTGGCTCACACCTGTTATCCTGTCCTGGATCCCTTGAGTCAAAGAGTTTGAGACCAACCTGGACAATACAGTGAGACCCCGTCTCTACAAAAGATAAAATATTAGCCAGGGGTGGCTGTGCGCATCTGTAGTCCCAGCTAGTACTGTGGCTGAGGCGGGAGGAGCACTTGAGCCTGCACTGAGCTGTGATCTCACCAGTGTACTCCAGCCTGGGCCACAGAGCAAGACCTTGACTCAAAAACAACAACAACAACAACAAAAATTCTTGAAGATTTTGCATTCTGTCCCACTATCCATTGGTTTTCATGTCAAGATAATGTGAGAAATTCTTTACAATTGCTTCCAGAAGGAATAGCCTTTTGATTTAGTGCACAGGTGTCCAGTCTTTTGGCTTCTCAGGCCCACATTGGAAGAAGAATGCTCCTGGGCCACACATAAAATACACTAATGCTAACAACAGCTAATGAGCTTAAAAAAAAAAAAAAAAAAAAAGGTTTGTGCAGAATTTTGATGATACCCACCACCAAAGATAGGCGGAAAAGTCCTTGTAGTCACAGGGTTGGACACGGCTGATCTAGTGTCTTGTCATCCGTTTTGGCTTTCTCCCGGTTTCCAGAATGCAGGTAGAGATGTAGAGACGTGCTCTCAGGACAGCTGTTGAGATAAAAAAATTCGTTGTCATTTATTCCCAAGGACAGCTGTTTGTCATTTGCATTGAAAAAGTCTCCATTCAAACTGCTGTCACATATAAAATCTATTTATATAAGTCTGTATTTTTCTGTTGTCTTGGCCTTTGTGGGCAGTAGTGTGTTTTAACCAAGCAAACTGTCCTTCCAAATAATGAAGCCGAAGTCAGCCTGCCTGCTTGCCATTTTTCTTCCCCTTCCATTTTTCTAACCTCAGGATAGTTGTAAGAATGAATTAAGATTTGTGTTTAAGGCCGGGCACAGTGTCTCAGGCCTGTAATCCCAGCACTTTGGGAGGCGGAGACGGATGTATCACTTGAGCTCAGGAGTCCAAGACCAGCCTGGGCAACATACTGAGACTCCGTCTTGTATAATTAAATTAAAATTTAAAAAAAGAAGAAAAAAAGACCTGTGCTTAAAATTTAAAAAAAGGGGGGAAAGTGTAATGCAAAATGTGGACTATGCCAGCCATGATTGGGAAAAATAATTTTTCATACAGCATTATCTGTAGACTTGTATTAGCAGCATACTGGTCATAAGCGTTTTGCTTTCCTCAAATATGATGAGGTAAGCTACTTTAAAGTGTGGTGGGGCTTTCTTCCATGTGGCTCCTGGAGGTGTTGAGTCCCAATTTAGCCAATTAATTTGGGTTTAGTTTTGATATGGATAAGGGAGTCCAGCTTCATTCATGGTGCACACACAGTTTTGCCAATAAGGAAAAAAAAAAAGCCACCTGAATGTTCCTACTCATTAGATGCTATCTGGAGAGCTCCTTCCCCACCCGCACCAAGGCCCGGGCCCTTAAAAAGACTCAGTGCAGCCTTTCTGTATCTCATACTGTATTCTGCAAGATGCTCCTGTGAAAGAAAGTTGTGCTGCACCAGCCATCTCCCTCCTGAAGATCCCTGCGGATGAGGATTTGTGTTTTAAAGGTTCTGAGAAGTCCTGCAACAACAGTTCTCAAACTTATTTGTCCAGGGGATCTTTTCTTCCACTGAACGTAGTTGGGGAGACACGGCCTTAAGCCTTGAGCAGAGAAAGAGACAAGAAACTGTTGGCTCACTTACAACCAAGTGTTGTGTTTTATGTTTTAGGTTTTTATGAAACTGAGGTGCTGTTTGAGGTTCTAAATCAAACTGGGTGGTTGAAGAGAGGCTGGTATCCCTGTAGACTTAGCCAGCCATGAGAGGTTGCCTTTTGTTGAAGGAGGTGTTTTACAAAGGGAAATAGGGTGTCTCCTGGGCATCACATTAGCACTTAAATACATGTATCACTGAAATGAAATGAAATGATGAAATGAAATGATCAAATGAAGAAACGAAATGATGAAATGATGAAATGAAATGAAATGATGAAATGATGAAATGATGAGATGAAATGAAATGATAAAATGATGAAATGAAATGATGAAATCGAATGATGAAATGAAATAATGAAATGATGAAACAAAATGGTGAAATGAAATGAGGAAATGAAATGAAATGATGAAATGAACTGATGAAGTGAAATAATGAAATGAAATGATGAAAAGAAAAGATGAAATGATGAAATGAAGAAATGATATGAAATGATGAAATGATGAAGTGAAACAATGAAATGAAAAGATGAAATGATGAAATGAACAAATGATATGAAATGATGAGATGAAATGTAATGAAGTGATGAAGTGAAATGATGAAATGAGGAAATAATGAAATGAAATGATGAATTGATGACATGAAATGATGAAATGAAATGACGAGATTAAAAGGTGAAATGAAATGATTAAATGAAATGAGATGAAAAGATGAAATGATGAGATGAAATGATGAAATCATGAGATGAAGTGAAATGATGAAATGAAATGATAAGATGAAATGAGAAATGGAATGATGATGAAATGGTGAAATGAAGTGAAATGAAATGATGAAATGATGAAGAAATGATATGAAATGATGGAATGAAATGATGAAATGAAGTGAAATAATGAAATGATGAAATAAGGAAATGAAATGAATTGACGAAATGATGAAATGAATGACGAAATGAAAAGATGAAATGAAATAAATGAGATGAAAAGATGCTATGAATTGATGAGATGAAATGAAATCATGAGATGAAATGATGAGATGAAATCATGAGATGAAATGATGAGATGAAGTGAAATGATGAAATGATGAGATGAAATGATGAGATGAAATAATGAAATGAAAGGATGAAATGATGAGATGAAATGATGAAATGGAATGATGAAATGAAATGATGAAATGGTGAAATGAAATGAGGAAATGAAATGAAGAAATGAAATGAAGTGAAATGATGAAATGAAATGAAATGATGAAATGAAAAGATCAAATGATGAAATGAAGAAATGATATGAAATGAAGAAGTGAAATGATTAATGAAATAATGAAATGATGAATTGATGAAATGAAATGATGAGATGAAAAGATGAAATGAAATGATGAAATGAGATGAAAAGATGAAATGAAATGAGATGAAATGAAATCATGAGATGAAATGAAATCATGAGATGAAATTATGAAATGATGAGATGAAGTGAAATGATGAAATGAGGAAATGCAATGATGAGATGAAATGAAATGAAATAATGAAATGAAAGGATGAAATGAGATGAAATGATGAAAGGATGAAATGAAATGATGAAGTGATGAAATGAAATGATAAGTCAAATGATGAAATGATGAAATGGAAAGATGAAATGATGAAATGATATGAAATGAAATGATGAAATGATATTAAATGATGAAATGATGAAATGAAGTCAAATGAAATGATGAAGTAAATGAAATGAATTGATGAAATAATGAAATGATGAGATGAAATGAAATGATGAAATGATGAAATGGAATGATGAAATGAAATGATGAAATGGTGAAATGAAATGAGGAAATGAAATGAAGAAATGAAATGATGAAGTGAAATGATGAAATGAAATGAAAAGATCAAATGATGAAATGAAGAAATGATATGAAATGATGAAATGAAGTGAAATGATTAACGAAATGATGAAATGATGAATTGATGAAATGATGAGATGAAAAGATGAAATGATGAAATGAGATGAAAAGATGAAATGAGATGAAATGAAATCATGAGATGAAATTATGAAATGAGATGAAGTGAAATGATGAAATGAGGAAATGCAATGATGAGATGAAATGATGAAATGAAATAATGAAATGAAAGGATGAAATGAGATGAAATGATGAAAGGATGCAATGAAATGAAATGATGAAATGAGGAAATGAAATGATAAGTCAAATGATGAAATGATGAAATGGAAAGATGAAATGATGAAATGATATGAAATGATGAAATGATATTAAATGAAATGAAGTGAAATGATGAAATGATGAAATAAGTGAAATGAAATGAATTGATGAAAAATGAATTGAGATGAAAAGATGCAATGATGAAATGAAATGACGAAAAGATGAAATAAAATGAGATGAAATGAAATGATGAGATGAAGTGAAATGATGAAATGTTGAGATGAAATGATGAAATGAAATGAAAGGATGAAATGAAATGAAAGAATGAAATGAAATGATGAGATGAAATGATGCAACAAAATGATGAAAGGATGAAATAATGAAATGAGATGAAAAGATGAAATGAGATGAAAAGATGAAATGAGATGAAATGAAATCATGAGATGAAATGATGAAATGATGAGATGAAGTGAAATGATGAAATGAAATGTTGAGATGAAATGATGAAAGAATGAAATGAAATGATGAGATGAAATGATGAAATGAAATGATGCAACGAAATGATGAAAGGATGAAATGAAATGAGGAAATTAAATGAAATGATGAAATAGATGAACCAAAAATACTTATTCATTTTTTTTCTTGGCATCCTTCTAAGAGTATTTTAGTGAGGTTAATTTCTAAAACTAAATTGCTATTCAATGGCTTTACAGTTGGCCTTTGCACCACAGGGGTTTGAACTGTGCAGGTCCACTTAGCAAAACCAACAATTCTACATCCTTCTCCACACCCTGCCCATGAAAAGGATGAGGATGAAGACCTGTTTGATCATGTACTTCCATTTAATAACTAGTAAATATATTTTCCTTATGATTTTCTTTTTCTTTTCTCTGGCATGTTTGTTAAGAATACAGTATATAAGACATATAACATATTAAATATGTGTTAATTGACTGCTTGTGTTATTTGTAAGGCTTACAGTAGGCTATTAGTAGTTAAGTTTTGGGGGAGTCAAAGTTATAGTGGATTTTCTACTGTGTAGGGGGGCCAGCACCCCAACCTCCGTGTTGCTTAAGGGTCAACTGTACATGTTATTTCCTTTCCTGTAAGAGAAAAATGATGAGAAGGTCTTTTCTCCAATAAGTGTATTCAAAATGTAGCAGACTTGAAATGTGTTGGCGCCACCATTTTGCGTCTCACTTTGAAAACTTATTATTAAAAATCGTACTAAAGCCTTACTTTTCCAACCTTAGAAAAAATGTTACAAAGAAAAGGAGTGAAACCATGCTAGTTTGCCCTGAAATTTGAAATTATCTTGTAAAAATATATTTTTACATTAATTGCTTCCAAAATAGAGATCAGTTGCATACAAATGGCAGGTCACCCTAATCCACCCTATGACTGCACTTAGATTCATGAGGAATTGTGCCATCTAGAAAGGACAGAGAAGAGGAATAGAGTGCTCTGCGTCTTGAAATATAAACATGCACATAGCCACATGCTTTGATTCTGTTATCACTGTGTACTTACTGCTAGGAAGAGGGCATGTTTGTGTATTTTTATGCTAATTATTATGCAAGTTGTTAAGGATTTAGGCTTTCAGAACCATATAAAGGTTTTTTCCTTTCAGATATAAACTATCTTGCATTGTTCTTCTGATCATATGAGGGATAAATTTGCCTAAATATTCTTCAGACCATAATGTTATGTCCATATAAATGCCAGTAGCAAGAGTAGAATCAACCACAGCTGCCTTTGTAATTATTAAAAGCATGTGTGCCTATAAGTAATTGGCATTTTATATAATCAAGAATCTTTGATATAATAATCTCTCAACTATTTGAAACATGGCTCACATATATTAATTTTATATGCAAATATATGTATAATATCATTGTATATGAAACTAAATTTTGGACTGTAGAACAGCTTCTTAGAATCTTGACTTAAATGTCCACAGTAATATTTGACTGAAAAAAATTTAGCACACTGTCACTATGATGAAAAAATTACTATAAAATTATTTTAAAAATTTTCCACCCTAACGTTTAGAACATTCTCACATTTGTGGTTAAAACCTATTGTGATTGTTCCTAGAATTTAGATAAAAAATGTTCCAGAAAGTTTGAAGAGAAGCACTTTAGTCAATTTGTATTTGTTCAAGCATGAAGAAATGGCATTTCATTGACATTTTAAAAACTATTCAGATTCCCTCTTTGAATTCAAGTGTTTCAAAGATATCTTATTTTTAAATACCAAAATAGGAATAGAATATGAAGGGCTGGTTATGAGTAATATGATACACTTTTATGAGAGGATGAGATTACAATAACAATACCTCCTCTCATAGAATAACCAGCAAGTCTCCACTAAATAACAGTGCCTTGATTTTATAGATGTTTAATCTTGGATATTGAGTTAATGTGAACCATTTGTAGACACAGGAGTTTATTAAAGAGTTATATAATATCTTTCAAGTATTTAGAATAGTGTTGAAATTAAGCCTGCATCCCCACGATTTTCAGCGGTGCTGATGCCTAATAAACTCAACCCCTTGCATGCCAAAATTGGCTTAAAGCCCACCCGTTACCCAAGCTACACTTCAAGCATCAAGGCTCAAAAATGTAATTTTAAATATGCAAGAGTTTGAGGAATTCACTACTCACACTTTCTTGAACAGTCTATCCAAGTGCATCAAGCAAAATGTGAGTAAAGAAATTTTGACCAAAGGATTGATAGTAATGTTGAATACTTTTAATAGTAGATCTAAGATTAAAAGGTGAGAGTGAGGGTGAGAAGAGTGTATGAATGCTTTGTGTTCTGACAAAGAGAATGTAGCACCCATGTCCTACGTGCTCGGTTGCATTGCCAGTGCCCACGGTAGGCTATTTTATCCCAGTTTTTAGTTTTTTTTGTTTTGTTTTGTTTTTTTCTTTTCAGGAGAATTAGTCCAAGACCAATAACTCCATAACTGGTAGAATTGGAAGACTTCAATAGTGCTTAACATTTTGTACATAGCTTTATAACAGTTTTCTTTTTCTTTTTTTCTGAGAGATTCTTTTCAATATACCCAATCATGGTCGAACTCAAAGTCATTGCTTATTTAAAATCTACAACTGCTGACGTTTTGTATCCTTCACATTCCAGGTAATTGGTTTTTTTGTGCATTTTCTGTATTTTTCTCCATCAATCTGCCTAGATATTTGTTAGATTTAATATTTTAATATTTTTCTGAAAAAGTGACCTTTTGCAGTTTTAAACATATACTCAGTTGTTTTAATTCTGCTTTTTCATGTACTATTTCCTCGGTTTTTTTTTTGGTTTTTTTTTTGATACTATGTGGGAAGCCAAGTAATTTAAAGGAAACTTGGATAGTAAGGACTCAGAGGAACGGAAGTTAGTTGGCTGATTCAGATGTTTGGTGGCATAAGACTCTGTTAGTAATCTAGGCAAGCAGTAATGACAGCATCAAGGGAGTGAGGATGGACTGATAGTGTAGAATTTAAGATATAAGGTAGAATTTGCTTCCTTAATGAGTTCAGGTTTGCGTGTGTTGGGTACAAAAGTTTGATGGGACATCCGTGAAGAGAATTCCAGCCATAAGTAGTTATAAAGGTCTGGAGATCAGGAGAAATCAGAGCTAAGGGTAGGTATTCGGAGCCATCAGTATTTAGGGAGTATGGGGCTACCCAGAAAGAGTGAGTGGATTGAAACAGAGGCCAATGATTTCAGACCAAGGTAAACAGAAGTGTGCGCTTTGATTTTTACAGGGGGAGGAAAAACCCATAATTGGTGTTTGAGCCTGTGAGAACAGTACTGTGGGCTCCCAGCATGCTTTGCTGGGTTTGATCTGTTCTAGATGTTTTTATGCCGTCAGTCTGTGATTCTCCTTCCAGATGTGGGGTAGAGTGCATAGTCAGAATATAGCCAGAGCAGCTGACAGAGGTCAAGATTCATTTTTAAGCAAAGATTCAAGAAGTTAAAACCACACACAAGTGTTTTACTGGGCATCCTTATCCAACTACCCTATATCTTCACTTTGAAAATAGTTTAAACATTGCCTGAGAGGACACAGAACTAATAGACTTTTGGAATTCTTCTTTGCAGGCCTGTAAATTACTCTCTGATGACTATGAACAAGTGCGCAGTGCTGCAGTCTAGCTTATCTGGGTTGTCAGTCAGCTCTATCCTGAAAGGTCAGTGCGGGTGTAAGCTGGCTTTTGTTGATTGTGAAGCCGTTTTCCTCTCCTCTCACCATGCAAAAAGCCCACTTCTAGAAAAGAAATGTTGGTTAGATTTTTGGAAGGCAATGGGGAGTAAGGGAAAAGCACAGGCCCTGAAAATCAGATTGCCTGGTCCTCATTTTTCATCTCTGATAGGAACTTTCTGTACACCTTCGGAAAGACACTTCTTTTGTCCTAATCTTCTCATCCATAAGTGAAGAAATTGGAATATCTTTCTTAAATGGTTTTCAGTACTTTACAAAAAAATCTTTAAAATTGTTTGGGACCCATTTTAGTTTGGCTTGCGCCAAATGCCAGACAAAGATACCAGATGAGTTTGAGAATAATGATCTCTTATGTAGTTTTCCTGGTTAAAAATATTTTCACAGCAATTAAGTTAACCACAGTGATTCTTTGAGGAGGTAGGCAATATTATTTATTATATTTTGTAAGATAGAATATTACATTTATAAATATTTATCTTTTATTTATAAATATTTATAGAATATTTTATTTTTCCTTGTATAGGAAAAAGAGGTGTTTTTTCCTCTTCATTAAACTGCCAAAATTTGAAAACCAGAATGGATTAATAAACCTGTAGGAGTAGGCTCCATTTGTAGTAGACTCCATTTTAGGACTTAGACACATACAAAGAAAAGGGCTAAGTGGAAATTGTCTCTTCTTTTAGGACTGGATTGATAAGTAAGTTTTATATTGATTTATTCTGAGATTTAATGTATTTATAGAAGTTCAGTCTGGACACGGTGGTGCCTGTAATCCCAGCACTTTTGGAGGCCGAGGTGGGCGGATCACCTCGGGTCAGGAGTTCAAGACCAGCCTGGCCAGCATGGTGAAACCTCATCTCTACTGAAAATACAAAAATTAGCCGGGCATGGTGGCACACGCCTGTAATCCCAGCTACTAGGGAGGCTAAGGCAGGAGAATCGCTTGAACCCGGGAAGTGGAGATTGCAGTGAGCTGAGATCGCACCACTGCACTCCAGCCTGGGTCACAGAGCAAGACACTTTCTCTCAAAAAAAAAAAGAAGAAGAAGAAGAATTTCAGTTACAGAAGATAATAAACTTAAGGATATGAAATATTCGGTGGAAGCTAGTTTTTGATAATTTCATAAATCTTTGAACCTTTGGTGGGTTACGTACTTTTTTTTTTTAAGGCAGGGTCTTGCTCTGTGGCCCAGGCTGCAGTGCAGTGATGTGATCTCGGCTTACTGCAACCTCCAACTCCTGGGTTGAAGCAATTCTCATGCCTGAGCCTCCCAAATAGCCGGAATTACAGTTGTGCCCCACCACACCCAGCTCATTTTTTGTATTTTTAGTAGAGATGAGGTTTTGCCATGTTGGGTAGGCTAGTCTTGAACCCCTGGCTTCAGGTAATCTGCCCACCTCAGTATCTCAGTGTGCTGGGATTACACGCCTGGCTGAACCTTTGGTGAGTTACACACTTTTATTCAATACATTGAAAATTTGCACCTGATTGCAGTGGCTCAGCCCTGTAATCCTAGCACTTTGGGAGGCTGAGGCGGGCGGATTGCTTGATCTCAGGAGTTTGAGATCAACCTGGGCAACATGGTGAACCGTCTCTACTAAAAATATAAAAAATTAGCTGGGTGTGGTGGCATGCTTTTGTAGTCCCAGCTACTCAGAAGAGTGAACTGGGAGGATCACCTGAGCCCAGGAAGTTGACACTGCGGTGAGCAGTGCTCATGCCACTGCACTCCAGCCTGGGTGACAGAAGTGAGACCCTGTCTCAAAAAAAAAGCATAATTTGCAATGCAACTGAAAGAGTTGGTTTGTACTCCTAGAGTGATTTGTTTATTTCAAACTGTATTTAATCATTCTAGGATTTGAACTATTCAATTATCATTTTTGTGTGTGTCAGTCTTCATTGACTGTTCTCAGTTTATTGAGCCTGCAGCCTTACTTACTTATGTATTTATTTGTTTATTATTATTATTATTATTATTTGAGATGGAGTCTCGCTCTGTTGCCCAGGCTGGAGTGTAGTGGCACTATCTCGGATCACTGCAACCTCCACCTTCCAGGTTCAAGCGATTCTCCTGCCTCAGCCTCCTGAGTAGCTGGGATTGCAGACATGTGTCACTGTGCCCAGCTAATTTTTATATTTTCAGTAGAGAGGAGGTTTCACCATGTTGGCCAGGCTGGTCTCGAACTCTTGACCTCAAGTTATCCACCTGCCTCAGCCTCCCAAAGTGCTGGGATTACAGGCGTGAGCCATTGCACCCAGACTGTATTTATTTTTTGAGACAGGGTCTTGCTCTGTCATCCAGGCTGGAGTGCCGGGGTGTGATCTCAGCTCACTGCAACCTTCACCTCCAGAGCTAAAGTTATGTTCCCACTTCAGCCTCCCAAGTAGCTGGGACTATCAGCGCATGCCACCATGCCTAGCTAATTTTTGTATTTTTTTTGTAGAGATGAGGTTTTGCCATATTGCTCAGGTTGGTCTTGAACTCTTGGGCTCAAGCAATCTACCTGCCTGGGCCTCCCAAAGTGTTGGGATTATAGATGTGAGCCACTGTGCATGGCCTGAATCTGCAGACTTAGGTTCATGTTTTGTTCTAAGTGATTTCATTTCTTTTCTTTTAATTTAGCATTGTCCCAATTCCTTCTTCTAATGAAGAAATACGCTTAGTTGATGATGCGTTTGGAAAAATTTGTCACATGGTCAGTGATGGCTCTTGGGTGGTTCATGTTCAGGCAGCAAAACTGTTGGTAAGTTATACTTTTTATGTATGTATGAATGCATGTATATATTTATTTGTTTTCTTTTCTGTAGAAATGAGGCCTGTGTGGCCCAGGTTGGTCTCAAACTCTTGGCCTCAAGCAGTCCTCCTGCCTCAGCCTCCCAAAAGACTGGGATTATAGGCTGGGTGCGGTGACTCACACCTGTAATTCCAGCACTTTGGGAGGCGAAGGCGGGTGGATCACGAGGTCAGGAGATTGAGACCATCCTGGCCAACATGGTAAAACCCCGTCTCTACTAAAAATACAAAAATTAGCTGGGGCATGGTGGCGCACGCCTGTAATCCCAGCTACTTGGGAGGCTGAGGCAGGAGAATCGCTTGAACCCGGAGGTGGAAGTTGCAGCGAGCCAAGATCACGCTGCTGGACTCCGGCCTGGTGACAAGGAGGAGACTCTCATCTTAAAAAAAAAAAAAAAAAGGCTGGGATTATAGATGTGAGCCACTACACCCAGCCAATAATCCTTTTTTTAAATGAACACATTGCTTGTTAAGTTTTTACAAACATTTTGAGAAACTACAGATGGGGCAGTGTGACCTGAATTTAAAACCCCAGAATTTCTTTTTCTTTTTCTTTTCTTGAGACAGGGTCTTCCTCTGTTGCTCAGGCAGGAGTGCAATGGTGCAGTCACGGCTCACTGCAGCCTCGACCTGCCAGGCTCAAGCGATCCTTCCACCTCAGCCTCCTGAGTAGCTGGGACTACAGGCATGTGCCACCCTGCCTAGCTAATTTGTATTTTTTGTAGAGATGGGGTCTTGCTTTGTGCCCAGGCTGGTCTTGAATTCCTAGGCTCAAGTGATCCTTCTGCCTTGGCCTCCCAAATTGTTGGGATTACAGGTTTAAGCCACTACTCCCAGCCCCAGAATTTCTTAATATAGAAAGAAATAGTTCACTCTCCTGTTCACTTTTAGAACTAGAAAGAATCTTAAAACATAATTCTATTAACCCTACTAGGAATTAAGATAGCCGGAGCCTAGAGAAAAAGGAAAACAATAAAAAAAAAGTTTTTCCCATTTATTAAGCACTTGTTATGTCCTAGTTCAGGAGGCTCAAACCCCCAGGCTGTGGACCAGTCCTGGTCCATGGCTTGTTAGGAACCAGGCCACACAACAGGAGGTGAGTGGTAGATGAGCAAGTATTACTGCCTGAGTGCTGCCTGCTGTCAGATCAGCAGCTGCATTAGATTATCATAGGAGTGTGAACCCTATTGTGAACTGAGCATGTGTGGGATCTAGGTTTCATGCTCCTTGTGAGAGTCTAATTCCTGATGATCTGAGGTGGAACAGTTTCATCCTAAAACCACCCTGCTTCACTACCCTCTCTGGTTTCTTCCATGAAACTGAACCCAGATGCCAAAAAGGTGGGGGACCACTATCTTAGATAATTTGAAGGAGGCCCCTTACATATATTTTCTCATTTTCTCTTTACAGTAATCCTGCAAGATAGATGCCATTATCCAGTTGGGGCATGGTGGCTCATGCCCATAATCCTAGCACTTTAGGAGGCCGAGGTGGGTGGGTCACTTGAGCCCAGGAGTTCAAGACCAGCCTGGGCAACACACCAAGATCCCATCTCTATTTTTCAAAAAATAAAATTTAAAAAAAATTTTTTTAAATGCTGTTATCATTTTCTAGATGAGAAAACTAAGGCTCTGAGGAGTTAAGTAAGTTATCCAGCTTATACAGACAGAAAATTGTAGAGTGAGGTCAGATCCTGATCTTGCATCTTTTAGCCTGGTACTTTTCTGTTTTCTTTTTGAGGACTCAGCACATTTATTGAAAATTTTTAACTTTTGTGGCTCACGCCTGTAATCCCAGTACTTTGGGAGGCCAAGGTGGGCGGATCACGAGGTCAAGAGATTGAGACCATCCTGGCCGACATGGTGAAACCCCGTCTCTACTAAAAATACAAAAATTAGCTGGGCGTGGTGGTGCACGCCTCTAGTCCTAGCTACTTGGGAAGCTGAGACAGGAGAATCGCTTGAACCCGGGAGGCAGAGGTTACCCGGGAGGCAGAGGTTACCCGGGAGGCAGAGGCGCAGTGGCTCACACCTATAATCCCAGCACTTTGGGAGGCCGAAGCGGGCAAATCACTTGAGGTCAGGAGTTCGAGACCAGCCTGGCCAACATGGTGAAACCCCATCTCTACTAAAAATACAAAAACTAGCCTGGTGTGATGACACACACCTGTAGTTCCAGCTATTCTGGAGGCTGAGGTGGGAGAATCACTTGAACCTGGGAGGCAGGGGTTGCAGTGAGCTGAGATTGTGCCATTGCACTCCAGCCTGTGCAAAAGAGCGAGACCCTGTCTCAAAAAAAAAATTGTTTAACTTTTAAGGGATAAAATTGTTTTGTAATAGAGTGTTGGCCTAATAGCCTTATTTTATATCTGTGTTACCTTGTATATGTCACTTGATATTAGTCTCAGTTTCCTCATCTGTTAAGTGGGGTTCTAATATCTCTCATATTTACCTGACAGTGTTGTCATGATGCTCAAATGAGATACAGTCTATGAAAATGTTTATAAACTAAAAAGTACTATACTATGTAGGGTGGATGGGGGCATAGTATATAACTATATGTGTGTGTAAGTATCTATAAAAATTTGTATACGTGTCACAGCAGGAAAATCTGTGATTCTTTTTGGACACTTCCCCTTTGAGTGCCCCCAGCCCTGCCACTCTTGGTGAGACTGTTGGCTGAATGCTTTGTTTCTGACTGTACTGGACACTGATCCAGTGATAGCTTTAGTCCTGTGACCAGTATTTATGGGAGTACTTGCTGAAACCTGTGTGAAGCATTTTCATGAGATATAGTAATGGATGATTGGAGTATTTCCACTCTTGTGCATATTAGAGTTAAACAAGCCAGCTGTTACTGATTTTATTTCTGAATTCATATTTTAAAACTTTCTTTTGGGTTATGAATGTTTTAAAATTCAGAACAGTCTAATCATTCATCAGATCCTTTCATTTGGCATTTACAGAGGATCTACAACGAACTCTAGGTGGGAGTGGGGAAGAGAAAGATGTTTTAGAGGAGTAAATTAATGATATATCTTTACCTGAATAGGCAGTTTTAAAAAGTAATCCTTAAAGTAAGAAACATTCAAAATTTTCAGTTTTGTACTCTATAGGATCTGAAATTTATTTGCATAAAGTTGTATGTATAACATATGGTACATTGAAAGGATTTCTACTTGAATGACTCTAACTTGAGTCACATGCCTTGTGTTATAATTCCATGTTAAATCCGAACAGCTTCAAATTATATAAGTAATTATGTTTGTATTCAGAAATAATAATCATTCTTACCTTGCTGATAATAATAATTACTACTATGTATAGAGTTCCTGGCCTACTAAATGAGGCATTTTTAGTCATACATACACACATAAATACACACATATTCACACATAAATATTAACCCACTTCTTTATATACAAGCACACATGCCTAACTCATTTGCATACTTTTGCAAGTAACTTTTAATCTTTTTAAACTCTCTGAGGTAAATGTATTACTTATAAATAGCAAAATTAAAATTTAGGAATGTGGTATAATTTTTCTGAGACCGCACAGATAGTAAATGATAGATGAGGACTTCAAACTTCATAATCTAAAGCCCATGTATAATCCTTTCCTGGTGAGTATCCAGTTACACATTGGGATTGGCCAGTTAAGGCCCTGCTGGTTTATTAGTATCTCTGTGCAAGCTAAGAGGTAAAGCTGCCCTACTCCAGCTCTCCAGTAGATAAACCTGGGATCAAGTGATTTGTGTATAATCTTTCATTAAAAATTAATTAATTTTTAAAAATTGACACATTGGTTGAACTAGTTTACAGTCCCACCAACAGTGTAAAAGTGTTCCTATTTCTCCACATCCTCTCCAGCACCTGTTGTTTCCTGACTTTTTAATGATCACCATTCTAACTGGTGTGAGATGGTATCTCATTATGGTTTTGATTTGCATTTCTCTGATGGCCAGTGATGAATGAGCATTTTTTCCTGTGTCTTTTGGCTGCATAAATGTCTTCTTTTGAGAAGTGTCTGTTCATATCCTTCGCCCACTTTTTCATGGGGCTGTTTGTTTTCTTCTTGTAGATTTGTTTGAGTTCATTGTAGATTCTGGATATTAGCCCTTTGTCAGATGAGTAGATTGCAACAATTTTCTCCCATTCTGTAGGTTGCCTGTTCACTCTGATGGTAGTTTCTTTTGCTGTGCAGAAGCTCTTTAGTTTAATTAGATCCCATTTGTCAATTTTGGCTTTTGTTGCCATTGCTTTTGGTGTTTTAGACATGAAGTCCTTGCCCATGCCTGGGTCCTGAATGGTATTGCCTAGGTTTTCTTCTAGGGTTTTTATGGTTTTAGTTCTAACATGTAAGTCTTTCATCCATCTTGAATTAATTTTTGTCTAAGGTGTAAGGAAGGGATCCAGTTTCAGCTTTCTACATATGGCTAGCCAGTTTTCCCGTCACCATTTATTAAATAGGGAATCCTTTCCCCATTTCTTGTTTTTGTCAGATTTGTCAAAGATCAGATGGTTGTAGATATGCGGCATTATTTCTGAGGGCTCTGTTCTGTTCCATTGATCTATATCTCTGTTTTGGTACCTGTGGCGATTCCTCAGGGATCTTGAACTAGAAATACCATTTGACCCAGCAATCCCATTACTGGGTATATACCCAAAGGATTATAAATCACGCTGCTATAAAGACACAAGCACACGTATGTTTATTGTGGCACTATTCACAATAGCAAAGACTTGGAACCAAGCCAAATGTCCAACAATGACAGACTGGATCAAGAAAATGTGGCACATATACACCATAGAATACTATGCAGCCATAAAAAAGGATGAGTTCATTTCCTTTGTAGGGACATGGATGAAGCTGGAAACCATCATTCTCAGCAAACTATCGCAAGGACAAAAAACCAAACACCGCATATTCTCGCTCATAGGTGGGAATTGAACAATGAGAACACATGGACACAGGAGGGGGAACATCACACACCAGCGCCTGTTGTGGGGTGGGGGGAGGGGGAAGGTATAGCACTAGGAGATATACCTAATGTTAAATGACGAGTTGATGGGTGCAGCACACCAACATGGCATATGTATACATATGTAACTAACCTGCACATTGTGCACATGTACCCTAAAACTTAAAGTATAATAAAACAAACAAACAAAAATTGACACATTGTATATATGGGGCACAAGTTGATGTTTTGATACACATCTATGTTGAATATTAATCCAATCAGGATAGTTAGTATAGTTATCACATCATATATTTATCATTTCTTTGTCATGAACTTTCAACAGCCTCTCTTACAGCTATAATATTGTATATTTTGTAATATACAATATTTTCCTGTTAATCATAGTCACCTTTATGTGCAGTTGAACACCAGAATTTATTTCTCTTAATTGTGACTTTGTATCTGTTGTCCAGTCTCTTCCCATTCTCTCCTACTCCCTCCCCTCCCCAGTGTCTGCTAACCACTGTTATACTCTCTGCCTCTATGATATCAATTTTTTTCTGAATACTTTAAGTTCTGGGATACATGTGCAGAACGTGCAGGTTTGTGACATAGGTATACATGTGCCATGGTAGTTTGCTGCACCCGTCTACCTATCATCTACATTAGGTATTTCTCCTAATGCTGTCCCTCTCCGAGCCCCCCACCCTCTGACAGTCCCTGGTGTGTGATGTTTCCCTCCTTGTGTCCATGTGT